>NC_000001.11:41068986-41372016 GCF_000001405.40 Homo sapiens | reverse complement strand
TCAGCTGGCAGGTGCCTCAGGAAGAGGGCAAGCCCCTTCCCCCAGGGCCCCAGCTCAGGTTACAAGAGGAGGAGGAGGAGGCCAGCTGAGGACAGAGGGAGGGGACAGGAGAGAGAAGGAAGAGGCCTCACAGCTTCCCAGAGTGTTGGGGGAGGGGAACTCAGAGCCAAAGAGGGAAGGGCCATGCCCAAGGTCACACAGCTTGCCAGTGGGGCAAAGAGGAGCCAATGTCCAGGGGCGGGCAGTCCTGGGTTCAAGGGTGACCTTGAACAAGACATGTCCTTCATCTGTGAAAATGGGGTGCCTAAAACCTGTCCTGCTTGTCATCCAAGGCTATGGAGAAGGCTCTGGAGGCTAGAAAGCAGTGGGCCCACCTAAGGGCAGGAGGGAACTTGGACATCCTGAATATCTGACACCTCGGTCTCAGGGACAAGAAAGGGAAGCATTAGAGGAAGGACCCTATTATTATCCTATTTTATAGAGGAAGAAACTGAGGCTCAGTTGCCCAAGGCTACGCAGAGGGTAAGTAGAGCTAGGCTATGCCCGCCTGTTTGCCTCCAAGACTCCTAACCACACAGCTTGGCCTCACCTAAGGGATTCTCAAGGCACCAAGGGGTGCTGCCTATGCCAGGCCTGATATCTGGGACTCTTTGGGCCTCTGCCCTATCTCAGGCTCATTTTCTCCCCTGGACCCCAGTAGCAGGCCCACACTGGGCACCTGGGCCAGCCTCTCCCTCCTGTCCACTCCCCACAGCACCCTTGAGTGACCTCTGCCCATGTCATTCCCATGGAGAATTCGCAGTGAGAAGCCCAGAGCGTGGGATGCTGCTCTTCAAGGCCACTCACTTGCTTTCCCAGTTTCAACGCCTGCTGGGCCCCACATAAGCACAGCCAGACCCTCTGCGGCTCCCCACACAGTCCTGAGGCCTTGACCCTCTTTGTCTGCTTTGTCTCCCTTCCCCTCTTCTACCTCCAAACACTCAGCTCATTATCTGGCCTTCCATCATGACCCTGAGCAGGTTTTACCCTGCATCAGAGTCAGTGTCCTCCTTTTATCTCCCTAGCTTGACCCCTGCAGGCTGGGATCTCAAGGTCAAGGAGCTAGTCCAGTCCCCACCCAGCAGCCCTGCATAATAGGTACCCAGTGGATGTAGCCCTGGATCACGGAATGGAGGGAGCTGCCTCAGCCCTGGGGGCTGCAGACCAGGGGAACATCAGGCTGGTCTGCCCCCACCTTCAGGGTGCTCTCTATCTGGGAATGGGAGCCAGGGACCCCAGGGCCATTCCCCAGGCCAGAAGCCTGAGGGCCAAACTCCAAGGGATAGCAGAGAGACAATGATTGGGAGGGGGAAGGGGCAGAGGGGAGGAAGGTCAGAGCCCTGGGCTAGGGTGGAGTTAGTCCTGGAGAGTTTCGTTTCTGCCACTTAGAGTAGGGTACTGTTCAAGCTGCTTACTTTTCTCATTCTTTGTTTCCTCACCTGCAAAATGGGGAAAGTAACCCTACCAGCTTCACAGGGTTGCTGGGAAATTAAATGAAAGAATGTACGTAATGGCACATGGCAGGTTGAATCCTGAGCTGGAATAGTTCAGTGTGGCTAGGGCAAGGGTCAGAAGATGGGAGGGTGGCTGGAAAGGTTGACTAGGGCTGGTGGCCAGGCCTTAAGTGTCCTACTAAGGCCCCAGGACTGGATTAAGCAGCTATACACATGACCCTCTTCTCTCCCTCTTCTCTGCTCTCTGAGAGCAGGGGCTGTGACTTTTTTTTTTTTTTTTTTGAGACGGAGTCTCGCTCTGTCGCCCAGGCTGGAGTGTAGTGGTGCAATCTCAGCTCTCTGCAAGCTCCACCTCCCGGGTTCACGCCATTCTCCTGCCTCAGCCTCCCCAGTAGCTGGGACTACAGGTGCCCGCCACCACGCCCGGCTAATTTTTTGTATTTTTAGTAGAGACGGGGTTTCACCGTGTTAGCCAGGATGGTCTCAATCTCCTGACCTCATGATCCGCTCGCCTCGGCCTCCCAAAGTGCTGGGATTACAAGCGTGAGCCACCACGCCCGGCTGTGACTTTTAGTTTCTTCACCATTCCAGTTCCAGAGAGGCTTCCTGAGTATTTACAACCACACAGACTCTGGCCTTGTCCCCAGGGGCTCCCTCCCTCCTGCAGCAAAGGCTCCTAGTAGCAAAGCATATCAGCCCTGGCTGTGGCTCCATTCTCTTCATCCATGTCCTATACAGTGTGATTTCTAAGCCATGGGGTGGCTGCATGATGCTGACGTGGTGGCCCAGTCCCTGGGTGCTGACTGCATGGGGTTCAGAACTCTGGAGGACCCAGAAGGAGTGAGGAAGAGGGGCGTAGCCTCAACCTGGGCAGCCTGCTTGGAGTAGAAGCTGGTCCATGCTGGGAGGAAGAGACAGGGGGACAGGCAGGAGGTGAGGAAACCACCCTCTAAGGCATCAGTTCAGAATGACCTGTCACCAGCCATACACAGATTCCAGAGCCCATGCTGATATAGAGGATCTGAGCTGGGGACTGGAAGCCTGTGTTGTCAGAGCTTCTAGGTGACTCTGATCATCAGCCAGGTTTGCAAACAACTAAGGACTTGAGGCAGGAATTCTCAATCAGAAGTGTTGCGTTCCAGAATCACCTGGAAGGTAGGGCTTTGTTCAAACCACCCAAGACCCCACCTAGTTTCTGAGGGGTATCCCGAGGGATCAGCCAAGGAGAATCAATAGGTGCCTTGGTGACCGTGTGACAACGGCAGTGGGGTGTGGGTTGAGAATTCCAGTGTCAGGTGTGAAGGTGCAGATGCCAGGGCGACCTGAGATCAGAGGAAGCAGGAAAAGTGGGAGGAAGGGCAGGGCCTGGACAAGGTGGGCTGAGGGCCTATGGGTCCCAGCAGAGCAGTTTGGGTACTTGGTTGACTTCCAGGTGAACCAAGGAGCCCAGGAGGGTTCTGGAGCAGGAGAGCCTGGGGGCAGGAAGGCTGGCTGGCGTGTGGAGCTGACAGCACCAGCATGGGGAGATGCAGAAATGTGGCAGAGACAGACGGGTCCGCGGCTAAATCCAGGCTCCGCCTGTCCCAGCTATGCTGCCTTGGCCAAATGACCTCATTTTTCCGGGCCTCCGTTTCCTCAACTGCAAAATGGGGTTATTAATGTGTACCTAGAGGGATCCAGGGAAGATGAAATGAGAGAATTTATGTGAACTGCCCAACTGACTGCCTAGCACCCAAACATTAATTCTCTTACCTCTCTTTCTCCTTTCCATAAGAAGCACCCCCACTTAGAGACCAGAAAGGTTTCTCTCTGCAAAGAGGGAGGCCCCTGGGGGAGGGTGTCCCCCACACGCCACCTGGCCCCCCTCCCACCTCCACATATGGGTTGGGGGGTGGGGAGAGGCAGCAAACAGCCAAACCCTCCCAAACAGGAGTTGGTTTCTATGGTAACCAGGGTGCCAGGAGAAGGGGGGTGCTCCAGATCCAGCTGTCCCCCTGAGAACCCTACCCAGGTCCCAGAGCCTGAGCTCATGCCCACCCAACACCCTGAACCCCCATCTGCCTGCTCTGGGGGCCAGCTGGAACTGCCATAAACACTCCTTTCATTGTACCCAGAGCATATCTGCCACCTGGGTACTGCCACAGACAGGACAGGCATCTTTAAACAGGAGTCCCAAAGTCAAGTCCACCCACACCTGTACTCACATGTGTCCACCTGGGAGAAGTCCTCTCAGTACTATGTGCCCTCTTTCCAATGAACCCCTCATGGCTCCTAGAACCAGTGTGCTTGTCAGTTACGGCACTGAACCGGTAAGAGACTGAGTTAAGGCCCTTTGGACACAGATGAGAACACTGAGAACCAGAATGGGAGAGAACTTTGCTCCAGCTCACACATGCAATGGATCAGGTTCCCTACAGGTAGGTGTTCTGTCCAGCCCCTCACCTACTCCTGACTCCACAGCTAACTCCAAATGACACCAAAGGGCTGGACTAGAAAACCCTGTGTGATGCTGAAAGGGGATGGGGTACTGCTGGGGAGAAGGAAATAAGTCCTAAAAGCTTTAAGACTCACCTAGCAGCCAGGCATGGTGGCTCATGCCACGATGTAATCCCAGCACTTTGGGAGGCTGAGGCAGGTGGATCCTTTGAACCCAGAAGTTCAAGACCAGCCTGGACAACATAGGGAAGACCCCTGTCTCTACAAAAACATCTTTTTTAAATTAGCCCAGGTGGGATGGCCTGTGCCCATGGTCCTAGTCACTCAGGAGGCCGAGGTGGGAGGATCACTTGAGCCCAGGAGGTCGAGGCTGCAGTGATCTCTGCCACTGCACCCCAGCCTGGGTGACAGAGTGAGACCTTGTCTCAGAAAAAAAAAAAAAAAAAAAGACTTGTCTAGCAACAGAATGGGCAATCCCAGAGACGGTGAGTTTCCAGTCGCTGGGAGTGTGTCAGAGGGGGTTGAGCTGGGGAGGAGTCAGGGGTGCAGAGACTGGGTTCCAGGACTCTGCAGCTCTTTGGAGAACCCAAGTCTGATCTGAACGTGAGGGAGCAGGCACCAATGCATAGGCAGGCCCAGCCCCACCCTCTCCTGTTTCCGAGGCACCCCCAACTCTGGGTAAACGGGAGTTGGGAAGGGGATCTAGTGAGTCTGCTGGGAGGTAAGGGAAACTGAGGTGAGGAAGGGGCTCCCCCTGCTGTAGCTGATGCACCCACATCCCACCCAGTACTTGACTACCCCTCAACCCTTACAAGTCACAGATAGGACCCCATGTGGTGGTCACCACTAGCTGCCACTCAAAGACAGGGAAGGTAGGCGGCAGGGAACAAGCCCTGAAGCCTTTCAGAGTCGAAAACAAGCCCTTCCCTCCAGCCCCTGCCCCACCTCAATCCTACCCAATGGAACAGAAAAAGCTCGAGCTTGGGGTCCAATTCCCAGGTCCACTACTTCACAGGTAGCGACCTCAGGGAAAGTCACTTCCCCACCTGGAACACAGGGGTGCCAGCCCGCCTGGGTGGCGATGAGGGTCTGATGGGAGTGCTCTGGACCGGCGGGCGCCTCTGTCACGGCCCCCTCAGCCCTCCGCCCCTCTGGCAGGGCCTCTCCAGTTCCTCAACCTCCCTGCTCCCTCTAGTCAGTCCCTTGGCTGGAGCCCTCGGGGCGTGCAGAGAGGGGCCCCCCAGACCCGCAGAAAGTGGGGGCTGGGGGCGCTGAACTTTCGAACCCGCAAACCCCCCGCGCCGTTCATTACCTTAACGCGAGTTAAAAATAACCGTCTCATCTCTTTAAATTAGTCTGTCTGCAATTACCGCCTGGCACGGCGCTGCCCGCCATCGTCCCGCTGGAGCGGCGCCAGGTGGCAGGCGGGGCCCTCACCCTGTCTGTCGGTCTGTCTGCCTCCAGGCCCCCTCCTCTCCCGCCGCGTGGCTGCCCCAGGGGCCTCCCTGAGCCCCGCCTCCTCAGCTCCCTAAGTTGCGCGGGGGGTGTGGCGGGGGCGGCCGCCGTGGGGCCGGAAGGGAGCGAGGGGGTCCGCGGGGAGCAGAGCGGGGTGGGGGGGCTGGGCACGGCGGCGGGGGAGGGGCGCCGGGAGGCCCGGGAAGCCGGAAGGGCCCGAAGCGCGCCAGCGCTCGTGGGTGGGTGTGAGCAGGTGGTCGTGGGAGTCTGCCGGGCGTGCCAGCAACTGTGCCAGGAGCGGCTGGCACGGGCTCGTGCCCAGGAGGCGGGCAGCTGCCAGCCCCCCGCTCATGCAGTGAGGGGGGTGAGGACACCCCCCAACCGGGGCTCACACCGCCTCCTCCCGCACCCCCATCAGCCCTTGGGGCTGGGGATCCCCGGAGGACAAAGGAGGAGGAGGGAGCCCTGCTGGAGCAGGCTGGGGGGAGAGGAAGCGGGTGGCTTCAGCTGACAGCCACTGCTCAGGGCTGTAGCAGGACCCTGCCCCCACCCTCTCAGATGAGTCCCTCTCTTCCAGCCCCACCCCACCTGGAACTTACTGGGCCAGATGGGGGTGGTGCCACCCCTCCTGATCCCACCTCTCATCACCCAGGCTGCCCCAGCCCCTGGGAGAGAAGGGAAGTTCCCATCCAGAGTGCTCCTTCTGGGGACAGGAATGGGAGGCGCCCAGGCCTGGCCTGGGAGCTCCCAGTGGAGCTGGCAGCCAGGAAACACAAAAGCAGGCAGAACAACTCCAGGGGCACTAAGTGGAAGGTGTGCCAGAACTCAGAGCAGCCTGAAAGGCTTCCCAGAGGAGTCCAGGGCCAAGGGAAAGTGAGACTGGAGCATCTGAGAGAAAGTAGGAGGCTCTACCTGGATATTCAGTCTTGGGACGCTGTAGAGGCACCGCCTATCCAAGCCCCCATCCTAGGCCTGGAGGGGAACATGACCAGCCCCTTTGGTTGGGTTCCCAGCAATGAGCCCAGCCTCTCTAGGCCTCAGCATAGTCTGGGTGTCCCCAAGCCTGCTGCTGGTCTTGTCTTCTCCAATTGCTGTCCTGCACCACTCAGCCACCTCCCTGCATCACAGGTGTGACCACAGGGATAAGGCTAAGCATGTCATCCCTTCCTGATCTGGCCCATTCCACCCTTCCCATGCCACCTCCCTGTCTTGCCTGGACACCCTTGGTTTGAGTCTGGCACACCCAAACTGTCCCCAAATCAGACATGCACAATTTCACCTCCCTGCCTTTGGGAATGCAGTCAATACTTCCTGGAAGACTATCTCCCAAATTCTCCCCTCCCCAGTGAAGGCAGTGCAGTCCAAGTGCCACCTCCTCTGTGAGGACCTCCCTGGCTCCCCCAGGGTATCTAACTCCCCTTCCCCTACCTTTCCCTACCCCCATCCCCAGCCTTTCCTATCTACAAAACACAAGCCTGGGTGTGGAACTGGCTAAGTCCTGATTATTCTGAAATAGATCCAATTAATGCCTTCTCCTTTGGTCCCCTGCCCCATCTAACACAGGGTTTGGTACACCCCAGGGATTCAATTGCAGTATATTTGTAGGGGAGGGGAATGAGGAGAGAACAGTGGGCCCTGGCCCCAGGCCTGGCACCTGAGGTGTTCTGTCTGTCAACCTGAGCCTGGCTGGGAGCTGGGACGGCTCTTTCACCAGGCCTCTGGAGGAAACGACTGGGAATGGGGAAGGGCACCATGCAGGAAGCTCCAGGAATAAGTGGGGAAGTAGGCTTGCTGGGGAGCTGGGTAGAGGGTGAAGTGGAAGGGGACAGCATCAGGCAGGCCCCTTTCCAGTGCCTGGGTGGTCTCTGCCAAAACCTAGGTCAGGAGCCCACGCCTTAGGCTCCCTCTCCAACACACAGCCCGTGACTGGGAGCCCAGGCACAGGGAGAATCGGTGTGTCCCTAGCAGTGTGGTGCTGTGGAAACCGCATCCAATGGGCAGGCGGGAGGCCTGGGCCCTCATCCAAGGCCTGCTGCTCAGTGATGCCGGTGGCAAGACTCCTATCCCCTTCCAGGGCCTCAGTCTCACCGTCTGGGAAATGAACTCATGGGTCTAAACTATCTCCAAGCATATTCTCAATCACGTTTTAGGATTTATACCTGCCCATATTCAAAGCCTTCAGTGTGTCCCTCCCACCCCCCCACCCCCCCGCCAGCAGGACACTGTTCCAGAGGTGCTTGGGGACCCTGGAGGGAGACACATGTAGGCTGGATTCCAGCTTTCCCATCTACTAACTGTGTGACCAGTTCACTCCTAAATACGGGCCTCAGGGCCTTCCTTGTACCTGGGGCCAATGCCGGCTTTGGAGACCCTGGAGGGAGACCATTTGGTCACAGTAAAACCACCTCAGGGACTGCTGAGAGCGTTAAAGGCAGATGTGTCAAGGTGCCTCTCACAGTGTTTGGCCCCAAGACCTTCAATGAACTGCAGTTCTCTGCTTACTTCCAGCCTCATGTTCCCTCTTCCCATCTTTCCCCATGCTGCCTGATGCAGCAAGCCCAGCTGGAGCTACATGTCCTGCAAGAAGCCCTCCCAGCCACTCTGGCCCAATGTACTGTCCCCTGCCTCAGCATCCTGCACCATCCACTCAGTTCCCTACTCTTTCACTAGACACACACTGGTGGCTTCTTGGTGTCAAGACTGTATGCTGGGTGCTGTGGGCACAGAATGGTTCTGACACTGCCACTGTCTTCCAAAAGCAGGGTAGAGAGGGGAAATGAGACAGAACACAAATGACTAAAACCTGCTACCAGCAGGGAGAGGGCCAGAGAAAGGGGAGTCCTAAGCTAGCTAAAAAGGGTTTAGGGAAGGCTTCCTGGAGGAGGCATCTGAACTCTGTACCCTTGAGGACAGTGAATACATCTACAGGGAGGAGTAAGCCAGGGCATGGGGAGTGCAGGACACACTTGGGGGAAATGTGTTCTGGTGGGGGTTGAGCCCAAGGGGATGGGAGAGGGGATGCGGAAAGAGACCCAGGTCTACTCCTCCAGCCTGTGTTCCTGCCCCACAGTGGCCGGTGAGGGACAGAAGCTGCCAGCACTAACCCTGAGAGCCATGGGCTCCCAGGTCAGGATACCCTGGCTCTACAATGCTGCCCCTGGGTATCTAGAGCTGTTCATGCCCACAAGTCTCCCCTCCTCCACTGGCACACCTCCTTCCTCTGACCCAGCTCACAGGCACCACAGGGCACAGCCCCCTCCCTTGACATAGGCATGCCTCCCTCACAGAGGCCACTCCTCCCATAGGGAGGCTGACAGTTCGCCTCCTAGGCACAGGAGGGGTCTCCAGCCTCCTCTCCCCCAAAGGCATAGACTATCCCCACTCTCCAACAAGATGGCCAGGGGAGGAGCTGGGTCGAGAGGCCACAATCCAAGCAAGCCCCTGTCCCCTCCTAAGGTGGCTCCCCCCTTTCCACTGGCTGGCACTGAGGCCTCCCTGGGGTACCCTGCCCCTCCCCCAGCCCCTAAATGGATCTGGGCTCCGACAGCTAGGGAAGTGGAAAAAAGCATCCTGGGTGGGTATGGACAGATCCCCAGCTCTCAACACCCTGTCCTCACACCAGCAGGGGCCATCACCAGTGACCCCCATCCTGATCTAGGTAAGGGGGGCAGCAGCCACCCCATGGAGAACTCAGATCTCAGGTCACCTGCCGAGTTCCCCACTCCAGGCTGGTTGGTGCCCTAGGGTGAACTCTGGCACCACAAGAAGAACTGTGGGCCCATGGTCACACTCCTCACCCTGGGGACAGCTCCAGGAAGCGCAATGATAGAGATTTGGGAGGGAAAGCCGGCATTGGCCCCAAGTCATTATTCCAGCGCTCTAAGAAGGGTGCCCTGGTGGAAAGGGTAAAACAAGAGTCACACAAAGCAGACTTGGGGGAGGAGGGGGAGGCTCCCCAATGTCCGCGGCCTGGGAATGGGTTCCTCTGCTATGCCCCCAAGGACAGGGTGGGGACGTGCCTCGGGGACGCCTCAAAGCGGCAGTCCCTTGTCACCCTACCAGACCTCCCACCCCGCATCCCTCCCCGCAAGGGAGCACGCACACAGCTGCTCCCAGTACGCCCCCGCCCGTCCGCTGGCCGGCCCCACGCCCTGGGCGCACACTCTGTGACCCCGGGGGGTGCCAAAAAGCCCTCCTTCTGACGGCCCTCCTGGAGCCCAACACACCTAGCAGCCCCTGGAAGCCCCAGTCGGCGTCCCCAGCCCCCTCCCCAGCCGGACGCCCCCACCTTCCAGCCGGCCGAGCTGTTGCTGTCGCCTTTATCCTTGAAGTAGGGCACGTAACGGACCATCCAGTCGTAGATCTGCGAGAGCGTGAGCCGCTTGTCCGGGGCGCTCTCGATGGCTTTGGTGATGAGGTCGGCGTAGGACAGGTTCCCCCACGCGTTCCGCCGAGAGCTCTTCGCTTTCCGCAGCGGTCCGACCTCCGCGCCCAGGGGCGGCGCTGGGGCCATCGCCGGGGCCGTAGCCCGGCGCTCCGGCCCGCAGTCCTCGGCGCCCTCGGCCACCCCTGCGCCCAGCGCTCCGTCCTCGTCGCCGGCCAAGTCAGGCTGCGGCAGGGGCCAGGTACACGAGCGCGGCCGGCTCTGCGGCGCGAAGTCCGGGTCCACGTCCACCTGATGCGCTCGCAGCTTCGCAGCCATGGTCCCGCCCGGCTCGGGCGAGGAGGGGAGGGAGGCTTCGCGGAGGGTGGGCGGGCGGCTCCGGGATCTGCACGCCCCGGGGAGGCCCGCGGGAGGGGTCCCTGGCGGCGCTGTCTCAGCCGCGGGGCGCCATGGGCCGAGGCGCGGAGGCAGGGGGCTGGACGCGCTGGGGAGCACGAAGGGAGGGAAAGACCTGGGCAGTGAGGGGGCGGCGGCCCGGGAGCCCAGCGGGCACACACCTCGCCCAGCCCCGCTTCTAGCACCTGCCGCCTGCCTGCGCCTGCAGCCACCACCGCCACCGCCGCTGCCGCCGCTCCCCGGGCGCCGGCCCTGCGCACGGGCCCTGCTCTCCCGGGACGAGGCCGGATTGCACCATGCCGGAGCCCGAGCCGGTGCCGGAGCCCGCGCCGCCGCCGCCCGGTGAATGCTGCCGCCGCCGCCGCTCCGGCTCCAGCGCCAGCTCCCGCGCCTGCCGCGCTCAGCGCCGGCTGCACCTCGGGATGGGCGGGGGACGGGGAGGGGGCGGGCCCGACGCGGGAGGGGGCGGGGCGTTTCGCCTGCGGCCGCGGAATCCTCAGCCAGCCCAGGTGCCCCGCCCGCGGGCTGGGAGACCGGGCGCTGAGCTCCCAGCTCGGGGCGACCCCGCCGCAGCCCCTGCAAGCAACAGCGCCGCCTACGGAGCAGGGGCGGAGCGGCTGGCGCGACCCCGCCCCCTGCTCGGCGCGGAGGCGGGGGGGCTAGGGGGCGGAGCCCTAACACTCCCATTGGTCCGCGGCTGGACTGTCCTGCCCATGGGCTCGACAGGATCCCTCCCAGAAGCGCGTCACCGGTTATTGTTACAACCCGGGGTTTCCCGGGGCAACGGGATGGGGCGGGGCTCAGGGCACTGGCCCCGCCTTCTACTCCGGAGAGGACTGCCCCGCCCTCTGTTTGTAGACTCCTGACGTTCCCAAGTCTCCGTTCCAGGACTCTGACAGGGAGGATGATCGAACTCTGCTCTTCTTTGTGCCCTGGACTGAGCTGGGGAAAAAGAATGGGTCAAGAATACCTGGGTTCTAGGCTAGGCTTTGCCACAATTCTCGCTCCTCCATCCGCAAACATGTTCTTCATGGTGCCTGTGGTCATAGTTTTAGAGCTCCAGTTCTCAAAGTTTGACGCAGAGCAGAATCATCCCCTAGAGCTTGTTAACATTGCTGGACCCCAACTCCAGAGTTTCTGATTCGGCAGGTCTGGGTTGGGGCCCCAGACTTTGCATTTCTAACCAGCTCCCAGGTGATGCACGAGAGACCACACCTTGCAAACCATTGTTTTAGAGTCTGTGGGAGGTTCTTACTGCGGTTGTTGGAACAAGCACTTGTCTAAAGTTCACAGTGTTTGGGGAGATGCTTCTCAATCAGTTCCTGGATATTTATTGAGCACCTCTGACGCACCAGGCACTGTCCAGGGCTCTACAGTGAGAGCAGCAACTGAAACAAATGAGGTCCCCTACTGCATAGACTAGTCAGGAGTCAGATGCTAATCAGATCATCACATGAGCTCAGAAGGGCGAGGCTAGCCGAGAGGTTGGGCAGTCCGTGGCCTCATCCTACAGGCTGCTGAGCTAGGTTTCCCAGTCACCACTGCACCTGCTGGCCTTCGCTCAGGGTATTTATCCCCTCTGCCTAGAACACCATTTCCCCGCCGCAAGGCCCTCATCAGAGATTCTCCCACTCTTCAAAGCTCCGTGCAAATGTCAACTTAGCCCTGACACCTTCTCTAGCCCCAACTCCCAACACTTTCTGTTCTCTGCTTGCCCAGACCACTTGTTGAGCTGCCAGCAACACCTTGTGCCCCTTTAGCACAATATTCCTATTTTGCCAATCAGGAAACTGAGGCCCAGAATGAGCAGGTGATTCCCCTGGTGGCATGGCCAGGACTGGAATCTCAAGCTCCTGATTTCTTTACCAGCCAGTACCTTGCTCCTGAGGACGCTGGAGATGCGAAGGTCTCTGGGCAGTGGGAGGGCTGAGCCCAGGCCATGGGAGATGGCCTCCTTTCTCAAAAATTTCTTCCTTCCAGTTTAGGACCTGAGGAGCAGGGCCAAGGGTGAGGGTGGGGGTGGGGCTGGAGGAGCCCCTCCTCATTCCCCAGGGTGGGAGCAGGACTTGCTTGCAGATGCCTGGCGTGGCATTTGCCTGAGTCATATCCCAAGGCAAGGGTGGGCATGGGAAGTGCTGGCTGACGACCCCTCCGATCCATACACATACACACATCCTCCAGGTGATTCTGTTTAGAGTCACAAGGAGCCTGAAATCATTGCTGAATCCACCCCCCACCACCACATCACTCGTATGCCCTCCATGCCTGGGGAGTCCATACTGGGAGCTGCTCCCCTAAGGGACCCTGGAGACCGAGCAAGCCTCCCGCCAGTCTGCGGCCCTGGCCCAGCTCTGAGCTGTGAGGCAGAGGCCTGCTGAGGGCCATACCATTGCTGGGAGGATCCTTAGCTGGGGGCCCTGGCACAGGCTGCCAACATGGGTCTGGGAAGCCAGGTTGGCAGAGATGCACTAGAGGCTGACTCAGGCCCCTGCCCTGCCCGGTGTCCACAGCTGCTGCCTGGACTCTCCTCTGAGGCCCATGTCTGGTACACTCAGCTCCTACACACACACACACACACACACACACACACATTCAAACTCACACCCAATGGCACACACTCACATTCTTCTCACTCACAACTTGGCCCCTGCTCACACATTCATTTTGAGGCAGTATAACATAGTGATTAAGAGCATGGGCAAGATACATAACTGCTCAAAGCCACTCTTTCCTACTCTACAAATGACTACCATAATAGCACTACCTTCACAGGATATTTGAAAAATTAAATACATTTATGAATGTGAGCACCAGGCTCAGAATAAGCGCGCAATAAATGCTAGCTGTTTTTATTGCTGCTTTTGTGTGTACATACCTTCCCTTCCTACTTTGCCCAGCTCATACAGTCCCACCTGCTCTTACCATGCACACACTCACAGCCGCTCACACATGTAGGCTCACTCACAAGCACACTCGCCACGTGCCTCACGCTTGTGTCTCAATTACACAGACCCATGGTTTCTACCTACAGTTCCCTTGACCACCAGCTCTCACCCTTCCCCGCTCCCCCAGGCTGGCTCTCAAGCTCCCATCCACCCTCCCTACCACGCCCACATTCATTTCTGTTCACAAACAAGCCCCCACTTGCTTCCCCTTTCATTCCTCGTTTTTCCACATGCAGGCACATATTCTTCACTCACACCTCCCTGGACACTGGAACATGCTCGCATTCCAGTGCACGCGCACTCACTTGCCCACAGGCAGGTGGATGTGCGCGTTACCCACTCAACTCGTGCTTGGATCACAAAACTTGTACACATACACTCAAACAATCCCAGCGCATGCCTCAATACCTCAGCTGACTCGCCCACTCCCAGTGAGGAGCACACACCACACAATTCTCCCAACACACACTGCCATCGGCAGACACCCCCCACCCGGGGCTAAGGTGGCACTCCCCTCGCCCTCAAGAGACTGTCTCCTCCCTGTCACTTCCCCTCCTCCAGTCTCAGCTCCCCAGCCCCTCCCAGCGCTCAGAATAGCCCCTGCCACCACTGCTGCTGCCACCGCTGAGCCATCAGGGCCCGCCAGAGCCTGCTTCCCAGTGCTTGCTGCCAGCTTTCCCGGCTCACTCAGGGCAAGTGAGGACAGGAGGACGCGCTTCTCTGAGGCTTGATGGGCATAGCTGCGCTGCATCCCCAGAGCCCACCTGGAAAAAGTCAGCCATCCTGGGATTGGCTGCTGCCACTTGCTCAGGACCTGTGTGCCCTGGTCCTCATACCCCCGGCTGAAAGCAGAGAGGGCTGCCTCTCAGAGAAACCCAGGTCTGGGAAGGAAGAGGTTTGCTCAAGGAAGTGCAGTGAGTTGGGAACAGAGCCAGACCACAATCAACCCAATCATTCCTAGCCCATCATGCAGGAGCTTGAGAAGACCCTCCCCTAAACCACATGGTTATCAAGAACCCCCACCCTGCCAGCACTGAGCAGAGCCTGGCTGATATTTAATGCCACCGTTGCCAGGAAAAAGGAATAGCACAGAGATGATGTCTGGGGACACCTCTGGAGGGGAGGGGAAGGGGCTGGTGACCAGAGGAGGCCTCCAGGGGCAGAAAGGGGGAGTGTCTGCAGAAGCCAGAGGGGATATCAGGACAGCTGGGAGCGCCTCCAGGACAGGCTCAGGCCTGGCCCCTGCAGGGACAGTGACAGGGAGTGGGTGGGGCTGAGCTGAGGAGGCTCAGCTGAGGGGGACAGTGCAGCAATGCAGCCCCTATAAGAAGACCCAAGGCCCCTTCGGCGGCCTGCACAGACCACAGACCAGGCCTGGGCAGAGAGTTCTGCTGGCTCTGGGGAGGCAGCTTACAGCAGCGACTGCTGGGTGCCCAAGAACATGGAGCCCAGGCCCAAAGGACCTTGTACCTTCCTTGTCCAGGAGGCTGTACCACCACTGGCAGGGTAGAGAATCACTGGCATAGTGATTAAGAAATGAATGCCAAAGTGAGCTCCTCTTACAGGCCAAGCCCATTCTGCACACCATCCCATTCAATCCTATATTCTTATCCCCATAAGGTTCCCCAAGCACTCACTAAGTGCTGGCCCCTGTGGAGCACCTGACAGGCATTACCCAAAAGAATCAGACTCCTAGGAGCAAGAACTGGGCACATCTCGTTCACTGCTGTGTCTCTGGGGCCTAGAGCAGAGGCTGACACAGAGGAGACCTTCTGTAAATATCTGTTGAGTGAAGGGATGTGAAAAGAAATCACAACCACCTGAGAGGCAGAAAGTATTATTCCCATTTTCTGGATGGGGAAAGTGAGGCTGAGAGAAGGGAAGTGAGTAACTTACTTCCCTGGAACTCAAACTAGAGTCTGGGTTTGCTCCTTGCATAGCACCGCGGGGCAGGGAAAAAATGAGCTTGGGGCAAGTAACTTCCCTTTTCTAAGTCTCAGTTTCCTCATCTGGGAAATGGGAATGGCTGCACTTACATCAAGATCCCATATGTGAAGTGCCAAGCACAAAGCCCTGCAAAGAGTATGTCAAACATCACATGTCCTTCGTCCTCCTCCTCTGCCTTGGGTTTGTCCTGATAGTCTAAATTTCGGCAGGACCACACCTGGGAGCTAAGATGCCTGTATGTCACCCCCCTTCTGTACCATGGGAAGGAGGTATATTAATTTGTTAGCACTGCTGTGATAAAGTACCACAAACTGGGTGGCTTAAAACAATAGGAATTTATTGTCTCACAGTTCTGGAAGCTAGAAGTCTGAAATCAAGGTGTTGGCAGGACCACACTGTCTCTGAAGGCTCTAGGGGAGAATCCTTCCTTGCCTCTTCTAGCTTCGTGCAGTTGCCAGCAATCCTGCATGTTTCTTGTCTTGTAGACGCATCATTCGAGTCTCTGCCTCGGTCTCAACATGGTGTTCTTCCCCGCCTGTGTCTTCACATGGCAATCTCCTGTCCATCTCTGTATCTTTCCTATTCTTGTAATGACACCTACCATATTGGATTTAGGGCCCATTCCATTCTAGAATGACCTCATTTTAACTTAGCTAATTATATCTGCAGAGACTTTATTTTCAAACAAGTCTATATTCTGAGGTTCCTGGAAAGGCAAGAATTTTGGGGGGCCACTATGGAACCCATTGCAAGAGATGTAATAGAAAATGTGTAGGATTTGGAGACAGGCAGGTCCAGATTTGAATTCTGCCTCCTTCACGAAGAAGCTATTTGACTTTGGCCTTCTCTGAGTCGTCTTGTTTCTTACCCTGTAACGTGAGGACAACAACCTCGACCTCCCAGGGTTGTTGCAGGGAAAAGATAAGTGATGATTTGATGGCAGTGCCCGGCAGAATAAGACCTAGTATCTCACTGTGGCCTCACTGCCTGCCATGTCCTGCCCAAATGTCCTCTCCTCTGGATTGTCCTGTCCCCAGGGCCTCCAACAGTGGTGTGAAAACACTGGGCTGCAGTATTCTGCTACTGGCCCTGCTCTTGGCTAAGTCACTTCTTTCTGGAACTCTGTTGCCTCATCAGTCAAATGGGTGGAGGACCTAGGCAGATACTCTCGAAGCTTCCATCTGAGGGTGATGTTCACAGAGTCTTGAGACCTCCTTGCAAAATACTAGTTTGGAACTCTAAAGACACAACCATCACTATAAGAAGTCACTGAAAAGGGAGTGAGCTTTCTAGGAGAAAGCTACCCCTTCCAGCTTCCCTCCTCCCACCAGGCCCTCCCAATCCCCACCAGGCCATGGAGGCAGTGGACCTTCCCAAGTCAGTAAGCCTCCACTTGTGAGGACCCCCCAGACTTGCTGCTTCTCCCCTTGGCGGCCATAGCCCCAGCACTGGTAGGTGACTGTGGAAGGAGGTAGCTAGTACCAGCTCCATTAAGGACCCACTGTGTAGCCATGGAATGGTTACTTACCTCAGTTTCCCCATCTGCAAAATGAAGATCACATCTATCCCACTCCCCCAGAGGAGGTACAAGAATAAAAGGAGATAATGAGGTAGGGAAGGAGCTATGTGGCCTCTGAAAAATTGTAAGTATTTCTCTCTCTGGCTGACAGCTTGGCCTTGCCCTGTGTCCTCTAGATGCATGGCCAGCGTCACCACCTCCTCAACTTGACTGTTGGTCTCAGGGCCCCACCACACAGGGAACCCTGGTAGAGAGGCTGGCGCCTCCTGGTGAATTAAGATAATTAGAACAACCAGCCCTGCAGAAGTGGCTGACGGAGGGAGGGAGGAAAGGCCTCCTGTGTGCCAGGCACTGTGTTGTGTGTTCCATCTTATTTAATCCTGAAAGCCACACTCTGGAGTAGCCACAGCTATTCCCATTGCAGATGGGGAAACTGAGGCAGCACTCCTGAGGAAACTTCACAGTGCCATTGTGAGAATGATAATAATAATGACTGCTATGGTCGAAACGTTTAAGTCCGCCCCAAAATTAATATGTTAAAATCCTCACCTGCAAGGTGATGGTATTAGAAGGTGGGGCCTTTGTGTGGTGATTAAGTCTTGGGGCTGGAGCCGTTATGAATGGGATTTGTGCCTTTATAAAGAGGCCCTAGAGAGACCCCCTGCCCCTTCTGTCATGTGAGGTTGGACCAAAAAGTCAAAGTCTATGAACCAGAATACAGGCCCTCACCAGACACTGAATCTGCCAGCACCTGGATCTTGGACTTTCCAGGCTCCAGAAAGGTGAGAGGCACATTTCTGTTGATTATAAGCTACCCAGTTATAGCAGCCCACGTGACTAAGACAATGACGAGAAAATAATGTATCAAAGCACTTACTAAGTGCACCCTTTATGCAAAGTGAGTCCCTGGCTCTCACTTGATCCTAAATTAATCCTAGAGCCTGGGATTATTTTAGAAGGGACAGCAGAGGCTCAGAGAAGTAAAATAAATTTCCCCAGGTCACAGAGCCAGAACCTCAGCCCATATTTTCCAGCCCCGAAGCCAACGCTTTCATGGCTACAGCTGCTTTCTCTCACCTGGTTGCTGCCTGCACAGGTGGGTGTTGCCAAATAAGTGGGGCACAGACTTCCCAGGCCAAATGGAGCAGACAGGTTGGCAGAGAGGGGGCATGCCCTCTTCTCCCCTTTGTGTTGTGTGAAACATGCTTAGCCCACACCCTTAACTTCTACTTTTAATTACTGCAATTTAATATTTGGGTTAGAGTAAGTGAGGACAAGCCAAAAATGTGGTCCCCACCAATGCTGTCATCCTACCCTTTGTAAACTCTCATCAACCAGCCGATAGTCCCTCAGCTGGTCTGACCGCCCTGGGACCTGGTTCCGGCCCCAGGCTGCTTTGCAGTCACTTCTCTGCTGCTCCTCTGGGTGCTAGGCATGGCCTGAGCAGGGCCCCACCACTATGACCACAACTCTTACCCGCAGGGCCCAGGCCAGCCACGTGTGCCGCCCACATTCTCTCTGCAGCTGCCGTTCAGAGGCCCTCTCACCCAGTAGAAAGACCTCATGCCGTGCGTGCTTATCCTAGGCCTACCTGCCTAACATGCTTTTCCTGAACCTTCATTTTTATCTCCTGATCTCCTGGCCTCTGTCCCTTAACATGGAGAGTGCAGGAATTGAGCCCAAAAGGCTTGGGTTAGAATCCCGGCTGTAACTTGGTGACCTTGGACATTTCATTTCCCTGAGCCTCAGTTCCTTAGCAGTAAGACAACACTGGCGTTGGCAGCAACAGCACAGGACTATTGTGAGGATGATAATAATAATAATAATAATAATGACAGGCTGGATGTGGTGGCTTATGCCTGTAATCCCAGCACTTTGGGAGGCCGAGGTAGGTGGATCACTTGAGGTCAGGAGTTCGAGACCAGCCTGGCCAACATGCTCACGCCTATAATCCCAGCACTTTGGGAGCTCGAGGTGGTGGGATCACTTGAGCCCAGGAACTCCAGACAAGCCTGGGCAATGTCCCTACAAAAAAATCAAAAACTTAGCCAGACACAGTGGCCAGTGCCTGTGGTCTAGCTACTCAGAAGGCTGAGGTGGGCCGGGCACGGTGGCTCACGCCTGCACTTTAGGTGAATCCCTGTCTCTACTAAAAATACAAAAATTAGCCAGGCTGGTGGTGGGCGCCAGTAATCCCAGCTACTTGGGAGGCTGAAGCAGGAGAATCACTTGAACCTGGGAGGCAGAGGTTGCAGTGAGCTGAGATTGTGCCGGTGCACTCCAGCCTGGGTGACAGCGAGACTCTATCTCAAAAAAAAAAAAAAAAGAGACAAAAGAAAATAACAATAATATTTCTCAAGAACATATTAAGTACAGCCTCTGTGCTAAGTGATTCCATGGCTCTCACTTGATCCTTCATCAATCAGGAGAGGTTGGCATTATTTTACTGTCATCCCCATTTCACAGATGAAAAGGGGGAAACAGAAGTTCCTGGCACATAGTAGGCACTTGACAAGTGCTGATTGTTTCTATGGCTTTTGGTTTTTCAACCATCTAAATTCATAAATTAAACCAACTATTCTCAAGCTGAGCTAGAGTACACAGCAGTTGTTCCTACCTGTGGCATCTGTAGGTGTCTGGCTTGCTCAGTGACTCTAGCTTGGCAAACGGATTGCCCAGGCTGGCTCCTTGTTCTGAGATATCTCATCCAAAGATCTCATCCATCCAAACTCATAAAGAGCCTATGCTGGGGTCAGGAGATGTGGGCCCCTGGGCCAACTTGACCAGTGTTTTACTTAACTCCTCCGAGCCTCAGTTTCCTCTATTTATGTTGCAGAGAAGAGTAGTAGGAGTGGCACATAATAGGTGCTTCTAAACTTTTGGCTCCACAACCTCTCCATATGCCTTAGTCATTTGCATGAGATATAATTAAAGACCAATTCAAAACACTGACCAGCCAAACACAAAAGGGAGCCATTAACACAGTGAACAAATCAATAGAGAGGGGGTGGGTGAGCAAGCGCTCTCCTGATGTCACTGGATGGGCCCTCCGTCCCCACATTGCAATGTGTGCAGATATGCTACCTTCTTGCCTGCTGGGAAGCACAGAGTTAAATCTTGTATCAAACACAGGAACTATTCTAAGTGTAGGTTTGTAGTTCATTCTCTTTTCCCGTTGTATTACAAAGTTCTTACTTCTTTTCCTTACTTAATGGTTGTATTTTTATTGTATGTGTCATTTTATAAAAATCAGAATCTACCCAAATCCCTTTTTATGGAAGTAGAGGCATAAATGATGAGGGAGGAAAAGTAGTACAGATACAGGAAGTCAATCCACATACAGGGTGAGACAGAACTCAGGCAGCTTTCTCACATCCCTGACCAACGCCTTTGAAAGTCAGCTTGTCTGTCACCTCTTCTAAGAAGCCTCCTTGGATCACTTTGGATGATGCCTTAGGTTTCTCCAGAGAAACAGAGCCAACTGGAGATAGATTAAACAGATTGATTGATGAATAGATAGATAGATAGATGATAGATAGATAGATAGATAGATAGATAGATAGATAGATAGATAGATAATGAGGAAACTGGCTCACACAATTATGGAGACTGAGAAGTTATGGAGGCTAAAAAGTTCCACAGTCTGCCCTTGCAAGCTGGAGGTCCAGGAGAGCCAGTGATATTGTTTCCAGCCCAACCCCAAGTGCCTGAGAACCAGGGGAACTGCTGGTATAAATGCCAGTCCAAGGGCAGGAGAAGACCGATGTCCCAGCTCAAGCAGCAGGCAGGCAGGAAGGAGACAAATCCTCTCCTTCCCTCCTCTTTGTTCTAATCAGGCCTGCAACAGTTTGGATGATGCCCACCTACATTCGGGAGCTCAATCTACTTTACCGAGTCCACTAACTCAGAGGCTAATCTCATCTGGAAACACCCTCACAGACACGCCCAGAAATAACATCTCATCTGGGCACCCCTTGGCCCAGTCAAGCTAACACATACGAGAAACCATCACAAATGTATCAGTCAGTCTTCCTATGTTCCTGGTGTATGCTTCTTGTTCCCATTCTCTGCTGTAATTTTCTGTTTCCAGGCCTGTTTATAGTCTGTGAGTTTCTCTAGCCAGGGTCTTTGCCTTGCTCATTCCTCTGTCAGGCCCAGTGCAGGACCTGAATGGGAGATGGGAGGGAACAGGGAAAGGGAATATAAGAGGCTTCACAGAGGTGAAACATTTGAGCTAGGTCTTCCAGTAATTTCCTGAGCACCTATTATATGCTGGGCATGAAGTATCCAAGAATAAGAATGCCATATCATTAAAAAAATGTATGTAGGCCAGGCACAGTGGCTCACACCTGTAATCCCAGCACTTTGGGAAGCTGGGGCAGGTGGATCCCTTGAGCTCAGGAGTTCGAGACCAGCATGGGCAACATGGCAAAACCCTGTCTCTACAAAAAATACAAAAATTAGCCAGGCTTGGTGGTGCGCACGTGTGGTCCCAGCTACTTGGAAGGCTGAAGTGGGAGGATCACTTGAGCCTAGCAGGTCACGATTGCAGTGAGCCACTGCACACTCCATGCTGGGCAACAGAGCGAGACCCTGTCTCAAAAAAAAAAAAAAGAGTACATAAAGGGCCTCCCGTAGTGACAGGCACATGATAGGAACTCAGGAAGTGACAGCCATAGTTGTAATAGGAAAACACTGAAGGTCATCTGAAGGAGATTGTGCTGTTGGCACAATTACACAGAGAAAAACTACGCAGCCCTCAAAAGTAATAAAGTAGACTTCTATGGACTAACACAGAAAGGTGGTTCTGAGACAACACTCAGGAAGAAAGGAAGTGATGGAAAAGTCACAGTGCCTATTGCATGCTAGGTAACATGTGTCATATGATTACATGA
Source organism: Homo sapiens (assembly GCF_000001405.40). NCBI lineage: Eukaryota > Metazoa > Chordata > Mammalia > Primates > Hominidae > Homo > Homo sapiens. The sequence continues at coordinate 41,350,546 of NC_000001.11, read as the reverse complement.
CTGTAAATACTACACATGTGCATTATATTTGCACATATATATGCACACATATAGACATTTCTGGAAGGATTCCCCAAATCTGTTAAGAGTAGTTAGTTCCAATCAAGAGTGATATTGTGGATTGAGGAAAGCCTCCCCTTTTACTTTATATAGTTTTATATTGTTGAATATTTTTATAATAAATTTAAAAATACTGAAGGGAAAAAGAAGAGTTGCTAGAGAAGGCATGTACTTGAGTGAATAATTAATGAATGAGTGCCCCAACCAGAGCCTCGGTGAAAAGTCCAGTGACTTGGTGCCAAGTGTGTGGTCCAGCAGCCTGGCCTTGTGACTTCCACCGCCCCAGGACAGGCCTGATGAGTGCAAGGGATAGGAAGACATGGAGTCTGATGGAAAGGGCCTTGGAGAAGGTCCCAGGGTCCCACAGAAATCAGAGGTAGGGGAATTGGCCTCCCCTGAGAAGGGATGTGACTTGGGACCCCTGTGGAGCCACAGGGGTGGCCAGAGCTGCCTGAAGGTCAGCCGTATGTACTCAGGAGGTTGGTCCTCTGCCAGAGCTGGGCCCTGATGGAGTCATGAAGACAGCACCCAATGCTGTGAGATAAAGAGGGAGCCTTGGACATCACTGAGCCAATGCCCCTCCTCCGTGTGGGGAGGGGGTCAGGCACATGGGCAGGGGCAGAATTCAGGAATCGTGATTTGGAGTAGCTGATTTCCCAGGCTCCCGCATGGCTCCCCAGCAGGGAGAGCAAGAGTCTTAGAGAGAGAGACAGGTGGTTTCGGAGCTTGACACCCACGCTGTGAGACCCTAGGGCCTCAACTGCCTCCTCAGGAAAATGGAAGCAATAATGCCTCTCTTGAGGGTAATTGTGAGAGCTGGATTAGGTACGAAGGTGGCCAAAGGAAGTCTCTAACTGAAGTAGGACTTAATCCATGGTGTTAAGATGGGCATGAGGGGTGTCTTTAGGAGGGGGTGGGAATTCATGGATAGGGACAGGGTAGCTGGGACTTTGGACTCTGGTCTTTAGGTCTCATGCATTATATACCTCAGAGAGTGAAATCTACACTCAACCCCGGCAGTGAAGAACTTGGTCTGGAGTCAGTCTCCAATGCAAATTCCATTCCCTCACTTCTAATCATATGGCCTCTCCAGGCATGAGATCCTTCATCATAAAAATGGGGATAATAGTAGTTTCTACCTCACAGGCTTGTTATGGGAATTAAATGAATAAATGCTTGTAAATTACCTAGTACAGTGCCTGACACTATTAGGGGTTGTAAGGCAAAGAGGCTCAAATCTTTTCCACCTGAGAGAAAAAGACCCAGAGTTCCCAGTGGACCTCAGGCTGTGGCTTGGAGAAGAGATTGTCAGAAGGAGGAGGTGTCTGGCTTTGGCAACCACAGTGTGGAGTGGTGAAGAGAGCAAAAGCCTAAAAGTCAGACAGATTCAAGCAAAATACCAGCATCTCTACTTTCCAGCTGTCCTTCTCTAAGCCTCAGTTTCCCTAACTAAAAAAGTTGATTTTTGTGCCTGTTCCTGCTCTACCAGATATATTAAAGTGGAACTCTAGGCTGGGCATAGTGGCTCATACCTGTAATCCCAGTGCTTCAGGAGGCTGAGACAGGCAGATCGCTTGAGCTCAGGAGTTTGAGACCAGCCTGAGCAACATGGCAAAACCCTGTCTCTACAAAAATTAGCTGAGCATGGTGGCACACACCTGTGGTCCCAACTACTCAGGAAGCTGAAGTGGGAGGATCTCCTGAGCCTAGAAGGTCGAGGTTGCAGTGAGCCATAATTGTGCCACTGCACTTCAGCCTGGGCAACAGAGTGAGACCCTGTTTCAATAAAAAATTAAAAAATAATAAAGTAAAACTCCAGATACCACGTCATCCAAACCTCCCCCCTTCCACTTTATTTGCCATAGCTCCTCATTTCTGACCACAGTCTTGTGGGAGGAGTGAGCACTGGGCTTGGAGTCTCAAAGACTCACCTTCCAATCCCAGGGCATCCCCTGTCACCTGTGGGATTTTGAACAAATCTCTGCACTTGACAGAATCTCCATTTCCAGGCCTGGGATAATGGTGGAGAATTCCTCCTTCTTCACAGGGCTGGTGGGAGTGACAAGTGAGGCCCTATGCGTGAACGTGTCTTGCCCAGTGTCTGCACAACGCTCGTCTTAGGGTAAATGTTCATTGTGACTTTTTCTTCACAAGACTTATTTTTTTTTGGATGCCTACATTTTACAGTCAGTTTAAGAATAACTTAGTTTTACTCTCCTTGACCAAATGAACTCCCTGAAACTTAATGTGGAAAGCATACATACTCTGAGCCTGACAGGCCTGGTTTAGATCCTGGCTCTAGCTCTGTGTCCTTGGCAAAGTCACTTTGCCTCTCTGAGCCCTAATTTTCTTAGCTATAAGGTAGCATTGATAATATCTACTTCAGCCAGGCACAGTGGCTCACGCCTGTAATCCCAGAAATTTGGGAGGCTGAGGCGGGTGGATCACTTGAGGTCAGGAGTTCAAGACCAGCCTGGCCAACATGGTGAAACCCTGTCTCTACTAAAACTACAAAAAAAATCAGCCAGGCATGGTGGCAAGTGCCTGTAGTCCCAGCTACTTGGCAGGCTGAGGCATGAGAATCTCTTGAACCCGGGAGGCAGAGATTGCAGTGAGCCGAGATCATGCCACTGCACTCCAGTCTGGGGGGACAGAGCAAGACTCTGTCTCAAAAAAAAAAAAAAAAAAAAAAACCTACTTCACAGGATTGTCGTGAGGATGACAGTGACAATAGTGGTAATAGTAACAGGGGAAGAGCTGAGAACTGGCTTCACGACCACTATCGGGGTGGGACAGCTCTGAAGTGACAGACCAGACACCTGGGTAGGTAGAACAGTTTTCATCTAGCAGATCACCACCTGAAAAAACACCCTGAAAACTGCTATCACCTGCCTGAGGGTGTTACTTGAGGGAGGAGTGGCAGAGAGGAAGGGCAGGTTTAGTGGCTGCATGCCTCATATTGGGTTCCTGTGTAACTCTCTGCACATTGCCTGTCTTCACCAACAGCAGCTGCCTCCTGAGGCAGAGTCTCAGTTCAGCTGGGAAAGATCTTTGGATGAGATATCTCAGAACAAGAAGCCAGCCTGGGTGATTCATTTACCAAGCTAGAGTCACTGAGCAAGCTGGACACCCAGAGATGTCCCAGGTAGGAACAGCTGCTGTGTACGGTTGGTGGGAACATAAATTAGTTCAACCATTGTGGAAGACGGTGTGGTGATTCCTCAAAGATCTAGGACCAGAAATACCATTTGACCCATCAATCCCATTACGGGGTGTATACCCGAAGGAATAGAAATCGTTCTATTACAAAGATGCATGCACGCATATGTTCATTGCAGCACTATTTACAGCAGCAAAGACATTAGAATCAACCCAAATGCCCATCAGTGATAGACTGGATAAAGAAAATGTGGTACATATACACCATGGAATACTATGCAGCCATAAAAAGAAATGAGATCATGTCCTTGGCAGGGACGTGGATGGAGCTGGAAGTCATTATCCTCAGCAAACTAACACAGGAACAGAAAACCAAACACCGCATGTTCTCACTTGTAAGTGGGAGCTGAACAATGAGAACACATGGACACAGGGAGGGAAACAACACACACTGGGGCCTGTCGGTGGGTGGATTGGAGGAGGGAGAGCATCAGGAAGAATAGCTAATGCGGGCTTAATACATAGATAGGTGCAGCAGACCACCATGGTACACGTTTACCTGTGTAACAAACCTGCACATCCTGCACATGTACCCCAGAACCAAAAATAAAAATTAAAAAAAAAAAACAGACCCAGAAAAAAAAAAAGAGAATAGTGGATTTAATTTATGAATTTAGATAGTTGGGAAACAAAAAGCCATAGAAAGAACCAGCACTTGTCAAGTGCCTACCATGTGCCAGGAACTTCTGTTTCCCTCTTTTCATCTGTGAAATGAGGATGACAATCAAATAATGCCAACCTCTCCGGATTGATTAAGGATCAAGTGAGAGCCATGGAATCACTTAGCACAGAGGCTGCATTTTGTAAGCCCTTGAGAAATATTAGCCGGTATTATTATAAGGCATGGGGCAGAGGGAAGGGGTGGTTACTGAGACAGAGATCACAAGAAGGGGTGGATGCTTCAGAGGAAGATGATGGATTCAGTTTGGGGGAGCTGAGTTTGTGTGCCAGTGGGTCAGCCAGGGAAGAAGTCCATTTGGCAGGCAGTTGATATGGTAGTGGTCATGAGGCCACAGTCTGGAACTCTGAGCAAAGGTCTGGACAGGAGGTGTAAACTTGGAAGTCCTTGGCACAGAGGTGGTGAAACCATGGCTGGTGGGGAGTGAAGACCCCAAGGGTGATGCTGGAGCAGAATATGAAAAGAACAGAGAGCCAAAGGGGGCTGCTGAAGAACACCAAGATGTTAGGGGGAGCAAAACCAGGGCAGACTGGAAGCTTCTGGGAAGGAGCAGCCAGTAAGCTCAGAAAGAGTGAACTCATGAGAACCAGAAGAGAGTGGTTAAAGAAGGAACTAGTAAATAGCACATATGTCATGGAAAGGTCAAGAAATCAAAGGCCTAAAAGCATATGCTACAGTACATGCTTTCTCAGGCCAGTGCAGGCCAAAAAGTGAGGCAGTGACTGCCCTGAGTATATACTACCAGCGCCCAGCCAAGCAAGGCCAACCTGTAAAGCTCACGTAAGAACTGTGAGTCAGCCAGGGGCCCTCAAAATGGAACCTCAAGGCTCTCGAAAGGCAATGTAGAGGAAGAGAGGGGCTGAACCTCTCTGTATGAGACCGTGAAACCCTGGCAGGCCTCTAAATAGCTCTGAGACAGTTTCCTAATCTGCAAAAAGGAGATAATATCCAAACTTTATATCAGGGTTGCATAAGAATTGGATGACATCATAAGATACCCAGTATACAATGGGCACTCAAAGGTTAGTGTTCTCCACTATTTTAATATAAAAATATTGATCCCTAATGATGGTCCTGAATCACCAAGAAAAAGTTACATTCAGGTCAGTTACCCTTCTTTTGGAAACACAGGGAAGGGTATAATGGACTTTAGAAGGATTCACAGTAGGCCGGGCGCAGTGGCTCACGCCTGTAATCCCAGCACTTTGGGAGGCCGAGGCCGGCGGATCACGAGGTCAGGAGATTGAGACCATCCTGGCTAACACGGTGAAACCCCGTCTCTACTAAAAATACCAAAAATTAGCCGGGCATGGTGCCAGGCGCCTGTAGTCCCAGCTCCTCAGGAGGCTGAGGCAGGAGAACTGTGTGAACCCGGGAGGTGGAGCTTGCAGTGAGCCAAGATCGCACCACTGCACTCCAGTCTGGGTGACAGAGTCAGACTGTCTCAAAAAAAAAAAAAAGAAAGAAAAAGAAAAAGAAAAGACAGATTCACAGTAGAAGTCACATCTGTCTTATTTTCGAAGACGGTTTGTCTTGGTGATGGGGTATCCCCAGCATGACCACCAAGCTCCCCTTCAGCACCATGATTTAGTGGCTTTTCCTGGAAGGAAGTGGGCATCTGCCAATTAGCTCCCTGTTCAGAAGTGATGGGGTGCTTTCCCGGCTAGTCTAGAAAGACCCAGATGGCTGGGGAATGAGAGGAAAGCCATGCAGAGCTCACAGAGGAGCCCCAGAGAGGGTTCAGGTTAGGAGAGTAAGGCTAAGTTGTTCTTAAAATGACTGGTAAAGATTCAGTCACAGTTAACATTTACCCCAAGTACTGAGCGAGGCACGGTCACATATCACATATCACACAGTCTCAGTTGTCATTCTCACCAACCTCAGGAGGAAGGTGGAATTCTCCTCTATCTCACACATGGACACGGAGATTCTGTCAAGTGAAGTGATGTTCTCAAAGTCACACAGGTGGCTCTTGGACGGGAACGAGTGCCTGTGGTCAGGAAGGAGAAGTAAGCTGGATGTGAGGAGTTGGGGAGGAAGCCAATGAGGGAGGAAGCTGTGGGCAATGTGATGTCTGGGTTTCACTCTAATACATTCTAGCAGAACAGTACCAGGCACAGGGAGGGGCTGGGACCTGGCCTCACAACCACCACCATGAAGGGACGGCTCTGCAAGTGACAGACCAGACACCTGGGCAGGCAGAGGCGTTTTCATCCAGCAGGAGCCCGCCACCTGCAGACACGTATCAAAACACTGCCATCACTGTCCTTAGTCTACGACTTAGGGAAAGAGTCATGACAAGGAAGGGAAGAGGTTTGAGGGCTGCATGCCTAAAACTGAGCCCACTGGTATCCATGGTGGCCAGGAGGGCAGAAGCAACCAACACACCAGCTATGAGTCCACAAGGCCCTGGAGGAAGTCTCAGGGTCAAGTGGGAATGAAACAGAGATAAGAAAACCTAAAACAGTGGGCTTTCCAAGAAACATGTAACACAGCACATGGGGAGCGCCCCGGGGGGTTCCTGGCACCGAGCAGGCGCTGCTTTCTTCTTCCCACCTCGTGATTGTCAGATGAGGATGCTGAGGCCTGGAAAGGAAGAGCGACATCACATACATAGTGAACTAATGATGAAACCAAGACTGGGGTCGCGATTGCCTACCACCCAGAGGCCCCAGCCCTTAGGCACTTGATGACTCCTTCCTCCTGAACCAGAGTGATGTGTCAGCTACAACACCACAGCAGTTCAGATCATGTTAACAAAGGTAGAGTCTGGACGGCACTGCTCAGCACTGGAGCCACTAATTCCGTGGAGTTCCCGAGCACCTGAAACGTGGCTAGTCCAAATGAGATGTTCTGTTAAGTATAAAAACACACCGGATTTGAACATTTTGTATGAAAAAAGGTTTCAAGTATCTCATGAATGATTTTTTGATACTGATTACATGCTGAAATAACATTTTGACTACATTTGGTTAAGTGAAAATATTTTTTAAGTTAATGTTACCTATTTCTTTTTACTTTTTAAAAAAGATGGGTGCTTATTTATTATTTATTTATTGAGATGGTATTTCACCCTGTTGCCCAGGCTGGAGTGCAGTGGCACAATCATAGCTCACTGCAGCCTTGAACTACTGGGCTCCAGCAATCCTCCCACCCCAGCCTCCCAAAGCACTGGGATTATAGGCGCATGCCACCATGCCCAGCTCCTTTTATTAAGGCAGCCACTAGAAAATTTAAAATTATACCCATGGCTCACATTATATTATCACTGGATAGCACAGGTCTTGACGTAGTAGGAGATGGGGCTGCCCTATCGTGTTCAGAGGACTGAGCTGAATTCTAGACTGCACATCTCAGGAGGCACCTAAGCAAAGAGGAGTAGACTCAGAGCATGAGGAGGTTGGGGAAGGGACTCAGAATGAGGTCACGGCATTGCACAACTCTAAGGTCACCACTGATGGTATGGTCCAGCAGGCATATGAGCTATGTCATTTAAGGGACAGTTGAAGAAACTGGACATGTTCCACCTGGAGAGAAGACTTGGAGAGGGGATGTGATCACTGTCTTCAAATAGCAAAGGACAGTCACGGGACACTGGGGACAGATGTGTTCTGTGTGGCTTCAAAGAGGAGAGCTGAAATTTGAGGGAGAGCTCCAGGGAGCAGACTTCCACTTTAAGGAAGGCCCAGGGCCCTCCAAAGCCAGGCTGTGCTTCCTTTTCTGGGGTCACAGAGAGGGAATGGCATTTGGGGCCCCTTGGCAGATTTGCCTTGGGAGGGGTGAAGCACGGAAGAAAGAAATGTGTTAGATTATCTGCAGTGGAAGAGGTCCTCACACCTTGAGCCTCTGGAGCACCTCTGGGCTGGGTGGCTGCCCCAGGTAGGCCAAAACAGAGGGGCTCTCTGAGGTTTCAGCCTAATAATAATAACACTACAAAACTGCTTATTGAGCATCTATACATACCAGGGGACTTTACACACATTATTACTGTGTCTCTAGCCTACCCCGAGGAAGTGGGTGCTATTTCCCAATTATTAGGTGGATAAGGAAACTGAGGCTCAGAGAGGAGGAATGCTTTATCCCAGGTTACACAGCCAGGATGAGCTGGGATTTGAACCCAGTCTGGCTGATCCCAGGGCCCACAGGCATGGGGTGGCCTCCTCAGGGAGCCTGGAGGGGCAAGGGCCAGCTAGAGCCCTGGGGAAGCTGGGTTGGTTCTTCACGGGAAGCCAGGGCCCCACTGGGCTCTCCAATTAGCAAGAGCAGAGAAATCAGAGGCAGCAACAAGCTCTGCTAATGAGCTGCCACATTAAACAATGAGTCACACTTCCATACGGTGCCGCTCCAGCCCTAACCCGGAACAAACAAGCTGTGAGAAACAGTTTACAAAACAGCGAGGTGTGACTGTCTCCCTGCTGCCGCCCGCCACTGCTGCCACCACCACGGCACTGCAGCCACCACGGGCCCACCGCCCACGGGCACACACAGGTGCAAGGGGCAGGCCCGGGAGGGGGCTAAATAGCCAGCCCTGGCTTCTGAGCTCAGGGGGAGTACCCTTCTTTGGCAGTGACCCGGGGGACAGACCCTGAGCTGCAGCTTCCACTGCACTCTAGCCATCTCCTGGGATGCAGGGGTTCTGTCATTTGGTCACTCTGTGACCTAGGGCAAATGACTTAATCTCTCAGGGTCTCAGTTCTCTTATCTGTATTGCGGGGATAATATCTAGCTCATTCTTTAATTGTGAAGACTAAATGTGATCATCACGTAAACTTCCTACTACAGAGCCTGGCACAGAGGACCTATGCAGCAAACCATTCACCCCCCAACCCTTGCATCCTTCCCTTCCCCTGTATAGGGAATCCAGCTCAGAGCTAGTCTTATAGAAATCCCCCATTAATGGTGTCTGCCTTCCTTTTCCTGACCTATATTGTATTTATTTGTGTCCCTGGCTTACCCCCTACTGAAATATGGGATCCTGAGAGCAGGGACTTGTCTTACTCATTTCCACACTCTCAGGCCCAGCACAGGAGGTGGCAGGGTGAAGTGGGAGGAGCATTAGGCATTAGGGACAACAACTGTGAGTTCAGATCACTCCTCTGGCAGTTATTATCTGTGGGATCCTGAGCAGCTATGCTAAGAACCATTTATTGAACACTTCCCTGTGCCAGACCCAAATGCTTCATGTGTTCTATCCCATTTAATCCAAAGAGAGGTGTTACTGTCCCATCTCACCAACAAGGAAATAAGCCCTCAGAGCAGCTAGGTAGCATGGTGTGATGTCTTTGTAATTGTCAACTAGGCTCAGCTGAACTACGTTTCCCAGAATTCCCTTTCCTGTATGTTTCAGGTTAGAATCCCCTAGTGGTTCTGTTTCTCTAATTGAAACCTGACTGATACACATGGCCAAGTTTCCAGAGTAAGATAGTGATGGAGCTGGAGTTCAAAATGGGTGTTCCTGTCACCCAGCTGAAGATGGTTAACTACTCACTCTGTTAATAATAGCTAATATATAGTAATTATGAGCCAGTTATATATTTACTCATTTAATTCCCCCAGCAATTCTATAGGTCATTTCTATTATTAGCATCTGAATTCTTACAGGTGGGGAAACTGAGGCACAGAGAGGTTAATTTGCACAAGGTCACATAACTAAGAAGTGGGAAATCTGAGACTGAAACCCAGATTGGCCACACAGTCCATCTTTTTATCTGTTACATTATTCTACCTCTCAACTCTAGTATACTACAACTTAATCCCTAAGACTCAACTTTCCTCATCTATAAAATGGGGATAATCATACCTAATATACAAGATATGTGTGATAATTAAGTGTGGAAATGTAGTTACAGGGCTTCTGGACAGAAGAAATAACAGGGAGTCGATTCACCCTCTCTCCTAAAGCAACTGAAAACCTAGATAAAATATATGAAACAACAGTTTTCAGACACTGAACATAAGGCAAATACAAAACAGCAATTCCTCCGAGACAAGAAACTAATGAGGTAAGCCCTACACTTGCCAGCTTCTACCTGGGGAGAGTTTCCAGGCTGCAGCACAAGGAGTAGCATCCAAGCTATTATAGCTCCCTGAGTGGAGGAGACAGAACAGAGAGGCTGAGAGGCCAACATGACTAGAGTTCACAGGGCAGAGAACTGGAGAGGAGAGCTTCCCAGAGAGAGAGCTCCAAAGATCTGCAGAGAGCCCCCTGAAAGCCTTCGGGTGAATATCGAACAGTATTTGTATGTGAGGAAACTACCCAGGTTTAAGAAAAGAATATCCCAAAGGAGCAGAGGAACCAGTTTCCGAAGACCTGGAGTGGTTTGCCTCCCTATCAACCAGAGTGGAAAACTTCATAAATCACAAAGCATCAAGCAGATTCCTTAAAAGGGCATTGCTTTAACAGTGGGAGGAAACATAGTAGTCCTGCCTAAGAACGCTGCAAAGTGAGCCTCAAAAAATCAAACTTTTCAAGTAACTTAACTGCATCCCAGAACAAAGTTTAAGAATATTTATAGGAATATTAAAATGGTCAGCACACAAGGTAAAGTTCATGATGTTTCACATCCAACAAAAAACTACTAGGCATGCAAAGAAACAGAAAAATACAACCGATAATAAGGATAAAAAATTAAGCAATAGAAACATACCTGGCCAGGTGTGGTGGCTCACGCCTATAATCCTAGCACTTTGGGAGACCGAAGCAGGCAGATTACCTGAGGTCAGGAGTTCAAGACCAGCCTGGCCAACATGGTGAAACCCTGTCTCTACTAAAAATACAAAAAATTAGCCAGGTGCAGTGGCACGCACCTGTAATCCCAGCTATTCTGGAAGCTGATGCAGGAGAATTGCTTGAACCCAGGAGGTAGAGGTTAATTACGCCACTGCACTCCAGCCTGGGCTACAGGGTGAGACTTCATCTAAAAAAAAAAAGAAAAGAAAAGAAACATACCCCAAAATAGCACAGAAGATAGAATTAGTATACAAGACATTAAAACAATTATAATGACTGTATTCCATAAGCTCAGAAAACTAGAGTAATGACTGATCATGTTAAGTAGAGAGAAAGGGGAGAAAAGACCCAAATCAAACTTCTAGATATAAAAAAATACAATGTCTGCAGTGAAAAATGACACTGGATGGCATTAACAGCAGATTTGAATTAATACAGATTTGAATTAACACAGAAGAAAGGACTAGTAAATTTGAAGACATAGCAATAGAAACTATTTAAAATAAAATACAGAAAAAAATATATAATGATATATATAGATATATATAAAGTGAATAGCTCATCAGTGAGCTGTGGGATAATTTTATGCAGTCTAACATATATGTAGTTAAGAGTCTCTCAAAGAGGAGAGGAGCATAAAAATATTTAAATAAATAACCAATAATTTCCCATATTTGATACGAACCATAAACCATGGATTCAAAAATACCAACAAACATCAAGCACCAAGGCATGTAATGATTAAATTGCTTAAAACCAGTAATAAAGAGAAAATCTGAAAAGTAGCAGAGAAAAAGAGACACATCATATACAAAAGAACAATGAATGACAGCAGACTTCTCATTGGAAATATTTCAAGCAAGAAGACAGTGGAATAACATCATTAAAGTACAGAAGGTAAAAAAATAATGAAAAAACCTGTCAACCCAGAATTCTGTACCCAGTGAAAATATATTTCAAAACAGAGGAGAAATGATTACTTTTTCCAAAATAAAAAGTTGAAAACATTCATCAATGGCAGACTTGATCTACAAGAAATGTTAAAGAAAGTCCTTGAGACAGAAGCAAAAATGACACCAGATGGAAATTTTAATCTACACCAAGGAATAAAGGCCTCTGGAAAAGTAGTTATGTGAGAAAACATTGAATTTTTTTTATTTTGAAAGTATCTTTAAAAGATAATTTATTGGTTAAAGCAAAACAACAAGTACTCTGGGTTTATAACATATATAGAAATTAAACACATGACAACAATAGCCTAAAGGTTGTGAAGGAGGAAAGAGAAGCATGCTGTTGTAAGGTTCTTACTCTGTGTGAAGTGGTATAATATTACTCAAAGTGGTTTGGGATTGAGGATGTACACTATAAACCCAAAAGTAACCACTAAAAAGTAGTTGTATCTAATTAAGCTAATAAAGGAGATAAAATGAAGTCACAAAATATCCAATCCAAAAAAGGCAGAAAAAGAGGGAAAAGAGAAGAAACAATACATGGAACAAATAGCAAGCAGGTAGATTTAAACCTAATCATATCAATAATCGCATTCAGTATAAATGGTCTAAATACCACAGTTAAAAAGCCAAACTGTCAGATTGTTTGTACAGAGCAAGATTCAATTCTATGAATCTTGATTCATAGTGGATTTCTAAGAAATCCACTTTAGGCTGGGCTCAGTGGCTCATGCCTATAATCCCAGCAACTTGGGAGGCTGAGCTGGGCAGATCACTGGAGGCCAGGAGTTCAAGACCAGCCTGGCCAACATGGCAAAACCCTGTCTCTACTAAAAATACAAAAATTAGCTGGGTGTGGTGGCTACCTGGGAGGCTGAGACAGGAGAAGCGCTTGAATCCATGAGGTGGAGGTTGCAGTGAGCCAAAATTGTGCCACTGCACTCCAGCCTAGGCAACACAGCGAGACTCCCTCTCAAAAAAAAAGAAGAAAGAAAGAAATCCACTTTAAATATGAAATAAGTTAAAGTAAGTAAAAATTATGAGTAAAGATGTACTGTGCTAACAATAATCAACAGAAAACTGAAATGGCTATATTAATATAATACAAAGTAGATTTCAAGTGAAGAATATTACCAGAGATAAAGAGTCATTTCATAATGATAAAGTGTTTAGTTCATTAAGAAAATATAACAGTGCCAAACATTTATACACCTAATAGCAGAGTTTCAAAATACATTAAGTAAAACCTGATAGAATTACAAGGAAAAATGTACAAATCTACAATTACAGTTGGAGATATTTCAATGTCCCTCTCTCAATAATTGATAGAACAAGCAGGCAGAAAATCATCAAGAATGTATAGTAAACTTGAACAACACTATCAACCAACTTAACTGACATTTATAAAACACTTTACCCAACAACAGAAGAATACACATTTTTCAGTGTACATAAAAACATTTATCAAGATAGACCATATTCTGACCATAAAACAAATTTCAATACATCTAAAATTAGTCAAAGCATGTTCTCTGACCACAGTGGAATTAAATTACAAATCAATAACAAAAAGGGATCTGGAAAATCCCCAAATAGTTGAGAACAAAATAAGACACTTTAAATAACCTCCAAGTTAAAAAAAAATCAAAAGAGACATTAGAAAGTATTTTGATCCAAGTGAAAATAAAAATGCAACATATCAGAATTTGTAGGATACCACTAAAGCAGTACTTAGGGGGAAATTTATAGGACTAGACACCTATATTAGAAAAGAAGAAAGGTCTCAAATAGTGTTATCAGCTTCTATCTTAAGAAATAGAAAAAAGAAGAGTGAATTTAACCAAAATCAGCAGAAAAAAAGGAAATAATAAAGATCAGAGCAGAAATAAATGATATAGAAAAACGAAAAAGCAACAAAGAAAATCAATGCAATCAAAAGTTACGTTTTTTTTTTTTTTTTTAAAGAAGATCAAATGACTATTGGAAAAATACCAAATGAATTGTCTGCAGCAGAGCACATGTTTTGGAGTCCAACAGACCTGATTTCAGTCACAGCTCGGGTGTTATTAATTATGTGATTTTGGATTGTCCGTGCCTCAGTTTCCTCCTACATAAAATGTACCTGCCTTGCTATTTCATACATTGCTGATGAGGGTAAAAATGTAAAAAATTTTAAATGCATTTTCCCTTTGACCCAACAGTCCCAGTTCTGGGAATTTATTCTACAAGAAACTTTTTTTTTCTTTAACAGCTCTTCTAAGATCTAATTCCCATACCACACAATTCACCCATTTAAAGTGTATAAGTCAACAAATTTTAGTTTGTTTTCAGAGTTGTGCAACCTTTACCACAATTTATTTTAAAACATTTTCATCTCTCCCCTAACATTTCATACCCATTAAGGAGTCACTTCCATTTTCTACCAATTTCTCCAGCCCTAGGCCACCACTAATCTACTTTCTCTGTATATAGTTTTGCCTATTCTGAACATTTTATATAAATGGAATCGTACGTGATCCTTCACAACTGGCTTCTTTCACTTAGCATAATGTTTTTAAGGTTCATCTGTGTTGTAGCCTGTATCAGTACTTCATTTCTTTTTATTGCCAAATCATATTTCATCATATGAATATGCCACGTTTATCCATTCATCAGTTGATGACATCTGGATTATTTTTATTTTTTGCTATTATGAATAATGCTGCTATGAACAGTCATGTACAAGCTTTTGTGCAATTTTATGAACGTGTTATTATTTCTCTTAGTTGTATACCTAGGATAATTTCTGGGTCACATGATAACTCCATGTTAACATTTTGAAGAACTTCCAAACTGTTTTCCAAATTTGCTGTACCATTTTACATTCCCACCAGCAATGTATTAGAGTTCCAATTTCTCCATATTCTCATCCATTGTCTTGGACTAAATGTTTGTGTCCCTTCAAAATATATGTGTTGAAGCTCTATGTCATTGTATTAGAGATAGGACCTGTGAGAAGGTGATAAAGGTTATACCTTTATCATAAGGGTGAGGCCCTAATATGGCTCTTATAGGTGCACTTATAAGAAGAGGAAGATATTTATCAACCCATGTTCATAGCGGTATTACTCACAATAGCTACAGTGTGGAAGCACCCCAGATGTCCATCAGTGGATGAATAGATAAGCAAAAGATGATATGTCCATACAATGGAATATTCCTCAGCCCTAAAAAAGGAAGGAGATTCTGCAATATGTTATAACATGGATGAACCCTGAGGACATTATACTAGTGAAATAAGCCAGCCACAAAAAGACAAATTCTGTATGATTCCACTTACATAAGGTACTTAGAGTGGTCAAAATCATAATGATAGAAAGTACAATGGTGGTTTCCAGGGGCTAGGGGGAAGTGGAAATGGGGAGTTATTGTTTAATGGAGTTTCAATTTTGTAAGATGAAAAGAGTTATGGAGATGAATTGGGGTAACGGTCACACAACTTTATGAACGTGTTTAATGCCACTGAACTATATGCTTTAAAATGGTTAAGATGGTAAATTTCATGTTGTATGTATTTTAGCACAATAAAAATATTGGAAAAAAGCTGCCAATGTATTATTTATGATCTCATTCAAATATGCAATAAAAGTATAAAAACATAATTTCAGGCTAGTGGTTAACATGAGGAGAGGGAGCGGGAAGGGATGAGATTGGGCTTTAGCTATGTATTTAATATTTTTATTTTCTACAAAAAGAGCGAGTTCTGAAGTAAACATGGCAAAATACCACACATTTGTTAAATCAAGTGAATGGGCTATATAGAGGTCAATTATATTTTTCTGTACTTTACTGTATTCTTTAAATATTTCATAATTTGAAATCTAAAAATTAAATTAAGTTGATAAAAATAAAAGAGAAAGAAACACCAGCATACATTTGTGTGCTCTCTTTCTGTCTCTCTCTCTCTACACATGCAGAGGAAAAAAAGGTCCTAGGTACTCAGTGCAACAGTGGTCCTCTACAGGCCCAGAAGAGAGGGCTCACCAGAAACCAAATCAGCCAGCCCCTTGATCTTGGACTTCCCAGCCTCCAGAACCATGAGAAATAACATTTCTGTTGTTTGAGCCAACCAGTCTGCGATATTTTGTTATAGCAGCTGAAATGAACTAAGACACTTGTTATTATGTGTCTTTTTGATTATAGCCATCCTAGTGAATGTGCAGTATCTCACTGTGGTTTTGATTTGCATTTCCCTAATGGGTAATGATGGTGAGCAACTTTTTAATATACTTATCATATCTTCTTTGGAGCAATGACTATTCAAATCCTTTGTCTGTTTTTTCAATTGGGTTATCTTTTTATTGTCAAGTCTACAGAAACTCTTGTACTCATATGAAATGATACACACAAAGCCTGTTTGTTGCAACACTGTTTATAATAGCAAACAGATTGGGAACAATCTTGGTCTTCATCACTGGGAACTGTGTAGTTTATCCATACAATGAAATATTATGCAGCTGTGAAAAGAGAGAGAAAGGTCACAGAGTAATTTATGGAAAGTACCCCAGGATATATTGCTAAATGAATAAAAACAAGCAAGGTGTAGAACAGAATGTATAGTATTCTTTTTTCCAAGAAGAGAGAAAAATAATATATATTATTATTTCCTTGTATTTTCTTTGCTTTTTTTTTTTTTTTCTTTTTGAGACGGAGTCTAGCTCTGTTACCAGGCTAGAGTGCAGTGGTGTGATCTCGGCTCACTGCAACCTCCACCTCCCAGGTTCAAGTGATTCCCCTGCCTCAGCCTCCAGAGTAGCTGGGACTACAGGCATGCACCACCACGCCAGGCTAATTTTTTGTTGTTGTTGTTGTTTTTGTATTTTAGTAGAAACGGGGCTTCACCATGTTGGCCAGGATGGTCTCAATCTCCTGGCCTCATGATCCACCCACCTCAGCCTCCCAAAGTGCTGGGATTACAGGCGTGAGTCACCGTGACCGGCCACTTATATTTTCATAAAGAACCATAGGAAGGACCCACAAGAAATATTAAAACATGATTATCCATGTGATAGGAGATGAGTTAACAGGAACAAGGATAAAACTGAAACTTTTTATTGTATAGCTGTGTGTATTATTTTGATTTTTGAACCTTTTAAATGTATTGCCCAAAACACACAAAAAATTATATATGAAAAGCTTAAAATTTACATAGAGTGACCAGCTCTTCATAGGTGCTTCCCTTGGGCGTGGGCCTGATTCTTTCCCCTGCAGATAGACGTCCTTCCTGGCAGGACAAATCTGGGCCATGACCACACAAAGCTCCAAGTTTACGTCATTCTGGACCCCAGAGGAAAGATCAGCATTTTCCTGCCCAACATTTGTAGATAAAAATCTCAGGGAAGGACTCTGATTGGCTCTGCTTCATCACATGCTCATTCCTGCGGCAAGAAGCAGCAACTGTAATTTACTGAGTCATCTGAGCCACAGTCACAGGAGTGGAGGGGGTGAGGGGGCGTCACTTCTTCAAAGAGAAGAAGATGCTGTTATCAGAGGGGGAATGGGATGCTGTACAGATCAAAACAACAGGCATCCACCCCAGCAAATGACAGTTCTTAGAGTGTGATACATGTCATGATATAGGTCAACACAGTGGGCTGTGAGAGCCCAGAGGAGGCAGCAGTCTAGCTAGGAAGCCTTCCTGGAGGTGGTGACGCTCTGTCTAGGTTTTAGATGATGAGTAGGAGAACTTCTTGGGAGAAGAAGAGAAAATGTGGACAGTGTTTCAGGCAGAGAGAACAGCAACATGCAGAAAGATGCAGAGAAGGAAGGTGGCGCTATGGGCTGAATTACGACCCCCCCCAAAATTTTTTTTTTTCTTTTTTTTTTTTTGAGACAGAGTCTTGCTCTGTCACCCAGGCTGGAGTGCAGTGGCACAATCTTGGCTCACTGCAACCTCCATCTCCCAAGTTCAAGCAATTCTTCTGCCTCAGCCTCCTCAGTAGCTGGGACTACAAGTGTGCACCACCACGCCCAGCTAATTTTTGTATGTTTTTTTGGTAGAGATGGGGTTTCACCATGTTGGCCAGGCTGGTCTCGAACTCCTGACCTCAGTTGATCTGCCAGCCTCGGTCTCCCAAAGTGCTGGGATTACAGGTGTGAGCCACCATGCCCAGCCCCAAAAATCATTTGTTGAAGCCCTAACCCCTAGTTCCTCAGAATGTGACTGTATCTGGACATGGGGCATTTAAAGAGGTGATTACATTAAAATTAGGCCCTAAGGTGGGCCCCAATCCAGTTTGACTGGTTTATTTATTTATTTATTTATTTTGGAGGCAGAGTCTTGCTCTGTCACCCAGGCTGGAATGCAATGGCACGATCTCAGCTCACTGCAACCTCCGCCTCCCAGGTTCAAGCAATTCTTGTGCCTCAACCTCCCAAGTAGCTGGGACTATAGGCATGCACCACTACACCCAGGTAAGTTTTGTATTTTTAGCAGAGACAAGGTTTCGCCATGTTGGTCAGGCTGGTCCTCGAACTCCTGGCCTCAAGTGATCCACCCGCCTTGGTCTCCCAAAGTGCTGGGAGTGCAGGCGTGAGCCACCATGCCTGGCCTTGACTGGTGTCTTTATAAAAGGAGGAAATTTGGACTCATAAAAAGATACCAGGGCTGGATGTGCACAGAGGAAGAACATGTGAGGACACAGTGAGAAAGCAGCCCTCTGCAAGCCAAGGAGAGAGGCCTCAGGAGAAACCAAATCTGCCAACACCTTGATCTTGGCCTTCCAGCCTCCAGAATTGTGAGAAAATAAATTTCTGTTGTGTCAGCTGCTCAGCCTGTGTTATTTCATTGTGGAAGACTAATTAATATAGGTAGCATGATGCATTTAGGAAGACCTGACTGTTCCACCTTGCTGGGCTGCAAGGTGCAAGGCAGCACTGGCAGGTTCCTCAGCAGGACAGTGTTATAAGCACAGTTTTGATCTGGGGAAACACATAGTTTAGTGGAAATAAAAATAGCTCATGTTTCCTAAGTGTCTATTCTGCTAGACATTGTGCTAAGCTCTTTATATGTGTTAACTTGTTGAATTCTCACAACAAACCTGTAAGTACTGTTATCATCCTCTCAGTACAGTAGAGAAAATTGGGGCACAGAGAGGTTAAGTGACTTGCCCAAGATCACACAGCAGACAAGTGATGGAGCTGGGATGGAACCCAGGTCTGTCTGACCCCAATCCCTGAGAAAGAGGATACTCAGGATCTGGTGACTGCTTGGAAGTGGGTGGAAGTGGGTTGTGGAGGGGGACGTGGACAGTGACTGAGGTTTTCAGCCTGAGTACCTGGTGGTGCCACAGACTTTGGGTGAATAATAATGGCATTTTCCCCAAAATACTCCTTAAATAATGGCTAATATTTTTGTTTTCCCGAAAACATTTGGTGCTCATAGCTACTGTTATCATTGCAGCTCCGGGGAAGGTGGGGGCGCTGTGCTCTTCGGAAAGGCTGTGTTCCTCTGGGCTTGCCACTCCCACAGCTCCTCCCCCAGTGTTCCTCACCATGGCAATCCCTCCAAGCTTCGGTCCCAGGCCCACTTCCTCCTGGAAGCCCTCCCCCTGTTGCGGCTCAGGGTCGGTCTTCTGATACTTGTCTGAGTGTCTCTGGGTAGCCGCTTGGTCCCCTGGGGTAGTTTGTGCATAGGAGGGAGTCCATTCATGTTCATGGTCTCCCTCCCTCCCTCCTCCCTTCCTTCCTTGTCCCTCTTCCTCTAGAAATCCATGGCATCCTTGCCATCAGACCTCTGCGACGATCCCACCTGGATGACAAGAGACCCCAGTCCTCACTTCTAAGCATCCTCAGGCAAATATTAGCTTACCTAAAAGCCAGCAACGAATTGGAGTAGGTGAAGCAGTGGGTGTCAGAGGCAGGACTCCGAGACTTTGGTGGGGCCTGCAGCCCTGCTCCCTCCGGTGGAATGACCGGTGAGCTGTCTTGGCCTTAGCTTGGACCCCTTTGCTTCCTTCATATCTGGGGCCTGGCTCCTCTGAACCATGGGGGTTCTCATTTCCTCTATATGAGATTTACAGAGTAGGGACTAGGCTGATTGAATGTACAGACAACTCCTCAGGTCGGCCTGGCCTCTGCTAAGGGGTAGGGACCAATTAGGCACCTGCAGTGCTGGGCCCTGTACTGAGCACACGCAGGAGAAAAGGAAAGGAGCAGGCAGCCCTCTGTTCTGGGAGGGGACATCCTCTGGCTGAGGGCAGGGCAGGGAGGTGGGCCGGGAACTTGGGGCATAGCCTGCTCCCACCTCCTGTGTCTCCATATGGAGAGGGGCTAAGAGGTTGCTCCCCAGCCTGAGGCCTGGGTCAGACCCAGCAGGGCACGCTGTTGGGATGGATTAAGGAAATACTCTGCCAGGGACTTGCAAGCAGCCGCCTCCTGACCACCTGCCCTTCTCTGCCCCGTCTCTGTCACCCTCTCACACACTGTCACACTTATTAAATGAGATAATCTGAGTAAAGCACTTAGCATCCTGACTGGCGAGCAGTGAGCACTGGATAAATGTGAGGCCCCGCCCCCACCCAGTCTGTCTGCACACGCTGCATGCATGGGCCCTGGCAGCAGCACTGACACCCCCCTCCTACGCCCCAACTTGCAGAGACTCACAAACACCCACTCACGGGGGAACCCTTGTTTACATTGTACACACTGTCTCACCCCCACCGCATTTCTTTCTCTCCATTGAACTCTCTCAGCAGGCTCCTGGGCAGAGGACAAGTGGCCCCTGTGGAAAGGGCAGGACTGGGGAAGACACTTGTTCCCCATGAGCCAGCCTGGTCCAGAAACCTGAATCTGAACAAGCTGGAGAAGGGGCCTGGGGCTGGCAGAAAGGATGATGGAGGAGGCTGGAGATGAGCAGGCTGACCCAAGCCTCCCCACAGGGACCAGGAGAAAGCTGAAATACAGGCTGGCCGGGGCCAGGGAATGGGAAGGATATAGAGAGGCATGGAGAGCCTCTACAGGACCAAAGTAAGCTGGTAACATGGGTTGGCAATGGCCATCCCTAAACCACAAGGCCTCTTCCTCCTCAGGTCAGAAAGTAGGATCCTGAGGCTTAGCAGCCTAGGGCTGACCGGAGCCTGGGAGGGTTGGAGAGGAAGGGAGCAAGGACTTTGCCTGTACCAATCTCCATCTCCAAGGGTCATGTATATGAGCCCTTGGTCAGAGTCAGACATAGGCCTGGAAGAGACAGACAACATATGGAAATAAACAAGACTGGCAGCCTGGGTCATCAGAAGAGTGGGGGAAGGGAGGGGAGCCTGGGCTCCAACAGACACTCAATACCATCAGCACACACCCACCACAGATTCCCTGCCCACATACAGACACACACAGCCCACACTCAATACCATCAGCACATGCCCACCATGGACTCCCTCCCCACATACAGACACACACAGCTCACACTCAGTACCATCAGCACACGCCCACCATGGACTCCCTCCCCACATACAGACACACACAGCTCACACTCAGTACCATCAGCACACGCCCACCACGGATTCCCTCCCCACATACAGACACACACAGCTTACACTCAATACCATCAGCACATGCCCACCATGGACTCTCTCCCCACAGACACACACAGCTCACACTTAATACCAGCAGCACACTCCCACCACAGACTCCCTGCCCACATACAGACACACATAGTTCACACTCAGTACCATCAGCACACACCCACCATGGACTCCCGCCCACATACAGACACACACAGTTCACACTCAGTACCATCAGCACACACCCACCATGGGATCCCTCCCCACATACAGACACACACAGTTCATACTCAGTACCATCAGCACACACCCACCATAGACTCCCTCCCCACATACAGACACACACAGTTCACACTCAGTACCATCAGTACACGCCCACCGTGGCTCCTGCCCACACACAGACACACACAGCCCAGAGACATTACCCATGTTGAACAGACCACCTAACAGCACACAGACACACTGAGCTACACAGTATTGACACCTCTCACCTATCTCTCATATCTGTATATGTACAGTATGCACAACAGTGCCACATTTGCACCAGCAGCAAAGCACCCCAACATACACTGGACATACACTCAAGCCAAAGCCTAATAGAGCCAGCAGAGATTTTCCCCCTGCCCACATGGATAACCCAGAAATAGCACACACTTTCTTACAATGCAAATGTACACACACACACCGGTCCACATGCTCTCAGGGACATACGCACACATACACATGCACATATGTGCCCCAACATGCAGACACTGCTCCTTCTACTCAGATAGTCCCGGGTTTTCTTGTCTTTCTCCCCAGTGTCTTTCCTGATCTCTATTTCCATCCTGTATGTCTCTTCAAGATTTATTAGGCAAGACCCCGTCAGTCCATGGCTGGCCTCCTTGCCTCACCAAGGATGCAGGCACACACACATGCACGCATGCACACACACGCACACATTGCACATGGTCATGGGATGCCCTGGGGAGCAGCCTTAGTGCACAGGGAATTCTCCTGCCATGCTGGGCAGCAGGAAGAGAGGGTAGGGACTTCACAGGGTGACCACCCCACCCCAGGATGGGGCCTCCTGGTTCCTTGTTGGACCTCCCAGCTGCCCTTACTGCTCTTGCTACTTATTTGCAGTTCCAGACCAGCCTGTGCCTCTCCCGCCAACTTTGCCCTTGCACATGCAGTTCTCTGCCTAGAATGCCCTCCCTGCTCCAGCTGTCAGTGGCTGTCAGACTTTTGAATTTCATGGATCAGTTAAAAACTTCAAAAGAAAGTGTGGGGAATGATCGAAGGTTGCCAAGTTTTCATTTCATTAGTAAAGATATTTAAAATATAACTACCATCCTCTAACCACCATCGTTTCATAAAAAGGATGCTTTAATACCAACAAAGCAGGAAGGACATAATCTCAGGATAAAGAGTAATCCTTTACATTGAACACATTTAGCTTTACATAAAACCCATTGTGTTGTCCTTTTTCTCATTTCACCCCATGAACCACTGGAAACTTTGTCACAGATCAGTGTTTCAAACCACGGAATCCTCAGCTCACATTGGGCCTCCTACAGGAAGCCTACTCCACAGCCTCACCCCGTCACCCCCTAGCTCCCCCCAGTACCAGTCACTGTCTGCGAGACTCTGTTGCACTCTGCACATATAGCCACAGTCATTATTGTTTACTAAGGGCCCACCCGGTTAAGCGCTGCCAGGTGCTTAACACGGATTATCCCATTTTATCCTCATAACCCTGAAAGGTGAACATTTTACAGATGAGAAACCATAAGTGGCTTCCCCCAATCCTGCAACCCCTGCTGGAGGCATGATTGCTGGAGGGTGGTGGAAAGAATCTCAAAGACAGATCTGGCTGCTAATCCAGGCTCTCCATCCCTATTTGTATGATTTGGGCAAGTCATTTCACCAATCTGGGTCTCAGTTTTATCATCCATGAAATAGGAACAATAATCCCTACTTGGCAACATTGTCCTGAAGGAGTGCATGTAAATCTCCCAAGACAGCGTCTGGCACATAGAAGACACTGGAAAATGGGGGTTAGGCCCCCTCCCACATTCCCCGTTCTCCCCTCCCCAAGCCCAGTGACTTTCTCTACACCTCATTCTCCCAATTGTCCATCTCCCTACCTCTCTCAGGCTCCTGTGTTAAACTCTATTGCTCGTCCCCTCTTCTAAAAGTGGGAGTGGCCCAGGGAACAAGCCTTGGCTCTCTTCTCTCTTCTATCTAGTCTCCCTCACCAGCTGAGCTCATTCTGCCCCATGGCTTTAACTCACTTTTTCTTTCTTTCTTTCTTTCTTTCTTTCTTTCTTTCTTTCTTTCTTTCTTTCTTTCTTTCTTTCTTTCTCTTTCTTTTTTTCTTTTTTTGTGAGACAGGGTCTTATTCTGTCACCCAGGCTGTACAGTCGTGGCTCACTGCAGCCTCAACTTCCCAGCTTAAGCATTCACCCCACCTCAGCTTCTCAAGCAGCTTGAACTACAGGCTGCGCCACCACAGCTGACTAATTTCTATGTTTTGCAGAGATGGGGTCTCACTATGTTGCCCTGGCTGCTCTCAAACTCCTGGGCTCAAATGATCAGCCTCAGCCTCCCAAAGTGCTGGGATTACAGGCATGAGCCACTGCACCTGGCACCCTCTTGGCTCTGAATATCATCTACACATTGACTTTAAAAT
Source organism: Homo sapiens (assembly GCF_000001405.40). Taxonomy (NCBI): domain Eukaryota; kingdom Metazoa; phylum Chordata; class Mammalia; order Primates; family Hominidae; genus Homo; species Homo sapiens. Next base: position 41,326,695 of record NC_000001.11, on the reverse strand, counting down.
ATAAATCCCCAGTCCTGATCTCTTCCCAGGATCCAAACCTATATATTCAACTGCCTCCTTAACACCTCTCCATATGGCCTCATGGGTCTCCCAGACTTAGTACATATGAAACAGAGACTTGATTCCTCTCGCCCCAAACCATTCCTCTACCAGTTGTTCCATCTCAGTAAGTCACACACCATCATGGCCTAGTTGCTCAAGTTGACCAGCCTGGCCAACATGGTGGCACCCCATCTCAACTAAAAACATAGTGGGCATGGTGGTGCACACCTGTAGTCCCAGCTACCTAGCTGAGGCAGGAGAATCGCTTGAACCCAGCAGGCGGAGGTTGTGGTGAGCTGAGATCATACCTCTGCACTCCAGTTTGGGTGACAGAGTGAGATTCCGTCTCAAAAATAAATAAATAAATAAAATGAAATAAAATAAAAAATAAAGAAGAAGAAGAAGTGCCCTTTCAAAGTAAAGTTGTAAGAAGCTTTGAAGCTTCTTCCCAGGCCTCTTGTAATACTCATACTTGGAGATCCAAGCTGCTATGTAGGAAATCCAACCACCCTGAGGCCGCCATGCTGTGAGGGAACCTAAGCTCACCGAGAGGCCACCTGGAGAGGAGAGAAAGATGCCTACTCAGCCTCCAATTGTTACATATCACAGACACCTTTGAGTCACCCCGGCTGAGGCCCCAGACACCGTGGGGCATAGATTAGCCATCTCCACTGTGGTCTGTCCAAATTCCTGACCCTAGAATCATGAGATATAATAACAACAAATTATTGTTTTAAGCCACTACTTATCAGCATAGTTAGCTATGGAGAACTAAATAATTCAGCAGGAGGATTACTCTGGGCTCGTAAAATTAGTTGGGGTATGTTCTCTCGTATATTTTCTGAGAGTTTGTGTATGATTGGTATCATTTATTCCTTAAATATTTGATAGAATTTACCAGTGAAACCATCTGGGTGGGAAATTTTTATATTATAAATTCAATTTCTTTAATAGATATCGTTTTCCAGATTTTCTATTTTCTTTTATGGAATAATCTTCATAAATGCCAATAAATTATATCACTCCCCTTATGAAAGCCCTCAGTGGCTTCCCTCTGCACAAAAAATAAAACCAAAGTCCCTTCCACAACCTATAAGGCTCTTTATGATCTACCTCCTACCTACTTTTCTGATCTCACCTGGAATCACATTTCTAATATTTACAGGGCTGATTCCTTAATATCATTTATTCATTCATCCATTCATTCAGTTTGTTAGTTATTAAGTTAGTTAGTTAGAGATGGGGTCTTGCTCTGTCACCCAGGCTGGAATGTAGTTGCACAATCATAGCTCACTGCAGCCTCAAACTCCTGGGCTCAAGCAATCCTCCTGCCTCAGCCTCCCAAAATGCTGGGACTTAATATCATTTACATTTCAGTCCAGGTGTCACCTCTTTAGGGAAGTCTTTTAGGCCAAGTCAAAATTACCCCCTCAATTGATCTGTTTCATATTATCTATTTAAAAAATTTTATTTCACTTATCATTATCTGACTTTATCTTTATTCTTAGTTAACTCATCTATTATCGCTATGTGTTCACCACACCTTTTAGAATTTCAGGTCCATGTAGGCAGGGACCTTGCTGGTCTTACTCATGGCTGTGTGCTAGGAGCCTAAAACATATGGCCATAGATGGCAGTAACTACATATTTGCTGAATCGTTGGCTTGTTGTGCTGGCCCCCAGCCCTGTGCTCTTCTGTGATCAGTCCCCAGACATGGTTAGCATCAGGTAAAGGAACGGGTAGAGTTTCCAGTGGCCACACCTCCACAGTTTTTTTTGTTTTTTTTTTTCTCCTACCAGTGTCTGACTTCAGCCTGGCTCTCTTTCCCATCACCAGCAGTCAGGAGGCATCTTCAAGGCCATTTAGGAGAAGAGATCCAAGTGTAGCACCTGGACACAAAGCTGTGGCTACTCATTCTAGTTCAGAAGCCTCTGAGTCCATGAGTGTCTTTGAATAAATCACTTCCCCTCTGTCTCTCACCTGACACATTGTAGATGCTCAATCATTCTCCAGTAAAGATCACTTTACTGTGAGATGGACCCACATTTATATAGTTCTAACTTACCCCAATACCCTTGTTATAGATGAGGAAACTGAGGCACAGAGAGGCTAAGTAGCTCCACCAATGCCACAGAGTAAAAAACTGGAAGTGCTGGAGCTCATAGATTTCCCCCTCAATTTATGATCCCACCAACAAGGGCATCAATTTCAGAAATTAACAGCTGCAAATGATGGCATCAAACCGGACGCCGCAGCAGCCGTCCGAAGTGCATCTCCAATTCAGGTTTATCTTCATTAAGCAAGTAATTCATTACCGGGCAGTAAGCATTCACATCAGAGCGAGAATATTAAAAAAGTAATTATATTTTTTCACAGTGCAGCTTTCTGGGTAAATTGTATGCAAATTGCTGTCTAAATCAGGCTGGCAGATCCCGGGCAGGTCTCGGCACCATTTGGGGGAAAATTTGGGAGGTTGGACTAGTCACTCTCTGCCCACTTTAGTGAGTGTCCAGCACAGAGTCTGGCATTGAGACAGAGAAGGTTTAAAAATAATAGCTTCTATTATTTCTTAACTCCATCAAGCCTTGGTTTCCCCATCTGTAAAATGGGGCTTCTCCTAGGACTCAATAAGGGAGTGGAGAGGACAGTCTCCAGCACAGGACCTGCCCGGCATGGATATGGGAGGCAGATGACTTGGGAAATGGCAAGACAACTTCAAGGAGGAACACAGGGTTGTATCAATGAAGCACTGATACCTATGCCCAGAGAGAGGGTCAGGATAGCTGCTGGGGTAGGGCAGGGGGTGCTGGGGTAGGGCAGCGGGCGCTGGTGAGGGACCAGGAGGCCTGACTTTCTTCTCATCCTGACTCAGCCACTAAGTCATGTGTGACCCTAAGTTCTCTGGGCTATGCTTAATGCCCAGCCGTCTTTAACAAGGATAATTACCCACCAGGTGCACAGAACCATCACTGCTCCCAGGTCACACTGACCTCTAACCTGTAGGAACTAGAAGGCCCATGCTGGAAAAGAGGGGCTTGAAGAGCAAAGGCATCAATCCTCTCAGTTTACTGATGGGAAAAAGAAGCCCAGAGAAAGGCATCAGAGACTCAGAGTCACACGCCAGGTAAGTGATGGAGTCAGAACCAGAAACCCAGGCCAGAGCAGCTCCAACATGCACTGTCAGTACCCGTCTTGCAATGGGCACTTACGGCCTGTGTTGGAAGCTGTTGCACATGTTGGAACATGTTGCACATGTGGCTTTATCTCAGGGTTGGGAAGTGATCCCGGGCTTGGGTCTGAGAGAGGTTATTTCCCAACTGAACCTTAGTTTCTCCACTTGTCAAATGAGGCAGTTGGGAGAGACATCGCTATGGACCCCTCCCATGAGACTTACTAGGTAGGATTTTTAATGACATCCTTTCCCTTCCCCCAGGGCAAAAACTCTGAGGAGAGCCAGGACTGCCCAGAGAAATAGGGGCAGAAGCGCTGGGCCTGGCTGAGGGCATCTTTGTGCCAGTTCCCAGCCTTCCTTGCCCACACACTGGCCACCAGCGGCGGTGATGGTTTAGGAAGATGCACAGTGCCCCCTTGTGATGGGGGCCACCTGCTACAGAGCTCCAACAGCCCAGGTCACAGGGCCAAGGCTACCCCAGAGGCCGTCTCCAACACACCCACACAAAGGTACAGCTCCAGCACACAGAGCTGTTGGGGGCTATGGCTATGTCTGGAGCTACAGTCACTAAAAGTCCAGCCAGGCGTGGTAGCTCACACCTGTAACCCCAGCACTTTGGGAAGTGGGCGGATCACCTGAGGTCGGGAGTTCAAGACCAGCCTGACCAACATGGAGAAACCCCATCTCTACTAAAAATACAAAATTAGCTGGGCGTGGTGGCACATGCCTGTAATCCCAGCTACTTAGGAGGCTGAGGCAGGAGAATCGCTTGAACCCGGGAGGCGGAGGTTGCAGTGAGCCAAGATCACACCATTGCACTCCAGCCTGGACAACAAGAGAGAAACTCCATCTCAAAAAAAAAAAAAAAAAGTCCAGCTCCATTCAGACTCACACTTGGGTTGGTACACACAGCTACACCCATGGGACACGAAGACAGGAACAGGTGTCCATACCAGCCTGGCCAGATATGGCTATACCTGACCACACGTTGACACACAGACACCCACAACACCCAGCCACAGTTAAGCCTTGGGTAGTCACCCAGCAGCGGCGCACCACACACACTGCATTACCCCATCACACCCAGACCCAGGCCCCTCTGGAAGAACAGGTGCCTCCTCTCTGACCCAGCTCTTGCTCACAAACCTTCACCTGTGCAGACCGTCAGTTCCTCATTCATGGGGCTACTAAAAAAGTCTTCCTGCCACCCGGGGACAGTCAGTTCCCAGGCTACACACAGAAGCACCTGCTTCTGTGCATGTCCAGACACATGTTGCGGCTGCTTCTATATCAGGGAGGCCCTTCTGTTCTCCTGTCTTGCTCAAGCATCACTTTCGAGCATCCAGTCCTGCAGGGGATTTTAGAGACCAATCAAGGCACAGCTCCTGCCTTCTCCCCACCTTGACATCTCTGAGACACAGCCCCAGCAGCAAGCAACCTCGGGCCTCACCAGTCAGGCCTCCTCCCACACCCTTCTCTGAGGCTGGGTTGGGGTGGGTTTAGGAATGAGCATGGGCTTGTGGAGCTTTCTTCAGGCTGTGAAACCTTCCCAGGCATTGGGAGTTTCCTTTCTGACTGGTCTTTCTTTAACTTATCTTTCTAGAAGAAATGCAAGGCTCCCCTGGAAGCCTTTCCTGACCATGCCTGGTAGCACCGGCCCCTGGGTACAGCCATGGTCAAGTTTGACCCAGGAGTCAGGAGAACCAGGTCGAAATCCTGGCTCCTATTCTAATTTCCTGGGTGACCCTGGGCCCATCTAGTCTTTTTTCTGGGCCTCAATTTCTTCTTCTGCACCATGGGGATGGGGCGGGAGGAGAGCACTAAACTGAGCTTGAAAGGACCCTCCGGTCTTATATTTCTCAAACTGTACTTTCCCCAAAGACCAGGACTGGTGACTGAGGCGCCAGAGCCAGACCCCACTCCCTGGTCACCTGCTCTGATGCTTTCCCCCCACCCTGGGCTGCTGACCACAGACACCCCTGGCAAAGGCAGAGCAGAGCAGTGGAAGGGGCAGCGTCATCGGAATCAGGGACAGCTGCGGGCATGCTGTGCTGCTTGAGGACAGGGTCTGGACCTGCAACTTCTTCGGCAGGGCCTGGTGTGCAGGTGTCACTTAACAAACATTTGCTAAATTGAAACCAATTCACTCCTTCCTAGCTGTGTAGTCTTAAGCAGGCAATTTCGTGTCTCTGAGCTTCACTGTCCTCCAGTGTAAGAGAGAGATACCAGCTCACCCCCTGTTATCTGTAGTCATGAGGATTCCTCAAGACGCTGCATCCCTCCAGAAGGCACTGCTCTCGACCCAGCGGGAGCCCCGCCAACAAGTCTCTCTTCCTCCTTCCCCTTCAAGCCTGCGTTCTCACTTGGCTGGCAGAGAAGTGGGACTCCCTAGAGCCCACCGGCCTTGGGGAAGAAGAGCTTGCCACAGGAACGGATGGGAAGGCGGACAGAGGAGGGGCGCGTGTGCCAGCATCCTGGAAATGAGCTTGGCCGGGTGGCGGCAGCCTGCTTCTCACTCTTGCCACACCGAAGGCCCCATAAGGCTCTGAGCAGGCAGCTGGGGTGGGAGGAAAAGAGGGAGGCAAACCCCTTCACCCACAGATACATGCAATCCTAGCCCCAGAGGTAGGGAGTCACCAAGTGCCCACCAAGGGAAAAGATCTGCTCTGTAGCAACCCCTCAGTCCTTCCCAGAGACATTTGCTCAGTGCCTTTTAAAGCTGTGCATTCCCTGGCCAGGGAGCCCTCTCTCTGCTGAGCTAAGCCTGCTCCCAGGCTGCCTGAGTACATCTGCTCCTTCTGCTCACGACAGCCCAGGACATGCAGACCAGCCAGGTGTCCTGCCCTGGCCTCCACCTCCTAGTCCTCTGCAGGCCAGACAGCAGTGCAGCTGTTACTTCTACCACATGGGTCTGAATCCCTCTCACCCGCTCCGACATGTCCCTGTGTATCTAGGCACATGCACACAGGTACACACACACATGCACTCCTACGGGGCCCCCAGGATCCAGTCCATCCCGGAAGGGCGCAGCCACCCTCCCCTGCACAGGGGCTGCTCCCCCTCCTCTCCTGAGTCTCCACTACTGCAGGACTGCCTTGGAAGACAGAGAGCAGGGGAAGGTAGGGGGCCCTGGAAGGACACGTCTCCCACTGAGAGCCCTTCCTCTTCCCCACCCCCTGCCTTCTGCCACTTTCCTATGTCAGGGCCATGCTGATGACACCAGAGAATCCATCAAATGCCACCCCCATGTCAGGTCATGTCACAACATAATTAAAGCATTAGATCTTTGTGATGAAGCCGTTGCCATCAATTCTGAGAGTGACTGATCCAATCTACAGAAAGGGAAAATTTCTCTCCGCCTGCCACAACTGCCACAGCTGGCTTCCCCTCCCTGAGAAGGGAGACGGTGGTGCTTGTTCTATTTAGGGCTCCAGACCTCAGTCTGGGAGGCAGGAACTGAGCCATGTGGGGGGAGGGCCGGCCTTGGGGTGTGTGCCCGTCCTGCCTCTGGGCCACTGGGGAACAGCAGTGCCTGGAGGCCTGGGACTCCTTCAGGCCCAGTCACTGAGCCACTCTGTGACTTTGGGAAAGGCCCTCCCCACCTCTGGATTTCAGTGACCTCTTCTGTAAATGAAAAATGAGGAGGGGGAGGTATGAAGGGTGGGAGGAATATGACTTGGTCTTTAATGACCATGGAGGTCAAAGCTTCAGGAGCATGGGGCCAGGTGGCTCAGGTTCTGATCCCAACTAACTGTGCAGCTGTGGTCAAGTGAGTTCTCTTTTCTCCTTCCCCTCACCCACAGGAGGGGAAATTATTCCTGCCTCACAGGGATCTGGGGGAAATTAAAGGAGACAGGGAATGTGAAAGCCTAACAGAAAAGAAATACCCCACCCTCTTGGCATCCCCAGCCCCATGACCTTCAGCTCCTGGCAGGCTCTTGAGCCCCAGATATTGGCCAAGGGCCTAGAGATTTAGGCCTGGCTGTTTTTTTTTTTTTTTTTTTTTTTTCCTCAGGACTACTAAGTGTGGACACAAAAATACTGGATCTGCAGTGACAGAGGACAGATAGAAGAGATAGCATGGGTAGGAACAGAAGAGTTGTCTGTGTCACTTCTGAGCTGATGTCACCATCAGGAGGTCTAGTGTTGTAGGAACAGGAGCCAGGCCTATGGGAATGAGAGGTCAGGGCTGACCCAGGAGAAAGGGAAAAGCACTGGGCCAAGACCGTCAGTCTGTGGCTGGCACGGCAGGTGAGAACAGGGCAAGTGGCAGAGCCTCCAATCTGAGGCTGTTGAGGGGAGATGAAGACAAAGGCAGAAGCAGGGAGACAAGAGTGGGGCCACAGCAGTGACCCAGACAAGAGATCATAGTGGCTTGGACTGAGTTTCCTGAGGAGTTGAGAGGTAACTCCTAGGTCTTTGGTGAGAGTCACTGAAGAGTTACCATTTATGGAGCTGCCACTTGTCAAGTTTGAGTCGACTATGGGAGAAAAAGGTTAGGGGTGGAAATCCAGGGTTTGGTTAAAGTCTGAGATACCTTATAGCCATCCAGGTGGAAATGAGCAAACCAATGGATGCGCAGTCTGGAGCTCAGGGCAGAGGTGTGTGCTGAGGAAATGCACCTGAGACTTGAGAGTCACTGGCAGAGAGAGAGTCCTTCAACCATGAGCTTGGAGGAGATCCCCTGGGAAGTGAGGGTAGGCCAAGAGAAGAGGGATAAGGACTGAACCTGTGGCACCGACTGCAACATTAAGAAGGAGGGAGCTGAGGAGGAACCAACAGTAGAGGCTGAGAGGGTTTGGTCAGGAAGGGAAGAGAAAAACCAGGCCAGTGCGGTGCCCTAGTTGAAAGGGTTCAGGGAGGAGGTGATCATCTGCCTTAAGGATAATGACAGCTCAGGTAAGATGAAGATTTAGAACTGGCTGATAATGACGAGGAGTAAATATTTGTTGAATGAACAAACAGAATAAACTGAAAATCCATCAACAGAACTGGGGCGTTAGATGGAATCTGGAATGGGACCTGGCCACATGGGTAGAGAATAAGGTGATCCCAGTTCAGCAACAGCCAAGGGGCCTTGGGGTCCAGCATCCAGGGCCAGGTTGGGTCCCCTAACCCCCTCCAGCCTCAGGCCAGGAAGGATCAGTCCTGGGAACTAGGGAGGAGACCCACTGCTGGTGAGTCAGATAATGATGGCTGTAGAGGGAGGTGGGCCTCAGAGACCAGTGGAGCCTGAAGGTTGAGTCTAGACCACAGCTACAGAGTCAAGAGGCAGAATTCAACTGTCACAAAGCCTGCTGAGATGTGTTCTGTGCCAGGTACTGTGAGAAGCATAGAAGGGAGACTCCAAAGGCATAAAACAAGGTCTTTCCCAGAGAGACTCCTGTCTAATGGGGGAAAGACACAGAGGATGGGGAAGTGGAACACACGATAATGGTATCTGCCATCCTTGTAAGATTCCTTTAAGTGCCCTGACAAGCTCTTGGATCCCAGATCCTACCAGGCCCCATGGAAAGAAAATCAGCTTATGTCCAAAGGGCTCTTCCTGGCCATCTAGGTTTTAAGTCTCTGGTTTCTGACCTCACTTCTTAATTCTCTTGTTTCTGGCCATCTGATCTTCTGGACATGACCCTTGGAATCCACTTAAGCGCTGACACTTTAAGGCAGTCATTCAGTCCTTCACACAGGCCCCTAAAGGTCCAACCAAGCTCCTGGCCAGCATGCTGGACACCCACAGCTTGTTCTGAACCTACCCCCATTGCAGTCCTATCCTGGTCCTGCTTCCATTGTAAGAGTGTATGGCAGACACACCCGACAGCAGTAGCATCACTTAAACATACCCGGAGAATTACCCCGTGTGGGAGACATACCCGAATGTGTGTTTGGAGTTCTGAGCTAAGGAATCCGGGAGTGGCCAACCCAGTGATTCATTTTTATCTATGAGGAACATCTAAACTCCCAGCCTGTCCCATGGAATGCGGGCCCTACAGGGTACCCAGGCCCTTTGTTTTGGGTTAAATGAAGGTGGCCAGGTGGAGGTTGTTAAGGGGAGGGTGCTAAGGGAAGGTGCTATATAAACTGCATGCTTTTCACAGGTGGTGTGGTTCTCCATCTAACCCACCCTGCTGGTCTGCTCTGTGTGTAAGTTCCCACTAATTAAACCCCATGTCTTGTTGGCTGGCTCTGAGTCTCTTCCTTGGCCTCTTGAACCTGGCGCCATCCCTACTGGATTTAATAAGGGTCTGGCATGACAACGAGATGTCTCAGGATCCTGGCTTTCTGGGCCACAGAACAAGCTCCTCCACTTCAGGCAACCTCAGCCAATGGACCCCACTCTAGGCAGCTCCTTCAGGCTCAATCTCCAGCCCCCAAATCGGCACCATAGTTGAATCTGAGCTCCTATGCCTTTGGGTCTGCTCTGCCAGGAGCGGGTTCTCCTTCCTGACCACTTGGCCTCTCAACTCAGCTCTGGGCCCCTCCCACTCCCATCCCCTTGAGGAGCACTCCCACCCCGCCTGACCCAGCCCCAAGGCTGGAAGAGAGATGGGCTGTGTTCTAGCAGTGCAGGGTGGGGTGGGGGTGGGCAATGGCTGTGAGAGCACAGAAGGCAGAAGAGTTGATTCTAGCCTGCATCTCCCTCTTAGCCTAGAGCAAGGGCCATGGAGGTTTGGGGAAAAAAAATGGAATCATCACCTTAAAGATGATCTTGGAAGAAAAATCACATAAGGGAGAGAAGCAGAAGGCCGGGACTCCTGGCTTCTGTCTAGAGAATTGGGCTGGAGGAAGGGAGTCACTGATGGGACAGGGGTTGAGGAAGAGGATACACAGACCTCAGGACACAAAATCTGGACTGGGACAGATCTCCAGGGCATCCAGGTCACTCCTGTACAATGCAGGAGTCCCTTCTCGTCCTCTTTACCAAGTGACTATCCAGCATCCCTGTGCACACCTCCACTGATGGGGCACTCACTCTCTTGAAGTTGGCCATCTTATTCTTGGACAGCTCTGCGTTCTCCTAGGTCTAAATCTGCAGTTCCAATCAAGGTCAGAGCTCTGTGCTCTTAGGCTCCACAGAGACGATTCCATTTCTCCCTTCACACTACAGCCTTGCAGAGATGGGAGAATGGTGACCTTGATGCCTGACCTCTGAGGATTTTCTTTTTTATGAGGCTGCTGAACCAGCTCGGGGCCATCCATCGGGCTCATAGTCAAGTCTCGCATCTTGGGTCACCACCTGGAGGGTGTGCAGAGTGGTGTCTGTGCCTGTGTGCCTATATGTATTTGTGCCTTGCACTCCATGCACACTTGTGGCTGGGGAGTTGCAGGTGTGCAGACTAGCTCTGTATCTTGGTGCAGGAAAAGCATGACTTCATATGAGCCTGGGCTGTGGCCATGTGTGAGTGAGCACATGGCCATGTGTGATTATTTATGAAGGTGACTGTGTGTGGGTAAGAGAGCACATGACAGTCTGTGAGTGAAGGGCTGTGTGTATATGACAAACAGTCATCACAAGTGTGAGTGTGCAAGTGTGATTTTGCACATGAAGGACTTGCCATACGTGGATATGACCAGCCAGGTATGTGTGCGTTTTTGACACTGATTAGATTGTCTCTGAGTGTCTGGTTGTGACTGTGTGTGAAGAGTATATGTGTGACAGATTGCAATTTAATGCATATGTGAGACTGTGTTTGTGACAGATTGTAATTTAATGCGCGTGTGAGACTGGCTGAGGCCATGAGTGTGTGAGAGACTGGTTGCATGCGTGACTGTGCACCGGTGTGTGAGGATGTGACTGTGTGTACGTGCTTGGATATATCGGTGTAGCTGTGTGTCGGCTAATGGCTGTGTGTGCTTCTGAGGCTCCGTGTGTGTGATGATGCAATGCATGATTGAGACTCCAGTGTGTGTGTGTGTGTGTGTGTGTGTGTGTTTATGAATGGCAGTAGTTAAGTGCAAATAAAGGTGCCTGTGCTTGGAGGTGGAGGTGGGAAGGGTGAGGACAGTGCAGGATAAAAAGGGGACTCGCTCGAAAAGGTCTCCCCAACCCCATTTTAATCAGAAACAGAGCAGCTGTTAGTCTGAATAGACACTGCACAACGGCAGACGTCTTAATCTCTTCTGCATTGTGATTCACTCGGCAAAGCCCTATTACTCAGCTTTTGATAGGAGCTTACTTGTCTCAAGTGTTTTCATTATTGCCCTAATACTATCTATTAACATACTGGAGGGAGCTCGCTGCTGTCTGGAGCTGGCATCACTGGGCTTTTAAAGATTATGGGCCTTGCAAATACATAACATTTTACTGCCTTGCAGACGTAATTCATTTGGGGTGGGGGGTAGCTCACGTAAATAGATAGGTAAATAGATAACCGAGTGGGAGAGAGAGGGCGCTGGAGGGAGAAAGAGAATCTAGGATTCAAACGCGGCTGGCGTCTCTAGCTCAAATAATCGCCTTTTGGGAGGAGGGGCCAGACAGACATCTGTCTCATTGGGGGCAATTCTAGCCTCAAGTCCTTCAACCCTGAGTATCCTGGGGTGGAGACACAGCCTGATCCCACTCAAGAAGTAAGACCCTGGGCTTCTCTAAGGGGTGCTCAGAAGTGCAAACTGGAGCAAGATGCAGGGAAGATCATGGGATCAGGAGTCCGGGGGCCCATGTTCCAACCCCAGTTCTGCAGCTGAGTTGCTGGATGACCTTTGTTCCCATAGCTTAACTGCAACACAAGAGTCTGAATTCGATGATCTAAAAAGCCAGCTCCAGAGTTCTCAGTTCTGGTCCCAGCAGGTGCTTGAATCACAATGATCAGGTTTAGCTCCATCAACCTGGAATCCTGAGGAAGAAATGGCTGAAGCTATGGCGTCTCCAACATCTCAGAACTGGCAAAAAGCAAGAGTCATCTAGTCTAACCACCACCTCCCTTTAGCATTCCTGTCGTGTGAGAGCAGACCTATAGTGACAGGAATCTCACTGCTTTCTTTTCCTTTTTACAAGACATATTTCCTTGAAATAACAGAGACATAAAATGAATACATTCATATAAGCCCTCCATCCCAAACTAGAAATTGCAGCATCTGTCAATCAGAAAATTTTAAGGACTTTCTAGAAGATAAAAAGCAGAGAGAATCAAATCTACAGAGGAAACCAGAATGGTTAAATCAGCACAGAAGAAATTGGCTAAGGAGATGTAAACTGTTCTTTTCAACAGAACCTTGGAGAAACTCCAAGTACAGGGGAGAAGGAGCAGGCCACAGCACGACCATCAGGTAAGGACTATTGAATAAGCCAATGGGCCAGCTAGCCTCTTCCTCTCCCAACATACATGCAATGCCTGGCTGTGGCTTTTGTCTCTGATCTTGAAGCCTGGTGAACTGCGTTCTGAGCAAAATGGAAGATCACCTTAGGAAGTGTAGTAAATGGTTACACTGGTGGCAATGAACCAAATCTCTTAGTATTCACAGCCTTGTGGAGTCCCCTACACATTGACCTTGTAATGGGCAATTTCACTTGCTTTGGTCAACGGGCCCTTAGCAAGCATAATGCAAGCAGAGGCTGGATAAGCACGTGCACACTGGGGCTTGTCCTCTTGGGACCTGGCCATCGTCTGTAAGGAAGCCCACCCTAGCCTCCTGGAGGCTAAAAAGCCATGTGGAAAAAGAGGCCACCTAGTGGAGAAACTAGGTTCTTCAGCAGACGGCCAGCACCAAGGCCCCAAACACGTGTGTGAAGCCTTGGGCCTTTCCACACAATCCAGCCGCCAGCTGAATGCAGCACCATGAGTAAGGCAAGCCAATGCCACATGGAACAGAAGAACAAGTCCAGGAAACTCATCAAATCAAAAGAAGTATAAATTATTGTTGTTTTAAGGCACTAAGTTATGGGGAATTCTGTTACGTGGCACTAGACAGCTGATATAGGAGGGATGACTATCTGGGTGTTGAGGCCAGAGAAGCAGAACTGAGCTAAATTCCTGCAATGGATGCTAGAAAAGGGGGAAAAAGCAAAGCCAATGACACAGTGCTGCTCAGGACCTCACACACAGAGTAAAGTCTGCCTGACTTTGGCAATCGAGAGGCCTGCTTGTGTGCTGTTCCCTCATTCTTCCTCCCACTCTCCCTGGCACAGAGCTGCAGGCAGCCTCCCTTCAAGGAAAAGACCCATCCTGGAAGCAAGTCTACACAACTAGGAAAGAAACTGACGCCAGTCTCTTAAATACATTTGTCCACCTAGTTTTTAATTTATAAATCTGAATGACCACTATGGATCACCAGATATTGGAAGCAAATCAAGAATATGAGAAAGACCAAGATGAAAAACCAGAATGATTCATCCTGGAGGAAATGGAGATAATGTGGGAGACAGAAGGGAACTTTAAAGGAGTTCTAGGTCATATCCTCCCAGAGACCCAAAAGAAATTTGCTTTAATAAAATAAGAGTAGATTGTTATGGAAGAGAAGCTAACAAATTTTAATCCTTGAAAATTAAAAACACGAAGACAAAGTCAAGGAAATCTCCTAGAAGGTAGAGTGAAATTACAAAGAAATACAAAATATGAGAAATTAAAGACCTACTATTTGCCTTATGGGGTTCTAGGCTGAGATAACAGAGAGACTAGAGGTGATAAAATAATTTAAAATATAATTTTTAAAGTATATTGCAGAGCTAGAGAAAGATCTGAGTCCTCAAACTATAAAAAGACCCACCAAATGCTAAGCAGAAAACACTGAAAAGACACACATCCTGGTGACATTTCTAAATTACAAAATAAAAACAAAATTCTCAATGCTTCTGCTTATTTTGAACCTACAACTCTATATCAGCCAAACTATCAAGCATGAAAGCGAATCCAAGATATTTTCAGATAATAAAGGACAAAGAAAATTTACTATCCATGCACTGCTTCTGAAAAAATAATTAGGTACTGCAGGAAAACAAAAAAGAAATCCGAGAAACAGAATTTCATAGGGTTACAAAAATTTGAAAGAAACCAGTAAATATCTAAAATCTGAATAATACATGAAAATGGATCTATAAAACCTCATACAGTGTTTAAGAAATGATTTCTTTTAAAAGTATAGGGATAAAATAAAATAACATTTGTAACTAAAGTTTCAACAAAGTATGAGCAGTAGGAGGAGATTTAAGACACTATTGGAAGAAAAACAATTAAATAACTCTATTTAAAATGTAAGACGCTAGAAAAATAAAATACTATAATGCATACTATTAGTGTAATAGTGTAATAGGTGTGTCATACAAATATATAATTTGCCAACAAATAGAGAAAAACAGAAATAAAGAAAATTTGATCAATCAAACAAAAAGCAGAGGAATCATTCAAACATATCAGAGATTGTAATAAAAGTTAATGGATTCAACTCTCCTATTAAACTACAGAGACTCTCAGAATCAGGGAAGAACCCTCACCAACATCCATAAGTAGATGTGTATATGCTCAGGTCAACACACAATGCAGATATTTTTTAAAGTCACATTTAAAACAATACGATACAAAATGATTAAAAGAATGAAAAATGAGGCCGAGCGTGGTGGCTCACACACTTTGGGAGGCCAAGGCAGGCGGATCACGAGGTCAAGAGTTTGGGACCAGCCTGACCAACATGGTGAAACCCTGTCTCTACTAAAAATACAAAAATTAGCCAGGTGTTGTGGTGCACACCTGTAATCCCAGCTACTCAGGAGGCTGAGGCAGGAGAATCGCTTGAACCCAGTAGGTGGAGGTTGCAGTGAGGCAAGACTGCGCCATTGCACTCCAGCTTGGGTGACATAGTGAGACTCCGTCTCCAAAAAAAAAAAAAAAAAAGAATGAGAAATTAATATATGCTAACAAAATATAATGAAGCCATAGAAATATTAATATCAGATTAAATAGAATCAAAATGAAAACCCTACATGGAACAAAGGAGACTTTATAAAACGTACAATCTACCAAGAAGTTATGACAATGAAGTGAGTTTCATAGTAAACAATGGAGTATTAAAATATAGAGACAAGCAGCTTTAGAACAACAAAGAGAAAGTGAAACTTGCAGTGATACTTGATTTTTACAATATGCCTCCCCAGAAATTGATAGATCAAGTAAACAATAAGTGAAGTGATAGGATAATTTGAATACAGTAATTTAAAATTTTGGTGTGAGATTTATATAACAATGTACCAAAGATACACCTTTACACATTCATTTTTAATATCTATGGCACATTTACAAAAATGGACAATTCACTAAAACTGACTACAAGTAAAATCTTAATTCCAAAAAGTGAAAAACATATGGACTGCATTTTTTGACTACAATGTAAAAAGCTAGAATCAATGACAAAAGAGTAGCAAACCAATATGATAACAATTTGGAAATTTATAAACACCATTCTATATAACTCTTGGGTTAAAGAGAAACTCAGAATTAAAACAACAGATTATGTTATAAATGAATGCTACTGACAGCACCCTGTGATGAAACCAATTGTCAAGGCCAATGCAGTATTTGTAGAAAATGTGTAGCCTTGAACATATGTATTAGAAAACAGGAAAGAGGAATTGAATCCAAGTAGCTGGGAAAAAGAAAACTAGAAGGAAAAAAACTATAGAAAGAAGGAATTAGTTGAGATAAAAGCAAAATTAATGAAACAAGAAACAAATGTAGACTTGGTAAATAAAACCAAATGCTGGCTCTTTCATTTAGTCATTCCCCTTATGGCTCACGAAGAGGTAAAAGTACTAATAACCATTTTAAAAAAATCAAATCAGCAAAGATCTACTTCTAAAAATGATATCAGTCCCAGAATGGACTTAAGGGCGAGTTGTATCAAACCTTCTGGGAACAAATACATTCTGTTATTTAAATTGTTACTGAGCTCAAAACAAAGGCAGAAAACTTCCCAATCCCTTCTGCTGGGCTAGCACAACTGTAGTAGGCATCTGTTGTTTTTGCTCCTCAGTGTTAATTCATCCTTCGAGTAACCACACCCTGATTTTCCTTGGAGGGAACCCACTGTACCCCACTCTGTGTCTATGTATTTCCAGGGAAGTTGACACCACTCCTAGTTCCAGAACTGGGCCCACAACCCTCAACAAGCTTTGTTTTTCCCCACCACTGTGAATGATTCAGAGATGGGCATGTAATCCAACCAAGGGTAATGAAACCCAAGAGGTTTTTCAGTGACTTCTGGAAAAAAAGTTGCTCTTGAAACTAAGGCAGTAGATCCTGGAATAGCCATTTGCCTGCCTTGTGTAGTCTGAGACTAAAGTGGACATAAAGGGAAAGCAGAACCAAGAGATGGAGAGAAAAATGAGCATTGATTACAGCATTTGAGCCCTGACTGCAACCACGCCTGAAGTACACTTTCCCCCCATACCCTTCAGCTCCATGAACCAATGTTTAAATCAGCCAGGATTGTCATTTTCAGCTGAAGCCACTAACCCTGACATACCAATGTGGAACAAAGATAACACACACGAGAAAGTATAGCCCAATCACAATTACATAAATATATGACCCATAAATAAAATGGTAGCAAAGTTAATTTAGCTATACATTATAAAACAAATAAATCATGAGCAAATAGGTGTATATCCCAAGAATTTAGCATAGATCTTAACATTACAAACAAAATTTTATTTTTAAAATTTACTATAGTGATACATTAAAGAGAGAATACTAAATTATCTTCTCTATAGATGGCTTAAAAAATTGTAATAAGCTTCCTTAGCCAGATAAAGGATCCAGAGATGGTCAGCTTTATGAGTCTATTTGGTTAAACTATAGTCCCAGTTATTCAATCAAACACTAACCTAGGTGTGGTGAGAATATTTTATAGCTGTAAGTAAAGTTCATAATCAGGTGACTTTAATTAAGCGAGATTATCTTAGACAATCTGGGTGAGCCTGAATCAATCAGGTGAAAGCCTTTATGAGCAGTATTGAGACTTTCCAGAAGAAATTCAACTTCTGGACTACAGCTACAGCTCAGGACCTTCCTGACCACCTGCCCTATAAGTTTTGGACATGCCTATCCAGCCTCCTCAATCATATAAACCAATTCTTGAAATAAATCTCTTAATATGTATGTCCTAGTGGTTGTTTGTCTGGTAGGACCCCAACTGATAAAGGTCTATAACTGCAGCAAAACATACATATCTGTGAGCCCCAGAAAGCAAGCATTCTTTCTCAGGCAGGGACAAGATAAGATGTCCACTATGCCCAGCATTTTGAAGGGATGGTATGTTAGTCCATTCTCACACTACTATAAAGACATACCTGAGACTGGGTAATTTATAAAGAAAAGATGCTTATTGGCTCATGGTTCTGCAGGCTGTACAGGCATCAGCTACTTGAAAGTCCTCAGGAAACTTCCAATCATGGCGGAAGGGGAAGGGGAAGGAGGCATGCTCTTCACATGGCTGTCAGGAGAGACAGCGAGCAAGGAGGGAAGTACTACACACTTTCAAACAACCAGATCTCGTGAGAACTTACAATTATGAGAAGAGCCAGGGGGAGATCTGCCTCCATGATCCAGTCACCTCCTACCAGGTCCCTCCCCCAACACTGAGGATTACAATTCAACATGATACTTGGGTGGTGATATCGTTTGGCTGTGTCCCCACTCAAATCTCATCTTGAACTGCAGTTCCCATAATCCCCACATGTCGTGGGAGGGACCTCGTAAGAGGTAATTGAATCATGGGGATGGTTACACCTATACTGTTCTCATGATAGTGAGTGAGTTCTCACAAAATTTGATGGTTTTATAAGGGGCTTTCCCCTTGCTTAGCACTTCCTCTTGCCGCCATGTGAAGAAGGATGTGTTTTCTTCCCCTTCTGCTGTGATTGTAAGTTTCCTGAGGCCTCCCCAGCCATGTGGAACTGTGAGTCAATTAAACCTCTTTTCTTTATAAATTACCCAGTCTTGGGTATGTCTTTATTAGTAGCATGAGAATGGACTAATGCCTGGCTAATACAGGTGGGGATACAGAGCCAAACCATATCAGATGGTCAGGGAGTGTTCTACTTGGAAGATACAGTACCCTGAATAATGTGCCTCCAAACCCCAAGATGTCCATATCCTAATCCCCAGAGCTTATGAACATGTTGCCCAACATGGCAAAAGAAACTCTGCTGGTATAAGGAAGTTAAGGATCTCAAGGGGAAAGATGACCCTGGATTATCCAACTAGACTCCATGCAATCACAAGCATCCTTACAAGGGAAAGGAAGGAGGCAGGAGAGTCAGGATCAGAGCGATGTGGCCATGAGCCAAGGAATGTGGGTGACCTCTGGAAACTGGAAAAGGCACAAAAATGGATTCTACCCTAGAGCCCCCAGAAGGAATGCAGCCTTGTCAACCCAATTTGGACTTCGGATCTCTGAAATGATAAGATCATAAATCTGTGTTGTTTTAAGCCACTAAATTTGTGGTAATTTGCTATAGCCGCAGTTGGAGATGAATACAGAAGGTAATATTTGAATGAAGACCTGAGGGAAGAGCAGGCGCAATATAAGCAAGTATCTGGGAGAATCGGGTTTCAGATGGAGAGAAAAGCAAGAGCAAAGGCCCCGTGGTAAGAATGCTAGAGGAACAGCAAAAGGGCAAGGTGCTCTGAGTAGCAGAGTCAGGAGGAGGGACCAGGAGATGGGTCAGCAAGGAGTGATGGGGATGAGGCCAGCCCACGGTGAGCCTGAGAAGTGATTGTGAGGGCTTTGGCTTTTACACTGGACAAGACACCAAGCCTTTTGAGAGCCTAGAGCAGAGTGGTGCACAATTTGACTTACATTTTAAAAGCACCACTGTCTGCTGTGGGTGACCGGGGTGAATTCACCATAAAGCTAATGAAGCCCAAATCCCAGAACTCTATGCTTGCACGGATCCCTTCCAAGACCCCAGTCATGCAATCAGGTGGTCATATGTTTTGTAAAATTTACGAAAGTAAGATATCTTAGCCACAATTAGTTAAGACCACTTGATCTCTTTCTTGACTTTTCTACCATATCTTCTCTTGGTGCTGGAGTGGGTACAGATATTTTTGGGATCCAGTTAGAAAAAATTGAGCTGGGGATACCTTTAGTTGGAGTTTACTGAGATATATTTGTGTGTTTCACAGCTCTTTCCATGTTATTGGAAGTTATTACCAGCTATCCTGGAGCAAGATTGGCTTCCAGGAACCCTCCCACCGCCCACTCTGTCGACAGGATATTGATGTGAGAGCTTTAATAGAGTGTTGTCAGCTCACAGAAGTTTTTAAATTAGTAGTCACTGCACAAGAAAACTTGAAAAGCCCAGAAATCTTACCGCTCATATATAAAAGAATCTTGATAGAGCTCTCTCAGGTTTGACAATTCTAAAAATTTATCCAACTTTGCCATTAACAAATTGTGAAAGTAGAGGAAACTTTTCTAAGCTATTAATAATAATAATTTTAAAAATGAACTTTAATCAACTACAGTAGAGGAAACTTTTGTATTCTTTCTATTAAAAAATGTATTACAGGCCAGGCATGGTGGCTCACACCTATAATCCCAGCACTTTGGGAGGCCGAGGTGGGTGTATCACCTGAGATCAGGAATTAGAGACCAGCCTGGCCAATACAATATGGCAAAACCCAGTCTCTATTAAAAATACAAAAATTAGCTGGGTGTGGTGGCACATGCCTGTAATCCCATCTACTCTGGAGGCTGAGGCAGGAGAATCACTTGAACCCGGGAGACAGGGGTTGCAGTGAGCTGAGATCGCGTCACTGCACTCCAGCGTGGGCAACAGACTAAGACTCTGTCTCAAAAAAAGAAAAAAAAAAAGGATTACAAATCATGTCATACAAACAAGTGATGAAAGAATATGAAGGCAAAAAATATAAGGGAAGAAGTAATATAGCAATACATCAAGCAATTAATAAATTAATAAATTAAAAAGACTATGTTCTTTTTTCCGGATTAGGTAAGATATTTGTGGTATTGCCTGCTTTTAAAAATTTTGTAATTTTCTGTGATTTCTTTTTCATCTTAAATAGATATTTACCTTCATGCCTAATTTACTGTTTTTCATTTTTTAACTATTAGTGAGGGCCATAAAAAATGTCATGTGCTTAAGCCCTCACAAGACCTGAATCCCCTGGGGAAGAGCATTCTATGGCTGGGGTTGGGTGCTAGCCCTTGGCGTCTTTGTTTGGATCCATTTCTTACCCTTCTCTTGCTCTATGGCAGGGAACTGACCCTGTGGCCTGTTTCCAGGGATCCTGTGTCCACTGCCGTTTGACAGCATCTGGCCAATGAGAGGCCAAAGTAGATGAGAGGGCTGGGAGAAGGGAGTCTTGGCTCTTCCTCCCTCCTTTCTGCAGCCAGGCATTCCTGGTCTCTGCTTGCTGCCTCCAGCTCCTGTTAAAGAGGCCTGCCTGGGTTTCTGCTTCTTTCAGAGTCCCTCTGGCCCCTGGGTGTGGGTAACGCCACCTTTTCCTGTTATCTCTACAGCCTAGGGGTGGTCACCACTTCCTGCTGTTGGTGATCGCTGGGTGGCCTCCCCTCCCCTGTTTGGCATCTCAGCAATTCTGTCACCTTGTAACCAGTTTCCAGTACTGCATCCCTTCATGGAATGGCTTCTGTTTTCCTGGGTGGATCCTGACTGAAAGAAGGAGGTAAGATAGAAAGGGGGAGACCTGTTAGGGGGTGAATGTAACAGTCCAGGAGAGCAATGAAGGCGGCTTGCCCCAGAGTAACAGCTGTGGATGTGATAAGAAGTGGTAGAGACTAATGATTTGCTTATAGACTGGATTTCGGAAGTAAGAGAAAGAGAAGAGTCAGAGATGACTGCAAGGTATTTGACCTGAGCACCTAGAAGAACAGAGTCAGCCCTTAGTGAGGAGGTGCAGATTTGAGGGGATAGGAGGATATGAGGAGTTTTCTTCAGGATGCTGGGTTTGAGATGCCTATTAAACATCAAGTTGAAATTATATATATGAGGCCTCTCAGGAAAGAGATTTATTTGAGAGGCAGGTATACATTTGGGAGTTATCAGTGTAGAGGTAGAAGCTGTATGACCATCGATGACATTAATGGAGCAAGATAGAGAAGAGGTCCTGAACTGAACTGAACCCTGGAGTAAACCAATATTTAGAGGCCTGGGAAATGAAGAGAGACTAGCACAGGGGTCTGAGAAGAGAGTCCAGAGAGGTAAGAGGAGAACCAGAAGAGTGGCATCCTGAAAGTCAAATGAGGAAGATGTGCCTAAGAGAGGGGTTGGATGTGTCCAATTCTGCTGACGGGTCAAGTACAGTAAGGTCTGAGATTGACCAGCGAGTTTTGCAATATGGAGGTCATTGGTAAGTGACCCTGACAAGAGCAATTTCAGGAGAATGTTGGGGTTAAGAACTTGGAGACTGCAAACATTAGCAAATTTGTAAAGTTTGGCTGTAAAGTGAAGGAGATAAATGACATAATAGCTGGAAATTAAAGTGGGTCATTTCCAAGTGGGGAGAGGAATATAAAAACATTATATATATACATACGTACATACTACACATATATGCATGCACACATATATAATAACTTTTTGTTAAAGTGTAACATACATAGAAAGGAGTGCACAGATCATGAATGTACAACACAGGAAGTCTTCACAAGTTCACATATTAATGTAACCACTACCTAAATCAGGAAAAAAGACATTGCCAGCATCCCAGAGACTCCACATGCTCCCTCTCAGGTGTTACCCACTCATTCCTTCTCAAAGGTAACCACTCTTCTAACCATAAGTTAATTGTTGTCTGCTTTGAAACTTATATAGTAGAATAATATAGTATAACTTCTTTTACTCAACGTTGTTTGTGGGATAAATGTAGCGACAGTGCATTCATTTTCATTGACATATAGCATATCCTTGTATGATTATTCCACAATTTACATATCCATTCTATTCTTCTGTTTGTTTTTTGTTTTTGAGACGAAGTCTCACTCTGTCACCCAGGCTGGAGTGCAGTGGTGTGATCTCGACTCACTGCAACCTCTGCCTCCTGGTTTCAAGTGATTCTCCTGCCTCAGCCTCCCGAGTAGCTGGGACTACAGGCACGCACCACCACACCCAGCTAATTTTTGTATTTTTTAGTAGGGATGGGGTTTTGCCATGTTGCCCACGCTGTTCTCACACTTCTGACTTCAGGTAATCTGCCCGCCTCAGCCTCCCAATTCTATTCTTGATAGATAAGCATTTGGCCTGTTTAATGATTGTGCTACAGTATTTAATGTTACTATGGATATGCTTCTACATGTCTTTTGGTACACAAATGTATGCATTTCTGTTTGGTATATAACTATGTATGAAACTGCTGGATCATAAGGAAAGTTTAGTTTTGGCTTTAGTAGATTTTTGCATTGTCGGAATTTGCCATTTGATATTGGAATACATTCTCAAATAAATGTAGTTATGTTATACATCATTTTAATGGGCATTTCTCGCTTTTATTTTGCTAATGACTTATTACTTGCTGTTTATTTTATGTTTATTTTAGACTATGGAAATGATGTTAGACAAAAAGCAGATTCAAGTGATTTTCTTATTCAAGTTCAAAATAGGTCGTAAAGCAGCAGAGAAGATGACTCGCAACATCAACAACGCATTTGGCCCAGGCACTGCTAACGAATGTACAGTGCAGTGGTGGTTCAAGAAGTTTTGCAAAGGAAACAAGAGCCTTGAAGATGAGGAGTGTAGTGGCAGGCCGTTGGAAGATGACAACGACCAATGGAGAGCAATCATTGAAGCTGATCCCCTTACAACTACAAGAGAAGTTGCTGAAGAACTCAGTGTCAACCATTCTACGGTCGTTCAGCATTTGAAGTAAGTTGGAAAGGTGAAAAAGCTCAATAAGTGGGTGCCTCATGAGCTAAGCGAAAATCAAAAAAATTGTCATTTTGAAGTGTTGTCTTCTCTTATTCTATGCAACAATGAACCATTTCTCGATCAGATTGTGACATGCCACTAAAAGTGGATTTTATACAACAGCCGGCGACGACCAGCTCAATGGTTGGACCAAGAAGAAACTCCAAAACAGTTCCCAAAGCCAAACTCGCACCAAAAAAAGGTTATGGTCACTGTTTGGTGGTCTACTGCTGGTCTGGTCTAATCCACTTTAGAGTTCTGAATCCCAGCGAAACCATTACATGTGTGAAGTATGCTCAGCAAAGTGATGATATACACTGAAAACTGCAATGCCTACAGCCGGCATTAGTCAACAGAGAGGGCCCAATTCTTCTCCACAACAATGCCCGACCACACATTGCACAACCAACGCTTCAAAAGTTGAACGAATTGTACTACAAAATTTTGCCTCATCTGCCACATTCACCTGACCTCTCACCAACCAACTACCACTTCTTCAAACATCTCAACAACGTTTTGCAGGGAAGACAATCCACAATGAGCAGGATGCAGAAAATGCTTTCCAAGAGTTTGTCAAATTCCAAAGGACAGATTTTTATGCTACAGGATTAAATTTATTTCTCTTTGGCAAAAATGTGTTGATTGCAATGGTTCCTATTTTGATTAATAAAAATGTGTTTGAGTCTAGTTACAATGATTTAAAATTCACGGTTCGAAACCACAATTACTTGTTGCACCAAAAAAGTTTTGTACCAATTTCCACTCCTACAGAAGGGCAATCCAGTTGTTCCCTACCCACCTGGTACTGTCATAAGCCTTTTAAATTTTGGCCATTCTGATGATTGTGTCATGGTGCCACACCACGGTTTTGATTTTCATTCCCTTGATGACCAATAAGGTTGAGCATATTTTCCTACAGTTCATGGCTGTTTGGATATTTTATTTTATGAAGTGGTTGTTCAAGTCTTTTGAGGAGAGATAAGAAAGTGTTAAATGGGACAGGAGGGTCAATGGATTACGGGCTTTACCTGCAACCACAAGGGTCCACTTGAGCTTAGTGCCCATGAATATAAGATGAGACTAGTCAGCCTGTCTTGTGCTTTTCTCCAAACTCATTCAGTTGCACAGGAAAAGCAGGGAGCATATGGACAATTGGAGTTAACTATGGTCGAGAGTTGCCCAAGTGATATGAAGAAGTAGGTCAAGGGCACAAGAGTTGAGGAAGTGTGCAAGGGAATGACAATGATGAACCATAGAACATAAGCTGGTTAGAGTGGAATATAAGGGCAATGAAAATATAGAAAGGTCATTAGATTATAGGTCCTGGTGGGTTGAATAATTGTCAGAGTAGAAAAAGAGGAATGAGCTGGAAAAATTAGAGGTGGCAATCTAAGAGGTAAATTGCTTACATTGAGGTTATAGCGATGTCAGAGCTATTGGTCATGATCAGGTCTATAGCAAAATGATGGCCTTGAGTGGATGAAGCAGGGTGGAGGACCAGTAGTGAAAGAGGAAGTCAAGGAACCAAGAGATCAAGTGTCTCAGTCTGTTTTGTGCTGCTATAACAGAATACCTGGGACTGAGTAATTTATAATGAACAGAAATTTAGCTGCATGCAGTGGCTCATACCTGTAATCCCAACACTTTGGGAGGCCAAGGCGGGCAGATCACTTGAGACCAGGGAGTTCAAGACCAGCCTGGCTAACATGGTGAAACCCCGTCTCTACTAAAAATACAAAAAATAGCCAGGCATGGTGGCACATGCCTGTAATCCCAACTACCCAGGAGGGAGGCATGAGAATCGCTTGAACCTGGGAGGCGGAGGTTGCAGTGAGCCAAGATGGTGCCACTACACTTCATCCTGGGTGATGGAGTCAGACTCCACCTCAAAAAAAAAAAAAAAAAGAAAACGTATTAGCTCACTGTTCTGGAGGATGGGAAGTCCAAGATCAAGGTGCCAACATCGTACAAGGACCTTCTTGTGTCATCACGTGGTGGAAGGCTAGAGGATAAGAGAGAGTGAACCCACTTTTTCAAGCCTTTTTTTATAATGGCATTAATCCATTCATGAGGGCTCTGCCCTCTTAACTTAATTACCTCTTAAAGGCCCCACCTCCCAACACTATCACATTGGGGATTAAGTTTCAACCTATGAATTTTGGAGGGGACACAAACATTCAAACCATAGCACCAAGGTACCAGAAAATTGTCTATTTGAATGTTGAAATTACCAATAATTATGGCAGAATTACAATTGGAGAGAAGCTCTTCCAATTTACCGGTAGAAAGCATTAGCAGAGGAATGAACATACACAGCAAATGACACATCTGTACGTAGGAATCATCTTGTACATAGACATGCATAATTTAAATGAGATGATGTTTCAAAGTAGTGCAGAAATGATGGATTATGCCATAAATAGTATTTGAACAAGTGTCTCTCCACTGGGAAAATAACACAATTTTACTTGTTTCTCACACAATCTACAAGAGTAACTTTTAAATGGACTAAAAGAACTAAACATTAGAAACTATAAAATTACCAGAAGAAAATAAAGGAAAATATCTTATAATAGTGAGGCAGAGAACGTTTTCCTAAGTAAGATAGATCTGAGATCACAGAAAATGGTAATAGTTAGTATTTATTGCACCATGTCCTGTGGTGATTACCATTCTAAGAACTTCTAATGTGTATTAATTCATTTAATCCTCACAACAACCCTATGCAGTAAGTACTCTTATCCTTGTTTTATGTAAGAAAACTGAAGCACAGGGAGGTTAGGTAACTTGCCAAAGTCACAGAGCTAAGATAACTCCAGAACAAAATATAAATAATTGACATGTAACTATAAAACTTTTATAGACAGAAAAAAGTTAGTGAAGTCTAAAGAAAAAGGACATCTGGGAGGCAATATTTATATTACAAATTTTGTAACTTTTCTTTTTAAACAGCTTTGAGATATGATTGACATACAATAAGCTTCACATATTTAAAGTGTACAACTTGATGAGTTTTGACATAAGTATACACCTGTGAAACCGTCACTACAATAAAGAATGAGCATACCCATCACCCCTAAACGTTATTTATAACTTTCCAATGAATTATTTCCATGTCATACATACATAAGGAGTTACTACAAATCAATAAAGCAAAAAATAAAAATGGGCAAAGAGTATAACCAGGAATTCACAGCACAAGACACACAAATAGCTAATAATCATATGAAAATATGCACAACCTAATCCCAGCACTTTGGGAGGCCAAGGTGGACGGATCACTTGAGGTCAGGAGTTCAAAACCAACCTGACCAACATGGTGAAATCTAGTCTCTACTGAAAGTACAAAAATTAACCAGGCGTGGTGGCATGCGCCTGTAGCCCCACCTACTTGGGAAGCTGAGGTGGGAGGATCCCTTGAACCCAGGAGACGGAGGTTGCAGTGAGCCGTGATCATGACATTGCACTCCAGTCTAGGTGACAGAGTGAGACTTTGTCCCCCACCCCCCTCCCCCACAAAAAAAGAAAATATGTACAACCTCAGTTGCAGGGAATGGAAATTAAAATGATGAGGTAGCATTTTAAGCTGAGTGGTGAAACTTGGCAAGGTTGATGCTATCCACAGTTGGTTAAAGAAAGCAAAGTTCGGCAGGGCGTGGTGGCTCACGCCTGTAATCCCAGCACTTTGGGAGGCTGAGGTGGGCAGATCACGAGGTCAGGAGATCGAGACCATCTTGGCTAACACAGAGAAACCCTGTCTCTACTAAAAATACAAAAAATTAGCCGGGTGTGGTGGTGGGTGCCTGTAGTCCCAGCTACTCGGGAGGCTGAGGCAGGAGAATGGCGTGAACCTGGGAGGCAGAGCTTGCAGTGAGCAGAGATCGCACCACCGCACTCCAGCCTGGGCGACAGAGTGAGACTCCATCTCAAAAAAAAAGCAAAGTTCATGAGAGTTTGGCCACACGGGCTCTCTCATTTGCTGCAATGACAATAGGTATTTGCATACATCTTTTTGGAATAAGACAGATGAACTCCGCATCTAAAATACACATGACCTATTTCCTAATAGCTGAATTTTCTAAGAATCCAACCTTCAGCAACAATCACATAATATGTGCCAAGGTATAATGCAGTACTTTAAATAGAAAAACATTAAAACACTGGTGGGGGGTGGGGAAGCCAAAACTCCCATTAATGATTAAATAATGTTTTAAATGGTATAACCATACTTTGGAACATTACATAGCTATTAAAAAGAAGTGAGATTTCTACACATGTATGGGGAAGACTTTCATCTTTTATTCTATGTACTTTTGAATTATTTCTATTCTTAACAAGTAGGTTTAAAACAGTGAAAATGAAAAAAGTAGTGCATGCTTGTAGATAAACAAATTCATGCAATACAGAACTTTAGAGAGGAACATGTGGATATCCCTCTCACGTTTATTAATTCATGAAACTAAGAACTAATTGTGTGCCAGAGATGAGCAAAGCATTGTCCCTGTCTGCACACAGCTTACCTTCTAATAGAGGAAAGGAAAAGCAAGTGTGTTATCTGCATGTAAAAATAGACACCTAATTTAGATTGGAAGGGCCAAAAGGCCACTTTGGGAAAGTGAGAGTTAGCTGAAGCCTGAAGGATAAATAAGAGTTCAGTGGTGGGCACAGTGGCTCATGCCTGTAATCCCAGCACTTTGGGAGGCCAAGGCAGGAGGATGGTTTGAAGCCAGGAGCTCAAGATCAGCCTGGGAAACATAGAGAGATCTTGTCTCTACAAAAAATTTAAAATAAATTAGCCGGTCATCATTGTGCCTACCTGTAGTTCCAGCTACTTAGGAAACTGAGGCAGGAAGATTGCTTGAGCCCAGGAGTTAGAGGCTACTGTGATACTGTGAGCTATGATCGTGCCACTGCACTCCAGACTGGGCAACAGAGCCAGACCTTGTCTTTAAAAAAAAAAAAAAAAGAGTTAGCAGTAGGGAAGAGTAGATGGGAAAGAATCCATGAAGAGGAAGCAGCGCACAAAGGCTCCAAGGTAGAGGGCAGGACTGTGCGGCGCACAGGAGTACTGGAGGCCAGAGACAGGCCCTGCTCTGCATAAGGGAACATGCGGGAGAAAGAGGAGTCTGGATTTTCAAAGTCTGTTAGCTGCAGGACTGTATGATTTACATTCAGAAAAATTCACCTTTTTTAGGTAGACAGTTTGACGGATTTTGACAAATGTGAACACTTGCGAAACTACCACCACAGTTAAGTCACAGAGCATTTCTGTCATCCCAGCAAGTTCTCCTGTGTCCCTTTGTACCTAAGCCCACTGCCAGGCCCTGCAACCACTGATCTGCCTTCTGTGACAGCCCTTTTGCCTCTTCCAGAGATTGTCGTAACGGATCTGTATAGTATACAGCCTTCAATCCAGTTTCTTTGACTCAGTTTCTTTGCTATTCATCCATGCAGATGTGTGTATCAGTAGTTCATTCTGTCTTATTGCTGAGAAGTATTAAATGGAATAGTGTATGGATGTACCACAACAGGTTTGTTCAATCACGAGTTGATGGATCGGTTTGTTTTTTTTTCCAGTTTGGGACTATTATGAATACATCTGCCTGGGACATTTGTGTACAGGTCTTTGTGTGGATGTATCTTTTCATTTCTCTAAATATCTGAGTGGACTCGTTGGATCATATGGTAAGTGTATGTTTAACTGCCAAACTGTTTTCCAAAGCGGCTGCCCCATTTTGCATTCCCACCATCAATGTGTGTGATTTCTAGTGGTTCTCATTCTCAACAACATTTGATATTATCGGTTTTCTAAAAATTACTATCCCTTTAGCCATTCTAATAGGTGTGTGGTGATATCTCATTGAGGTTTTAGTTTGCATTTCCCTAATGATTAATGTTGTTGAGCATATTTTCATATTCTTATTTACCATTTGTATCTCTTTGACAAAATGAGCCTCAGGACTTTCAATTTACATTAAATTCTTTGTAAAACTTCAAAATATGAAATAATAATTAATAATAAATACATATTAAATGAAGTTGGGGGCCAGGAGTCCTAGCTGCTCAGTGCTTCACTGCTGCCTGCTTTGCCCCCCTCCCAAACCCTGGCCTCTGAGAGGGCACCATGGAGCAGTGTTTCAATTACCAGACAAGGATCTTGCTAGCTAGTCTCCAAAGACAGCTCCCCGATGAGCTGTGGCTTACAGTAGTCATGCCCTTGTGTATTCCCCTCCCACATTGAATCGGGGTTGACCGTGTGTAACTAATACAATGCATTAGAAGTGAGGCCTTGTGACTTCTGAGGTTAGGTCAGAAGAAGCCATAAAACGTCCACCTTGGTCATCTAGAATGCCCACTCTGGGAGAAGCTAGTTGCCATTACATCCAACTATGCCAAGACCACTATGCTATGAGAAAGCCCAAAGAAGCCATATAAAGGGGCTGCATGGAGAAAAAGAGAGAGAGAGCTGGCCAGCCCTGATCTGTTCCAGCCATTCCAGCCCAGGCACCAGCCATATGAGTGAAAGAAGCCATCTTGAATGTCCAGTCCAGCCAAGCTTTCAGAGGACTCCAGCCCCAACCACCCTCTGATTACAATTCTACAAGGGTCCGAAAGGTAGAACTACCCATTAGAATCAACCCCAAGAGCCATGAGGGATAATAAAAGGTTGTTTTAAGTCTCTGAGTTTTGGAGTGGTTTGTTATGCAGCAATAGCTAACTGGCACATGGATGGTGCCCGGGTTTGGGGTCTGCTGACTTGGAAAGGTGGTAAGCCTGGGAACAAGAGAGAGGGCTGCTAGCTGTTGTCACTTTCCTTCTTTTTCTTTCTACATTCAGACTCCCTGGATATCATCTTATATCCTTACACTGTCAGTGCCAGAATTGTGGGTGGCTACGAGAAAACGGAGACTGGCAAGAAACAGGAACTGAGAAAGTCAAAGCAGATGCCAGGCCCAGGAATGAGCCCAACTCCAACAAAATATTAGGAACAGTAATTCCTCACATGTTAACAGTCCTTTGCAGTTTCTAAAGCACACTGAGATGTGTTATTTGACCCTCATATCAGCTAGGGGATATGAGGGTCAAATAATATAATACATTTTAGGGTGTTACTACCCCCTTTTATTTAACTAGATAAAGAAATGGAGGCTACCCCCATTTAACTAGATTAAAAAAAATAGAGGCTCAGGAAAGTTAAAGAGTTGCAGAGAGCATAGCCCTGGTGTATCGCACTCTGGGAGTTCTTGTTGGAATGAGAAAGAACCAGGATTAATTCACAATTACCT
This sequence comes from Homo sapiens, assembly GCF_000001405.40. Classification (NCBI taxonomy): domain Eukaryota; kingdom Metazoa; phylum Chordata; class Mammalia; order Primates; family Hominidae; genus Homo; species Homo sapiens. The sequence continues at coordinate 41,296,318 of NC_000001.11, read as the reverse complement.
TGGGATGGAGACTGGAACAGTAAATTGCTTAGGTTAAGAACCTGGTGGCTGGGCACAGTGGCTCACACCTGTAATCCCAGCACTTTGGGAGGCCGAGGCGGGTGGATCACCTGAGGTTAGAGTTTGAGACCAGCCTGACCAACATGGTGAAACCCCGTCCCTGTTAAAAATACAAAATTAGCTAGGCATGGTGGTGCATGCCTGTAATCCCAGCTACTCAGGAGGTTGAGGCAGGAGAATCGCTTGAACTCTGGAGGCAGAGGTTGCAGTGAGCCAAGATCATGCCATTGCACTCCAGCCTGGGCAATAAGAGCAAAACTCTGTCAAAACAAACAAACAAACAAACAAACAAACAAACTGGCAAAGGCAAAGCCAAGGTTTAATTACTTACTGAGCACCTCTTGACACTAGACTAAGTTCTTTGGACACTTTGTGTACTCTTCTTAGTGACCCTGTAAGGTAGATGCTATTACCATCCTTATTTTGCAATAGGTCTCTGACATCACGACTCAGAGATATTGCCCCCAACACTCACCACTTCAACCTATCATGTCTTCATAACGGCATTGCCAATTCTCTGAACACTGGTTCTGTAGCTGGAACCTAATGCCTACATGATGAGCACGGGGTCCCGGCTGACCTTCTTACCCCTCCTGTGCACATTGGTGTCCTTACTGCCCTTGAGCCCATTGTGGTCATATCATTTCTGTGCTCAGAGAGCATCAGGGGCTTCCAACAGACCAGGCTCCTCATCAACTCCCCACCCATTAACCCTGCCCAAAGCTCAGAACCAAGCCTGTCCCTAATTGTAGGAGTCATTCATTCATACATTCAACAAATATTTATCAAATGCCTAATGTCTGCCAAGCACCATTTAGGAAGGCCAGCAGAGCATACCATACAATAGACACCTTCCTTGACCTCAAGAAGCCTGCAATCTAGCAAGGTGTATAGACAACAAGTTCCCTGAGGGCACCAAGGAGATTCCCTTGAATATTCACCACTGCCAGGAAGAGTTCCCTGACTCTCACCCTCGGGCGCATCCAGCAACCCTTGGAAATTTCCTATTGAGCTCTGTCCAGCTGAAATTATAGCATGTATCCTTTTAGTCTTCAAAGAAGAGTGTAAGCGTGTGTGCACACACGTGTGCACATGAGTGTGTTTTCCTCATTCCAGCCAAATACCACCACCCCAAGGCATTGTCATCTGAAAGGGTTTGGAAGGCAGCCCGAGCCAATGCCCTCCTGCCCTTTACTGTCCCCTGAGCTCCTGTCCCACTTTTCTAGATGTCTCCCCTTGATGTTCCGCCAAGACCTCAGACTCATTGCAACCAAAACTGTCCTTCCCAATCTGCTTTCACTCCTCTTTTCCCTTTCTCGATTTGTAGCCACATCAGCACCCAGACACACCAACTCAAGATCTCTAACTCATTCTCCAGTAGACACACACAGTCTTGTATAGCCACATACAAAACTTGTTTCATCCTTGTGAAGAGCCACACCAAGTCCTATTTAACACAAAATTCACACTCCTACAACATTCACACAATTCAATCACACAAAAATAAAATCAGAACCATACAGCGAGCTCTGTAGAAAGTCACTCTCCTGCATAGTCCCAGCAAGGCATGTATGGTGATAAATACATGCACACACTCACACATACAGTCCTAGGTGACAAGCTTTTCACCAGGAGCATCTGGGGAAATGAAACATCATAAAGTCCAATCATTTTGAACCCAGACCCAGGACCTGAATCCATCAATCCTTCTGGGGAGGATGGCGGGCGTTGCCTTTCCCCTGTTCCTGACAGCCCTGTGATTTGTGTCTGCTCCATGGGTGCTGGTGCCATAATTCACCTTCTGTGCCCACAGGATAACTGCCCAGCCTGGCCTTTTGCCTGACACAGACTCTGGACTTGCCTGTGCCTGTCCTCCTGGCCTCATAGCCAAGCTGTGTCCCTGAGCTGGGGATGGCTTGGGGATCTGAGGTCATATAAGGGCTGGGTCTCCCAGGAAAGAGCAAGGCTGCAGAGTGGACCACAGAGATGTTTCCATCACCCTGTGTCTTCCAGGATCCTCGGTGCTGAGCACTTGGCCAGAGAACTCCAGGACAAACCCCTCTCTCTGCCTAGACCACAGTCAAATCCAAGCTGCCTTAAACAAATTGGCAAAGAGGATTCAAGCAGCCCAAACCTGGGGCATAGGCACCGATGGTGAGAATCCAGGCTTATTCCTCCACAGGCAACCTGGAAGCTGCAGTTCCCATCACCTAGCCTTCCCTTTTCTCCATCTCCAACATACACACAGGCTGCCGTGACTCTGGGCTGCCTTCCAAGGGGGGGCATCCTAAATCATCTCTGGGGCTCCCTGCCAGGACAAGTAGCAGCATTGGTGAGAAAGACAAGATGGATTACATATATGTTGATGTGCTAGTATGGAGGCTCTGGATGAGTGGCTGGGGGGATAATGGGGGTGAGGTTAGAGGACAAAGATCCAAAGTTACAAGGCTATTGACTTCAAAATGGGAAGGACAGATTTTCTTCTTAATTTCTGAGATCTGGGAACAAGACTGGCTTGCACATGAGAGGCTCCTAAAGGGGCTTTGTAATACTGCAGGGCCTGGTTCAGCCCACCCAGCACCCCCCAGCCTCCACCCATGAAGGGCAAGCAGAACTACAGTGAAGAGGGATCCCCCCAGGGATTCACTCCTAACAGACTCTGGGGAATACTGTCCAGAATTGCCCTTTGACCCATTAGCTCCCCTTTCTGTCTTGGAACAGTATTGATTTGCCCTTTTTCCCTCTCTGGTTCTCACTGGGGGAAAGATGGAAAATCAAATGTTGTCAGGATAACTGACCAACCATTTGGAAAACAATAAAGCTGGAATTGTCCTTCACTCTTTACACAAAAATAAACTCAAAAGGATAAAAACATATAGTATAAAAAGTGAAACCACACGAGTACTAAAGCAAAGTGTGAATATTTGTATTATGGGCCTTTCTAAGCCCAGCACAAACTCTAAAAGCAGTAAGGGAAAAAACCCTACAGACTTAACTACATAAAAATCAAGTACTTATGCGGGACAAAAAATACATATGGTTGAAAGTCAGGATGAAGTAGAAAAATATTAGGAATACTATCTTTAACTTACGAAAGAGCTCCCACAAATAAGAAAAAAACAAATACTCCAATAGAGAAATGGGCAAAGAACATGATCAGACAACTCACAGATGAAGTAAGAATGTCCATTTGTCCATTAAGAACCAAGTATATGCCCTAGTTCAGTATCGATGAAAAATGCAAGTGGAAGGATGTATCAATTGTCACCTATAAGGTGGGCAAAAGTTGTTTGTTTGTTTGTTTGTTTGTTTGTTGAGACAGAGTCTCACTCTATCGCCCCAACTGGAGTGCAGTGGTGTGATCTCGGCTCACTGCAAACTCCGCCTCCTGAGTTCAAGCAATTCTCCTGCCTCAGCTTCCCCAGTAGCTGAGATTACAGGTGCCTGCCTCTGCGCCCAACTAATCTTGTATTTTTAGTAGAGATGGAGTTTCACTATGTTGGTCAGGCTGGCCCCGAACTCATGACCTTAGGTGATCCACCCACCTTGGCCTCCCAAATTTCTGGGATAATAGGCGTGAGGCACTGCGCCCAGTTTTTTTAAACTGACAATGGTGTAAGAAAGGGGGCTTTCTCCCACACTGCTGATGGTGGGAGAGACGTGGGAAGGTTCATTGTTTCTGGAGGCCAGCAGGCCAATGACCCCACAGCAATAGCTAATATATATAGCTTTTATGACATACCAGGCATTGTTCTAAGTGCTTTGCATATAAAGAATTTATTTCATCCAAACAGTAATCTCATAAAGTAAATCCTGTTATTATTCCCATTTTACAGATGAGGAAACTGAAGCCCAAGAAGTTAAAGATAATTTTCCCAAGATCTTTTTGCTAGGAAATGGCAAAATTGTTATTGAATCCAGGCAGGTGGCTCTCCTATGCTATTCCATACCAAAATGTCAATTGTTCAAATCGTTTGTCCTAGAAATTTTACTTCTGGGAATTAATCTTAAGGACTCAATTAGGCAAATGCACAGAGATGTATATATAAGAATGTTGTTCTGTATGTCAAATATATCAGTGAAAAAATGGGAACAATGTAAATGTTCAATAGGAAATCCATTGACTAAATTATGTTACTTCCATAAAACAGAATGCTATGCAACCATTAAAAAGTATGATGTATATTTATATTCACTGATACGGAAAGATTTCGACAACATATTGTTGAGTGGAAAAGCAGGTTGCAAAACAGCATGCATAGTATGATCCCATTTAGGTAAAACTATATATATATATCACTCAAGATCTGAGAGGATGCTCACCAAACGCTAAAGGTTATTATCTTGTGATGGCGGAGATTTCAGGGAATTTTTATTTTCTCCTTTCTTCCTTTCTTGTGTTGTTTGGATTTTGTACAGTGAGCATATATTATCTTTGTAAACAGAAAAGGCAATTTTTAAAAATGAGCCTCCTGGAATTGGCATCTCCTTATTTGTATCTCTTAGTGCTTTGTTCAGCCAGCCTGTAAAGAGACCCTACTACGTGTTAGGCTCCAGCTAGGAGGAAAAAGAGAAACAGATGCTTAGAAGGCATCAGAGGCAGAAGCAAGGCCACAGTGGCAAACATGGGGAGAGAGGCACGTGTGTCTGCCTGATTGCAACAGGAACCGGGCCAGAGGCAGAAAGGCAGGGAGAAGATGGACCAGTGAGGAGGAAAGATGAGGAGGTGCAGACACAGGTACTTGGTATGGGCACCATGTCTTGGCTCCCAGGTTGGCTAATGCTGTCCTGTTAATGAAGTGAGTGATTAATAGCCAAGGGGATAGAGAGCTGGTATATGAGATTAATCCCAGTTAATGAATCCATTGTTAGCGGCATTAAATAGCAACAGCGGGGAGGGTGGAGGCAGCCTCCTCTCTCCTCTTGGCGCATCCAGACCTGGGCTGGCTCTGCAGCCATGGGAGAGGGAGGCTCTTGGCATGTGGTGGGGAGAGAGTGGAGAACAGGAGGAAAAGAAAGGAGCATGTATCGCATCCCTGCTGGAAATTGAGTGCTTTTGCACACGCTGTCTCCCGCTGGCCCCCACTGACCCTCAGGCAGGCACGTATCACCCCCATTTTGCTGGGCCATGGAGATGACAGCTTGCTCCTGTCCCTGGCAGCTGGACCCTCATCTGCCTGACTCCTGGCCAGGTTCTTGTGGTCAGGCCACACTCCCTTTCTAGGGAAGCTGAGTGACAAGGTCCAGGAAGGGAGAGTGAGGGCAAAAGAGGGAGAGTGAGGGCGAAAGAGGGGAAGTGAGGGCGAAAGAGGGGAAGTGGTCACTGGTCACTGGAGACAGGTGGAGATGAAGGGACATCGGGAGCTCTTCAGGAACCAGGACTGGAAGGGTCCTGTGGTGGAACATGGAGACAGAGACAGAGTGGGCAGCAGAAGGGCTTAGGGGACAGCAGGATCCCAGGGGTGAGGCAGCCTTGCCGGACATTACTTCCCTCCAGGACTCAAGTCTCAGAGCTATCCTGAGACAAGGCATCAAAACAGGGACATCTGTCTGCCCAGCTGCCCCCACCAGGGTTCCAGCTGACAACCTAGAGCCATCTGAGAGGACAGAAACCAGTCACTCCTGCCTGCCCCAGGGCTTCTTCAGAGGATAGATGTGACATTTCCCAATCCGCACCTGTCTATGCACTGTTCCTAAAAGCTGAAAACATGCTAATTTGTTTGACCTTCACAATAACCCTGAGCAATTGGTATTATTGTTCCCATTTTACAGAAAAGGACACCGAGGCTCAGGGACAGGCACTCTCACCCAAGATCACATAGCAAATTGGTGGGACAGCCTGGTTTGGAAACCAGTTCTACCTGGCTCCAAAATCTATGGTCTCGCTGCAAGTCCTTCTCCCGCTGGACCAGTCATCCTAAAAGTGTGGTCTCCCTAGACCCATGGGGCTGGGATTAGCAATATGTGTTTCCATAAGCCTGAGTGTTTCTGAGAACCCCTGCCCTGCACAGGCTTCCCTGCCTAGATAGAAGAGAGCATCTTTTCCAGGGAGATGCCAGGCAAGTCTCCCAAGAGGATGCATCTTCCAGACCTACAAAAGCCAAAGCACCCAGGAGCCTCTTCTGTCCTCCAGCTGCACGCTCTCCCTGGGCGATTTCATCCTATCCCATGGTTTTCCACAGCATTTATATGCTGACAATGTCCCAATTTATAGCTCCAGTCCTGACATCTCCCCTGAAATTCCATCACATACATCCAGCTGCCCACCTGACATCTCCGTTTAGATGTCTAAAGCCATCTCAAAATCAAAGTGAATCCTAATTGCCCCCAAACCTGCTCCTCCACCATCCTCCCCATCTCAGTAAATGGCACTGACATTTACCCAGTTGCTCAGGACCAAAGTCATGGAGTCATGCTTTACTCCTCCCTTTAGCTCATAGTCCACGTTCAATCCAATAGGAAACCCTGTTGCTTCTGTTTTTGAAATATATTTCAAAGCTGACTGCTGTTTACCACCTCCACACTGCCACTGTGCTCTGTCTTTCTCTTCTCACCTGGACGTGTACAGCAGCTTCCTAATTAACCCCTCAGCTCCCATGCATGCTCCCTACAGTCTTATCTGCATTCCATGGCCAGAGTGATTGTTTTAAAACCTAACTCTGAAATGGTGTCACACCTCTGGTCAAATCCCTCCAATGACCTCTCAACCCATTTAGAATTAAATCCACAGTCTTAGCTTTGACCTCCAAAGTCCCATATAATATGCACCTCCACATCCCTCACTTCTCTCCAACCTCAGCCACTCTCTTACCACACCTGCCTTCTTTCCTTCCCCAACCCAGCCCTCATTACAGCAAGCATGCCCCCACCCCAGCGCCTCTGCACAGGCTATGCCTCTGCTCAGGATGGTCTACATGGGCTTCATTCAGTTCCCTGCTTAGACGTCAGAGTGACATGGCCGGGCACAGTGGCTCATGCCTGAAATCCCAGCACTTTGGGAGGACGGCTAATTTTTATATTTTTAGTAGAGATGGGATTTCGCCATGTTGGCCAGGCTGGTCTCAAACTCCTGGCCTCAAATCATCTGAGGCCTGGAATTTGAAACCAGCCTGGCCAACATGGCGAAACCCCATCTTTACTAAAAATATAAAAATTAGCTGGGCGTGGTGGCGGGCACCTGCAATCCCAGCTACTAGGGAGACTGAGGCAGAAGAATCACTTGAACCCAGGAGGTAGAGGTTGCAGTGAGCCAAGATCATGCCACTGCACTCAGCCTGGGCAACAAGAGCAAAACTTCATCTCAAAAAAAAAAAAAAGTCAGAGTGACCTGTCCTACCACCTCGTCATGCTCTCAGCTTTGTTTTCAAAGCACTCATTATCACCTGGCATAACCTCAAAGATTTGTTAGTTTCATTGTCTGTCTCCCCTATCAGGCTGGCTGTACACTGCATGAGGGGAGGGATTTTCCTTCACTCAACAACCAGAATGGTGTCTGCCATGGAAGCTGTTCAATGAGTATTTGGTGAATGAATGAATGAATGAATTTCTCTGAATTTTTTTCCTTACCTGAAAAATAGGCACAGTCATCTCATAAAGTACCTGAGAAGATTGAATAAATACATTAAAATACCCAGCTCATGATTGGCATAATGTGGGTCCTAATCAAGGGTTTTTGTCATTTTTAGATCTTCTCTTCCCTCCCTTGCTGAAGAATCCATGCTGGCTCTGTATCTCCCAGCACCTTGAGCGTGGGCCTGAACCTGACCAGATCGGTAAAGGGTTGACTAGCGTTCACCAAGCATTGGCAAATAGGTAGACTATAGTCATGTCTGTGCCTCATTGTCCCCTGGGAGAAACCAACAACAGTAAATTCACATCTATATGATATCTTACGGTTTCCTCTATACCGACATCAACCAATCTTCACAACCATCTAGTGAGATATGCACTATTATCCCATTTCCAGATGAGGACACTGACAATGCAAGTGATTTACCCAGAACTGTAGCTTCAGGATGTGGCCAAGATGGGAATCAGCCCCTAGGCATCTGATGCCAAGACCTCTGCTCTTTCTTCTACCTCCAAGCCTCCCTGCCTGGAGCGCACTTCCTCACTTCCAAGTTTTCACTTTTGTTTGGACTGCCCTCCTCTGTGCTTCAAGTCTCTGAGTTCTCCTCATCCTCTGAGATCTAGCTCACCTTTCTCCTCCTCCTGGAAGCTCTCTTGACTTTCCCCCTCTCTCCTCCAAGCTTTTCTGGTACTAGATTCTATACTCTCTTGCCCTGTTCTCCGATTGTCTCCTGTATGTTTTCTCTCATCAACTATAACAATAGTGACACAGAAGTTTTGTCTGTTTGTTTGTTTTTATAGAGCCTCACTCTGTCATCCAGGCTGGAGTGCAATGGTGCTATCTCAGCTCACTGCAACCTCTGCCTCTCCAGCTCAAGCAATTCTCGTGCCTCAACCTCACAAGTAGCCGGGAGTACAGGTTCGTGCCATCACGCCCGGCTAATTTTTATATTTTTAGTACAGATGGGTTTTCGCCATGTTGGCCAGGCTGGTCTTGAACTCCCGGCCTCAAATGATCCACCTGCCTCAGCATCCCAGAGTGCTGGGATTAAAAGTGTGAGCCACCATGCCTGGCCAGAACTTTTCAATTACATTTGCTATATAAGCAAGCAGATGACAGACACATAGAAGAAAAAAATCAAAGTTCCCCTTCACTGCCTTGCTCCCCAGTCCCATTCCCACTGCCAACAGTCTGGCCTGACCATACATGTACTCACATGCTAAAAACCATGCCTAATAGATAGGATCATACTGTATCTATTCTTCAACTTGATTTTTTTCACTTAGAAACGTGTCTTAGTGCGTGTGCCCCATCAGCACACATAGATGCCTTTTTTAAGAGCTGTAGGTCTATGGATGCACCATGACTCTTTTAACTGCTTCTCCATTGGTGGGCATTGGGGTTGTTTCCAAGTTTCACTATTTCAGAGCAGCCTGCAACAAATAATCCCATGTGAGCCTCTCTGAGCACATGTGTGTTTCTATGGGAGAGAACCGGAAGTGAAGTCATGAGGGAGGGTTGCCCCTTCAAAGAAGCAGAGTCAATTTACATTTCATCAGTGCATGACACACCCACCCATCCCGTACCCTGAATTTACAAAGCACCTCCACAGCACCGTCTTATTTGCCTCTCACAAGAACCCTGAGAGGTAGTAATGTTAGTACCATTTTACAGGTGAAGACTGGAATTCAACTCCATCCTGCCACTCTCCAGGGCTCAAACTCACATGTGGTCTTTCCTGCCTACAAGACCAGTCCCCAGACCCTGGGAGTGGAGGCAGTGGTGGGTGTGCGCTCAGGAGTCCCAGCAGGGTCATGAATATTACAGAAGCGTGGGGGATATTTGGGGTAGGGGTAGGGAGTATACAGGTGAGGGCACTTGGTGGGGGCTCAAAAACCTGAGGAGGGGCTTTCTTCCCACTACTTCCATGGCTCAGAGGAGCCTGGGCTCAGGCTGAGAAGCAGGGCTGCTATGTTGCCATGGAAACGGAGGGTTCCTATCTCCCTCACAGCAGGAATCACGGTGATTGGGGGATGGGGGGTGGGAGGAGGATGTTTCCCTGGCAGCACCAAGGGTTGGGGCTAGGAGGCTGGTCACTCCTCTCACTCCTTCCATTCCTCCCTTTCTCCTCCCCACCCCACTGTCCAGGCCAGCAGCCAGCAGGAGGTGTCAGTGGTGGGGCTGGTATGGACCTGGAAGGGAGACATAGTTTGCTGTGGGGTGGGGTGAGGGGTCTGGGTCTCCCCAAAGAAGCTGTAGAAGGTCCCTGCTTTTAGACATCCCACATGCATTAGGGGCACACATACACCCTGAGTGCTGCCAAGATACTCTTACAGGACAGAAGCCTCCTCTCACTGTCACTCAGAGAGTCACAGAGCCAACCCCACACTCCAGTCCAGCACGCCCAAGCTTACCTGAGGTACATGTACATATGAACTTCTCAAAAACACACACACAGAGCCAACCGCTTACAGGCAGAGTCACACACTGACATGCTTATACATGGACAGGCTCGCACACTCAGTCACACACAGTCACACCTACACATACACGTCGCATGCACCTGCTACCTGATGCATGCTTGTGATTACATATTTATGTGGGTGCAAATATGTGCATGCACACACGCACCTCCCTCTGCTTCTGTGAGTGATTGTCAGTTCCTGGAAGCACTTTTCCTTCCTCTTCACACCTCCTCCTACTCACTCTCCCTCCTCTTCCCTGTGTCTTCCCCCACCCCACTGGCCCTCAGCTTGTCCTTGGCAGGAGATCTGCCCTCTGAGCTTAGCCCTGGAAGGATATGCTGTCATTTCCAAGGAAGCAGATTCTCAGATGTAGACAGTGCTCAGCCTTGAAAACATAGAAAGGGCTGAGGTTGGTGTTGGCAGTGTTGAAAGGGCTGAGGGTGTTGAATTTAGTACCCCACCCATTTCCCTTCCCTTCCAGATGATACTCCTGCCCGATCCTGCACTGAATTAACAGCAGCAAAAGCCACCCCGCTTCCCAAACAGAACAAAAACCTCCTACAAGCTTGCCACAGTAAGTAAAATTGTGAATATCCAAATAACCATGATTAATAGTAACAGGCAGCTAAGTAGCTGTTTACTGAAGGCTTGAGCACCAAGTACTAAGTCCATGGTCGCACTTATTTCTTGTATCAGCCTTCTAGGTGCGGAGTGTTATATCCATTTCAGAGAAGGAAACTGAAGATTAAAGAGTTCATAGAACTTCCAAATGATGGAGATGGGCCTCAAACTCGGGTCTGCCAGATCTGGATGATTCCTAACCAAGGGCTCCCTAAACTTACACTGCCAAGGTTGCATTCACTAAGCTCCTGCACTGTGCAAGGGCACTTTGACAAGAGAGCCAGAGTATCCACAGGTTGACTGACACCAGGAAAGCAGACACCTCCCTGTGGAAATGGAATACCAGACCTTCCTCTCCCTAGGGCCCTTTGCTCATTCTCTGCCTCCCACCTGAAGAACATTTGCTGCTCGTCTCTGGGACTCTCATCCCTGCCCTGGATCTGGACTTTCCTTCAGCATCTCCTCTTCATGTCACTAGCTTGCTCAGCCTTCCAAATCCCCACTGCAAATCAATTCTTTTGCAGAGAATTATTCTAGTTCCATTTCCCTTCTGGCCCGCTCCAGCCAGACCCAGAGAGCAGTTTGGTACAACCACAATGGTTCATCAAAGTGTTATGCTAAACACAGCTCACTTAATTCCTAAGAGGAATTGTGTTCTCAGTTACTATTTTTTTTCTCCCCACTACACTGAGATAATATCCCCCTAGCTTTTTGAAGACAAAATGTTCTTTTTTTTTTTAAGTGTTCATACTTAGCAAAAGTTTAAGTTGCCAGACTCTATGGGTTCTCCTTTTTTTCTTTAAATAAAAGGGCCTGGGAACTAGTGATTGCCTACTAATCTAATCCAATCCCTCATTTTCACAGACTGGAAAAATGAATCCAAGAGAAGAGGCTTAACTTGTCAAAGAATCAGCTTTATTTGTGAGCTGCACAGACTCTGGGGTCAAAAGACCTGGTTCGAAGCCAGCCCAGCTACTGTGTAGCTGGTAGTTTGCCACAATTAGGAAGTCATCAGATCTGTGAGCCTCAGTTTCCTCATCTACAAAATGGGCTGAGAATCAATTAAAATATTACATGGTTATCACTTTGAAACCATAAAATACTATCAAGTGTTAGCTGTCACCTAATCCTTCAACTTCAAAGCTGGAGCAGAAGCCAAGCCTTCTGACCCATGTCCTGTTATTCCTGTCTTCCTCAGTGTGTTCAAGCAGGACAAGGGTAGGCTGCAGAGTCAGAGACCTGGCTCGGACCCCAGCTCTACTGTTCACAAGCTGTACAACTGTAGGAAGAATAACTCATATCCTCAGTGGTTCTTTATCTGCAAACAGGGGATGATCATAATAAATTCCTGGTTGATAGGATGAACTGAGTTAATATACAGGAAGGGGACTGAGTGGTGCCTATCGCATGGCTGGCTGACAATAAGTGGGTGTTCTCTCCCCTTCCCCTCAATCCTCCAGCTGTCATTCTCTGAATTTCCTCCATGGTGACCAATCTCTTACTTTCTTTGAAGGAAGATTTGATTTTGGAAAGAGCCCAAGGTCCCCGAGAGGCTCATCTGGCCAGGGAGGCAGCCTGTTAGTAATGAAGCCCGGGAAGGAACACCCTTTGGATGTGCAGATGGGCTTCAGCTCTACAGGGGAGGAAGAACTTCTGCAGTGGCTCAGGAGCCAGCTCGGAAGGAGGCCGGTCTCGCTGGGGGGCATGCCGGTCCACCTTGAGGGAAGCAGGTCTGCACCTCCCAAGACAGGTGCCATCAAGTGTGGGCAGCTCCAAGGGGCTGGTTCTGGCCTTGATGACTGCCTCTCAGTTTCGCTGAGCCGGATGTCAGAGCCAGAATGACACATCATCTCGTCCACTCCCTTGTGTTTTTTAAATGAGAGAACTGAAGCCTTTCCTTCCCCCACCTGTCCCCTGATGAACAGAAGGGAAGCTTCAAGTGCTACTCAGAATGTCCACGCTAGAAAGTGACCTTGGGGCTATCCAGCCCAGCCCTCTCCTTCTCCAACCTTCTCTTTCCTGCCCACCCCACTTTACAGATAAGGGAAGCAAGGCCAGAGAGAGAAGAGCCATGGGCCCTATGTAGCGACAGAGCCTCCGAACACCCACGTCTCCTGACCCTTGCGCGGCGTTCTTCCACTGCCCTGGGACACAGCTCTTTATATGAGAAGCAAATGACTGCTCCTTTGGCCTTTCCTGAGAGTGTCCACGGAGCGGGAAGGAGGGCAAGCCCAAAAGGAGATGCCAGAGAGGGGTGGGCCACCAGCTAGGAGAAATTGACCAAAATCAAAGCTGCGGCACTACATGCTGTCTACAGAGGGTCCTGCCAGGGAGCAACTCCTCCGCAGACAGCCCAGCTCCACAGCAGCTATCCCTGCCCCCACGGTGACTGGGCAAGCCCCCCACTCTCTAGCCTTCCACTTCCTCATCTGTGAAAGAGTGGGCGCTACACTGTATACACCCCTGGCCTTCATACCACAACTCCAGGGACTGCAGCCAACATCCCACAGCAGAATCTGGTGGCCAGGGCAGCCAGAGGGCCCTGCATCACTAATCCCCATAGTGCCCATCGGAGGAGCAGCAGGAATCCTCAGTGCAGGCTTTTACCTCAAACTTCCACTTTATTGGGCTTCGGTATCACTTTTGCCCCTCTGTCTCCCCCAGATCTTCCAGCCCCCTTTGGCAGCAGCTGCTGGGAGCTCAGCCTGGGAAAACTGCACCACCTAGGGGCACTCAGCCCCCACTGCAGCCTGGTAGAGGAGGAAGGTGCGATCCAGGGTTCCCCTCTCCTCCCAGAGCTCTCCCAACCCTCCTCTGCCTCGGGGTCCTCACTGTCACCTTGAGAAGGGCGGGCAGAGCAGGGGATTTTGAAGACAGAGAAACTGAAAAGGTGAAGCAGCAATGATGTGTTAGAGTCCAAACCAGAGCTCAGGCCTCCTGATTCCAGCAAGCTTTTTCTACCTCCCATACCAACCTCCAGTCCAAGTGAACATCTGGGTGGAGTGACAGTTGACACGTAAGAGATTAGTAAAGGCCGGGCACGATGGCCTACACCTGTCATCCCAGCACTTTGGGAGGCCAAGGCGGGCAGATCACCTCAGGTCAGGAGTTCGAGACCAACCTGATCAAGATGGTGAAACCCCATCTCTACTAAAAATACAAAAATTAGCCAGGCGTGGTGGCAGGCACCTGTAATCCCAGCTACTCAGGAGGCTGAGGCAGGAGGATCACTTGAGCCCAGGAGGCAGAGGTTGCAGTGAGCGGAGATCGCACCACTGCACTCCAGCCTGGGCGACAGAGCAAGACTCCATCTCTGAGAAAGGCTGGGTGCAGTGGCTCACTCCTGTCATCCCAGCACTTTGGGAGGCTGAGGCAGGAGGATTGCTTGAGGTCAGGAGTTTGAAACCAGTCTGGGCAACATAGTGAGACCTCTGTCTCTATAAAATTTTTTAAATAGTTTTTTAAAAAGAGGCAAGTCTTCAACAATAACTCTTTGGTAGGACAGAGGTCATCTTAAATCACAGAGAGACTTTTTCGTTTGCTTCAATAAGGATTTAGGATGGGACAGGTCTGACAACAGGCAGTGAAGTGGCCTAGTGGAAACACCAGGAGCTTTTTAGGGTTAGGGTTAGGGTTAGGGTTAGGTTTAGGGTTTAGGGTGCCCGACAGACTGGGGACCAAGTCCTGGCTCTATCAAGGACACAGCTGGGCCATCCCTATGTCCCCTCCAGGAACAAGTCCCTGAACTAGCTGCAATGCAGGATTAACTTTCTTACTGGGTTCTTGGGAGGATTATTAACAAATTTTGTGACTCCTGAAACACATGGTTGGTGTCAATAGGTCTGTCCTACATGCCATGGCCGGAACTGTCTCATCTCTTCTCCACTCAGAACCCCCCACAAGCCTCCAAACCCAGGTTAAAAGCCGAAGTCCCCACCATGACCTGCCTTCCTTTACCCCTGCCCCCTCGACAACCTTTCTCCTCCTTCTCCACCCACCAACCTCACTTCCTGCCCTGTCCCCTTCCCACCACCCACCACCCACCACTGGCCTTCTCACTGTTCCTGAACACCCTGGGTGTGGTGTTTGCTGTTCCCTCTGCCTGTAATAACACTTGCATAACCTGCTCCCTCACTGCCTTTGGGTTTTTACTCAAATAGCACCTTCCAAAGGGGTGTTCCCTATCTAAAATTTCAATATCCATCCTCCTCCACATGACTGCTTCTTTCCCCTCAGCCTTTGTGACCATCTCACCTACTACACTGAATGTAATTCACTCATTTATTATCTCCTCCCATTTGATGTGCTCATTGCTGACTTCTTGGCATATAGTGGGAGCTCAGTAAACATTTGTTAAATGTGTGAATGACTATTCAAATAATAATTTTTAAAAGAAAGAAAAAACTCTGACCCCCAATGCCACTTGGAAACTCAGAAGATAGGTAACATGTATGATACTTTTCCATTTACAATATCTTTTCCTGTGAAATAATAAATGTTACCCCAGGACACTGTGAGAAGACAGGGAAGGGATGGCCATGCCCTTCATGGATAAGGAAGTGGAAGCTCTGTGGATCGAAGGACTTCTGCCCGGGTCTTGTCACTGTAAAGGCAAGATCCAGGAGAACCCAGTCTCCAGGCTGAGAGCTGCAGAGCTGTCTTCCCACACTGCAGCTTCCGTGGAGTGGGGGACCTGGAGGTACTTATGCTGAAGCACTTGCTTGAAGTATTGTTCTTTGAATAAGCACAGTATTTAAGTGGCCACCCAGTCAGCTTTTAGAGGGCTATCCCAAGGAACAAGCAGAGCCTTTCTTAACACGCATGAAAGCTGACTGGGCACCAGCTCTTGCCATAGCAAGACCAAGAGACGAATCCAGGGCACAGAATGCCAGACTGATCAAAGCAGCATGGCTAGCCTCCCAGAGCAGAAGCTGCTTCCACCAGAGGAGCCAAGTCACGGAGAAAAGAACAGGGATGCTGAGATTGGATCCCAAATCCATCGGGAAATGGCCTTCCCCCCGGCAGGCCCCATTCCCCAGAGCTCCTCCTGTCTTGCCCAGCTGCAGGATGCTCAGCTCTGTGTGGATATGTTGGCTTGCCCCTCTCCCTAAGCCAGTGCTTCTCGACTAAGAGGAATCTGACAGGGACTATTTGGCAATGTCTGCAGACATCTTTGGTTGTCACAACTATGGGGATGTTACTGGCATCTAGTGGGTAGAGGCCAGAGATGCGGCTACACATCCTACAATGCACAGTGCCCCCAGGAATTATGCAGCCAAAGTGTCAACAGTACTAAGCAGAGAAGCCATGCTCTGGACCATGAGTCCCTGGAGGGGTGAGAAGTGTCAGAGCCTTTTCTACACACCCAGGGCCCAATGTGGCGCCTGTAAAGACACCTGTAAGAGTTTGCTGATGGACACAGGCCAGGTCAGAAGACCTCTTGGTCTGTCCTGACTCTAGGAGTCTATGATTTAAACCCTCTGACTCTACCCTGCAGGCCTCACACTCCTCATTGGCAGGGCTGATGGCCCTGGGGCTGGAGGTCAGGGGCATCTGCAGGAGAAGGGGGTTCCCTGTGGCGCCACATCTCCCTTAGGTTCACAGCCCCCAGCTCTGCCCCCACTCACACCTGTTCTCAGTGGTGATGCTGGGCTTTGGAATGAGACCAACATGAGTTCAAATCTTATCTGTCCGTGCACTCACTCTGTGTGCTCTTGGGAGTCACTTCTCTTCCTCATCTGTAAGCCAGGGGCGTAATCCCTGCTCTACCCCACTGGGACTTTTGTGAATATTCACAAAGTACTGAACCAGCATGAAGAAAATCTTACTACTGGAGGTGACAAGCTGGCAGGTTGCAGTTGGAGAATCCTGAGAGCTTCAGGGGCCCCAGCTGGAGAAGATAACTTCCTGGAGAATCTCTGCTTACCATGGCATCAGTCAAGCTACGGCCAACTGAGATGTCCCAGGAGCAGGAACCCCCACATCCACACCCACAATCAGCAAGAGACCAGCCCCAATGAGGCAATCCAGAAGATGTCTCCCCAAAGGAACCCCAAAGGAACCCCATGTTGCACCGTGGAGAGACAAAGGGAGCCAGCCAGGATTCTCACTTACACCCCTCACCCCCAACCATGTCCTAGCCAGTGTGAGGAGTCCCTAGAGTTGGGACACCTACCACATTCCTGGCAGAGCTTCTGGAGTTGAGGTCCAGGAGTCTGCCCCTCTCACCAACAACCTTTGAACCCTGTTCCAGAGGCCCTGATAGAGGCAAAAACCCTTAGTGAAAGGATGTGCCAAGCAGGGCATTCAAAGTCATGTGTCTCCATCCGATATTCCTATTCCATCTCCTGCCAGTCTCTTCAAATACCTACTGTCCCCTCACCAGGACAATTTGCTGTTCCTAGAATTTTCTGGCACCTCGCACCTCTGTGTCTACACACTACTCTCTTTACCCGGGAATACCTGTCTCCATCTTGTTGGCCATACACATTCCTTCTCACCCAGACCAACTTATATGTTAGGCCAGTGCCTGGGGTCAACAACACTGTTAGGGGTCCACAGAAATATTTTAATTTCTTTTAAAATTAGAGGAAAAAAAAAATTTTAGGTCAAAAAACATGTTTTAATATGTAATATTAGGCTGGGCATGGTGACTCATGACTGTAATCCCAGCACTTTGGGATGCCAAGGCAGGTGGATCACTTGAGGCCAGGAGTTCGAAACCAGCCTGATCAACATGGCAAAACCCTTCTCTACTAAAAATGCAAAAATTAGCCAGGTGTGGTGGTGCACACCTGTAATCCCAGCTACTTGGGAGGCTGAGGCAGGAGAATCCCTTTAACCTCGGAGGCAGAGGTTGCAGTGAGCCAATATTGAGTCACTGCACTCCAGCCTGGGTGACAGAGCAAGACTCTGTCTCAAAAAAAAATGTAATATTGATATATTTTTTCTAAACCAAGGAGGTTGTAAATATACTTTTTAGGGATGTGTGTGTGTGCGTGTCTGTGTGTGTGTGTGTGTGTGTATGTGTAGGAAAGGGTCCACAAAGTTAAAATGATTTAGGATGCAAGAAAATCATAATGTAGCCCTGTCCTCAACCTTCAAACCTTCCACACCCCCAACAAAACTGCCCCTTCTCTGCATCCCCACTATCCATCCATTTATGTGCTCAGCACATGATGTCACAGTCATGTGCAAACCTGTCTTTCCTGTGGATGGTGAGCTCTGTAAGGGAAAGGGCTCTACCTTACATCTTCCCGTCTCCCCTGCACCTAGCTCAGGCTAGCACATGGCAGGGACTCTGCAAAGGCTACTGAATTCAGCTGGTGCTCCTTGGTAAAAATAAGGAACAAAAGCTTTACTTCCTCAGTTCACACAATAACACAATAACGTCCATAGCAGAGCTGTCTCTAATCATGTATTCATTCAAATCTGCCCGTGATATGCCAGGCACTGGCCTAGGCAGCAAGAATCAGTCAGCATTAAGAAAATAAACAAGATCCTTGCCCTCATAGAGCTTCTGTCAGTACCTCTTGCCAGTCTCTACCCCTTATACTCTCCCATCATCTCCCCATCCTGCCCCACAGACATCCTCCCAATGCTGGGGGCAAGGAGAGAAAACACCAAAACACAATCCTGCTTCTCTCACCTGCACCAAACCCTCCGGGGGGGCCCCACCACCTCTCCCAAAGGCACTGCATTCCTCTCTCTGCCTTCCCTGAAGGTGACTACTCCAGCTCCCGCACGCTCATTAATTTCATGCTCCGTCTCCTGTGTGACTGACCTACTTTCTGCTCTTTCCCCACGTGGCTGCCCAGTGTCTCTCCCACACCTGGGGCCGGGCTTCCCTCAGCCGCTCCCTCTTCCCTGCAGCGAGATGTTCCCTCTGAGGCCTTGTCCTCCCTACCCCATTCCTGGAGCAGAGGTTTCCGTGGCCCTGGGGAAGGCAGTAACACAGGCCTTAAGTGGGCTCCCTGACTCTGGATTCAAACCTCAGCTCCCTCCCTCTCAGGTGCAGAGTGCTGAGCAAGCCACTGCCCAGTCTGAGCCTTCACTTCCTCATTTATAAATAAGCCTGCTGTGCAAGGTGGTTGTAAAAAGATACCATTGGGAAAAGGGTAGACATCACAGGTATGGATTCAAAAATATCCCTTGTCCCAATCCCACCCACGGGCCCCTGCCCCAGCCGGAATTCCACAATTTCCGAGGAAGCCTGCCACAGCCCCCTCTGCTCCAGGGGTTCTCCTGTCCTTCCCAGCCAAGCCCCTTTCTTTGCCTACTCTCCTCCTTCAAAGCTGTTCCGTGAAAGGGCCGTATATGAAAAGCAGCCTCAAATACTGAAGGAGCCAAGAAACCAAAGGCGGCAGACAGATTCAGTTTGTCGGTACTGTGAAATTGATTATGGGAACTTATAGACAGAAGCATGGTCTTGGATGGCCACAAGATAGGTGGATCTCCACCCAGCAACCCCCCAGACCCAGAGCTTCTATACCACAGGAAAAGGGTATACGTGCTTCAGCAAGACTATTAAAGGCAGCCCTCTAAAACAGGTGAGATGCTGTATGTGTGATAGCTTATAATTTGTATGATAACATCAAGGTTGACTTTCTTACACAAAGGACAGTAAATAAAACGGGAATCGGGGGCATTCACAGGACTGGAGCTAATCAGAAGTCAACATGGAGGATTAGCATCCAAGATGGAGTCACTTTTGTCTCCACAGAGGCCAAGCACAGGGTGCTCCCTCTGAGCAGCCCTCCCATGTTCACCATGTTCACCCCCCGATCCCCTCACACAGCAGCCTGCGTTTCTTTATACCTCCTACCTCACTCGGGAACAGACTTGAGGCAGGGCTTTTAATTGGTAATCCTCATTTGGCATTCATCACAGAGACTTACATCTGGGTTTTTCTGGGAGAGCCCTAATGTCAAATATCCTGCATCTCGGAATAAAAACAATAGTAGCTAACATTGACTGTGGGCTACTTCAGACAGGCACTTCACCAAGACTTCACATGAACCAGTTTGTTTAATCCTTATGATGATCCTATGAAGTAGGTAATATTATTACTTCTGTTTTTCAGATGAGGAAACAGAGGCACAGAGAGGGGGAAAACTTGCCCAAGGTGCCCAAGGCACACAGGGCCCAACCCCAAACCATTATTGAAGCAGCTGAACTGTTAACTGCTGCTTGTATTCAGAACTGGCTCAAAAATCCATTTGAAAAAAAAAAAATGTGTCCTACACACTATATGTAACTTTCCATATGGCAAATAGGATTGTTGGTCCTCTTCTCTCAGGCAGGAGTTAATGGCAGAGTTGAAGCTTCTAGAACTCTGTGCTCTTTCTAGTACATTGGGCTGGAACCAGGGAGCTCTGGGTTCCATGCACATGGTCTGGAAGGCCAGTGTCTGTGCTAGCTCCCGGCAGGGGTCAGAATGCGTGGCTGCTCTGTGCACTGGGTGTGTGCTGGGAATGCAGGGGCCACAGGGATCATCTGATGAGGGGAAACAAGGACACTGTTTCACGGGATGAGGCAGTACCCCGCTTTGGAAATGCAGTGCAGAGTTGCGGGGACATCAACCAGGACCTGTCCATTCTGCAAATCACATTCGAAAATATGGCCGGGGGGCAGGGACAGGGCAGCCATCAACTGCAATGCAGAGCATGGCTTTCCACCCGCCTGGCAGGCGCCTGAGCTCAAGGAAAAGGGCCTGGACAGTGGTTTGCCTTCCCATGGAGTTATGGGGAAGAAGAGGTGCTGAATCCCTATAACACCCCTTGAGTAAAGGGCTGTAGACAAGACGTTTTGTCCAATAGAGTTCATTTAGTTTTAATAATGCATATTTGTTTTCTGATTATAAAGATAAAACATGCTTATTGTGAACATTAAGAAAAATTTAAAAAGTCATCTGCAATCCCACTATTCAAAAATAAGAGCTAACACTTTGGTCCTTTTCTCTAAGCCATTTTTCAATGCCTATGTATTTTTATATCATCAGGGTTCTAACAGTACCATATATCATGAGTATTTTCCCACTCTGAAAACTGTCCAAACCATGATTTCTAATGATTTTGTAATGTCTGGTCATGTGGGACATCCTATAATACATTTAATCATTCTCTTCTTGTTGAATATTTAGATCACTTTCTATTAACCCCATTTCAAAACTGCAATGGCTGTTAGGGCAAGAAGTTATACTGCCCAGTTACATAAAAATGAAGAAATAAATGAATAGGGTCAGTCCAGATGTTTAAGGGTGTGAACAGCCAGAGAGGGAAGTTTGGATCTGATGCCGTGGTCACCCATGTGGGTGGAAGGTCTTGAGCAGGCCATCAAAATGCTCTTTGAACCCTCCCCCAAGGCAGGTGTTGCAGGGAGAGCCTTGGCTTTGAGAATGCTGGCAGAGGGACACTCCTCCCAAAGACTGGCCTAAGGGACAAAGCTCGGCAGGAACCCTGGGGGAACTTGCCAACCTCGCTTCCCTGGTGGTGCAGGACTGAAAAAGGCACTCGCTCTACTTTTCACAGCATTCAAAAGCAGAACTGTCAAAAGCTGGCCCCCAAATGCTCATATTATGTGGGAGAAAGTCTTGGGGAGAAAATGAGGAAGGAGGGGAATTATGCAATTGAAAACATGTACCAATCCAGACAGAATAATGAAGCACAGACACAAGATTCTGCACTCAATGGAAATTGCATTTAGCCATGTTTTGTGGTTTGAGAAAGAGAGAGACTGACTCAGAGAGACAGATGGAGACACACAGGGTGAGGAGAAAGAGAGGGGAAAAACGGAAAGAGACAGATGCAAACAGAGAGTCCGCAGCAGCCAGATGGAGTCCCACCGAGGAGAAGATTGGGAGCAGAGAGGCTTGGGGCAAATGGCTTTGTCTTCTCCCTGTCTTTCTCTCCTGTCTTTGCACCTGGGTCTTCAAAGTGTCAGCCCAGGGCCTAAGCCACTTCGGACATGAGCAAGAAGGAAACCAGGAGACTTCCCTCCTCCTAACTGGAGGTTTGAGTTTGTTTTGATTTTTTTCTATTTTTAAAAAATATTCTCTGTGTTTCCAAGTGTTCAAAAAACAGATCACCCATGGAATACTACTTAACAATAAAAAAGAATGAACTATGGATACACAGGACACCTTGGATGGATCTCAAGGGCATTACGCTGAGTGAAAAACATCAGTCTCAAAAGGTTACATACAGTATGAGTCCATGTATATGACATTCTAGGAATGACAGAATTGTAGAAATGGGGAGCAGATTAGTGGTTGCCAGGGGTTAGGGATGGTGAGAGGGAAGGGGGTGGCTATGATTAAAAAGGGTAACATGAAGAAAACCTTTGTGGTGATGGAACAGTTCTATATCTTGATTGCAGTGTGGTTACATGAATCTATCCATGGGATAAAATGACAATGAACTATACACACACAAGTTACCAATGTCACTTTCCTGATTTTGATATGGTACCATTGGGGGAAACTGAGTGAATGTCATGGGACCTCTCTGTATACCATTTTTGCAACCTCTTGTGAACTTATAATAATTTTAAACTAAAAGTCACCCCCCAAAAAAGTTACAAAAAATAGATCGTGTACTTTTCTTATAGTCAAAAAGTTATGCTAAAATGTTAAGTACCACACAGATGAAAGCTAAAATAGTTATGACAAAATATCATAATTTAAGGGTTATAATCCATATAGAAAGTCTTAAGCAAAAATCCACCCTGTTCAGAAGGCTGAACAGGAACCAACTGGAGGATTTGGAGAGTGTGATTGAGAGGGAAGTGCACTCTGCTTCTTCCTGGCTGTGTGACTTTGGGTGGGTCACCTCACCTCTCCGGGCCCAAATTCCTCATCTGTACAATGAGTTGCTGTGCAGATGAAAGGAGACAGCCCTTGTGAAGCACACAACATTCAATAGATGTGAAGTCCCTTCCTTCCTCGAGCCAGCCAAGGGCTGTGACAGGTGCACTGGCCTGGGAGGGCCCTGCCTTCACCTGCTGGGACCAGGAAGGAAGGTTGGTGCTGAAAGGCCCTTAGAATCCCATATATGCCACCAAGCATGCTATAAAAGTTTTTCAGCCCCACAACAGTTGGAAACAAATACCCATTTTTCCCTGAGAAGGTTTTTCTAGAATTATATTTATCTTTAAGAATAATTTTTAAGGCCATCACAAATGTGGTGGCAGTGAGAGAAAAATCGTATGGCTTCAAAACAGAAACAGACAAAAACAGTAATTCCATTAGTATTTTTAAATGGTAAAAGATGAAGATAAATCTTTCTGCTATGGTAACTGTAAAACACGAGAGATAAGTCAGGTTTTGAAGGGCAGTGATGCTGGCAGCTGAGGGTCACCTGTTCAGAACAGGCCATATCGGTGGGTGCACACGCAGGGGTGGCCTGAGGAGGTTTGGGGGAGCAGTGGAGAAGCCCTGCATTGCATGAATGAACTTGCAGGCTGAGAGCCACTAGGTTTGAGTGGCTGATTCACAGATGAGACCCAAAAAAAGAACGATGTGCCTCAAGTCCTCAGGGCCTGCATGTGGCAGCTCAGGCCCTGCTTCTGGAAATACATCAGCTTAGGGAGTGAGGCTGGTTTTCAGAGGAGCAATGTCTCCTCTTAGAACTGTGACAGCGTTTCAATGACACTTTTCAGTGTACAAAATGCTTCTAGAGAGCTATTTCCTTGGCTTCTCCCTCCTACTTTAAGACTCCCTCCATCCAGGCCCTGCCTAGTGCCCAGTGGAAGGTCAGCCGTCGGCCGCTTCAGCTCCTCGGTGACAGCAGCCCACTCCTTGTTGGACAGCTCCTGTTGTCAGAAAGCTCTCCTCACCAGCCAGTTGTGATGTCTCTGACCCAGACAATCAGCCCCACACACAGCCTGTCACTCCGCGATTTGAATTCCATGCCTGTACATTTTAAAGATGAAAACATCTTTATGAGTCCCTTGTTGAAATGCAAATATGGCTGTGAACACCTAAAGCCCCACGTCAGGGAAGACCTTTGAGATGGAGTGTTGGCAGGAAGCCCTGTGATGGAGACTAGAGGCCAAGAGGTCTAAAGACACTTTTTACAGGGGGCTCTTTGTATCCTCCAGGGCCTGAGTCACCTTGGGGAATAAAAGAGAAGGATCCATAAAGGCAGATTCCTTTCCTTCTTGTATCTGCAAGCCTGGATGCTGGGGGAAAAAAAAAATCCTATCTGCAGTCAGAGAGTGTCTTCCCTGGGGAGATTCAAGGGTCCAGAAACTTCAGATCAAGATGGTGCTGTAAATTCATGCACCAAACTCACAGCAATTATATAAAAAGATAGATTCAAAACAGGAATAGCCATGCTCAAAATCAGAATCAACATTTTTGTGGATCAGAATTTCAATAGAAACACAAGGGGCTACATAATGTGGAAGCCAGGGGTCTGGCACCAGAAGCAGGGGAAGCAGCCAGGAGTTTGACTCCCTCACTGCCTGAGGGGCTAAATGAGACCCTTGTGAGGCCAGGGCCAAATCTCATGATGCTGGTTCAGTGACTGGACATGTGAAATTCCCACCACCATTACAGGATGAAAGCCTTGAGTCAGCAGCCTAAAACCTGGCTCTAGACAGGGTCCCAGGAGTGTGGGGAGAAGCTATCAACCCACTAAGCAGAGTGAGTATGTACAGAAAAATAAATCCCACTTTAAAAAAGCCTGCAAACTAAAATTCCAAAACACATGACGAAAATGAATGCAGATGTAGACAGTCAACAAAACTAATAATTGGCAGAATGAATCCACTACAGACAAAAGTGAAATAATAGAATTATCTGAAAACAATTTCAAAATAAATATGTTTAGACTCTTCAAATAAAGTCAGGAATAACATCCATACATACAAAAGAATAATAAATTATAAATTAAAAACAAGCAGAAACTAAATAAAGCCATTTAGAAACACTGGGAATGAGAAACATAGTTGTTGAACTAAACTGGAGAGAAAGAATAAATCTAGATTAGACATGGTAGAAGATAGGATTAATTATTTGGAAGCAAATGAATTGTGCATTTCACCTACGTTGCAACAAGAGATAAATGATAGGAAAGAGCATTGTAGAAGTTAGAGGAGGTTGGAATACAGCAGACAAGTTGCAGACACTGTTAATGCCCAGCCCACATTCCCTTGGCTGACCCCAGCAGTCACCTGAAGATGGGCTCTGTACACGAAGACAGCTTCCTACATCTCTGCCTAAGTGTTTCTGGCCACAGGAGCATGCTCAAGCTTGCACAAGGACAGGTGGACTCCTGGGGGAGTTAGTTCCAACAAAGACCCTCAACCAAGAGGGGCATTATTAGTTCATGATAAATACTCCAGCTTCCTTTCCCATTGGTAGGACAACTATGTGGTCTGTTTCACATAGTCTCCCACAGGCCCCACACCAGGGCTGAGCCTCCGTTGGCCACCAGCAGCAAACTGCTCATGTTCAAATCTTTTACTGGCTTTTCTCCTTTCCTTGCCTCACATCTCCACTTCTTCACTGCACTTCCCAAATTAACTACTAGCATCCAAATCCTTCTCTTGGGTCCTGCTTTTGGGATACCCAAACTAAGACAGCAAAATAACCATGGCTCAAGCAAAATACAAGTCCATTTCTCTCTCATGGAATGGTCCAGCACTAGGAAGTTTAAAGCTAAGAGGGCAGTTTCGGCCGGGCGCAGTGGCTCACGGCTATAATCCCAGCACTTTGGGAGGCAGAGGTGGGCGGATCACAAGGTCAGGAGATTGAGACCATCCTGGTTAACACGGTTCACCCTGTCTCTACTAAAAAAAAAAAAATACAAAAAATTAGCCGGGCGCGGTGGCGGGCCCCTGTAATCCCAGCTACTTGGGAGGCTGAGGCAGGAGAATGGTGTGAACCCAGGAGGCGGAGCCTGCAGTGAGCCGAGACGGCACCACTGCACTCCAGCCTTGGGGACAGAGTGAGACTCCGTCTCAAAAAAAAAAAAAAAAAAAAAAGCTAAGAGGGCAGTCTCATAAAAGCCATCAAAACCCAGGCTCCTTCTATCTGACTTCTACCCTATAGTCCAAGATGGCTGCACCAACTCCAGCCACCTCGTGTATTTTTCAGATAGCAGGAAGAAGGCACAAAGAATAGCACACTCCCCTGCTTAAAAGACATTACAAGGAGGTTCCACAAGACTCCTGCTTATACTCATTGTTCAGAACTCAGTTATATGCCCGAATGTAGCTAAGTGGAAGACTCAGAAATTTTTTTTTTTTTTGAGACAGAGTTTTACTCTTGTTGCCCAGGCAGGAGTGCAGTGACGCAGTCTCAGCTCACTGCAACCTCCGCTTCCTGGGTTCAAGTGATTCTCCTGCCTCAGCCTCCCAAGTAGCTGGGATTACAGGCACCCACCACCACACCCAGCTAATTTTTGTATTTTTAGTAGAGAGGGGGTTTCACCATGTTGGCCAGGCTGGTTTCAAACTCCTAACCTCAGATGATCTGCCCACCTCAGCCTCCCAAAGTGCTGGGATTACAGGCATGAGCCACCACGCCCAGCCAAGAAATGTCATTTTTAACCCAAGTAGGCATGTGCCTAGCTGAAAGTTAGAGATTCTATTACTAAGGAAAAAGTGGAATAGACACTGGGAGACAACTGGCATTCTATAGAATGCCAAGCAGTTACGAAACACAGAGTAGAGACTGACAGACTGTTATGTAGGAGTTCCAGAACAGAGGGAGTGCAGGAGAAGCAAGATTACAGAAATAAGGACTGAGAATTGTCCAGAATGAGAGAAAGACATTGCTTAGATTCAAAATGCGCACTCAGTGCTGAACAGAACAAATAAATTTACACCTAGACCCAGTGTAGTGAGACGATAGCACATCAAGAATAAAGAGAAAACATCAAGGCTATTGCAGTAAAAAAAGGCATTACATGTAGAGGAAAAGTAATTACTCATTTATCAACCAGCAAATATGTATTAAGTGCTTTCTTTGAGTCAGGTCTGTTCTAGGGATGGCCATCCAGTCCTGACCTAGACAAATAAGTTTAAATGTCTATCATTTATTATTAAATAGAGATTGAGGCCCTTAGAGAAAAAATACAGCAGAGCAAGGAATAAAAGTGATGGAGGGTGGGAGTGGGTAGGATGTCTTAGGGAAGATGCTCAGGGGAGGCCTCTCTGTAACATTTGAGCTGAGACCTGAATGAAGTGACGCAGCAAGTTATGCACATTTTTGGGGAAGAGCATCCCAAACAGAGGAAAGCAAGTGCCAAGGCCCCGAGGTGGAAATGTACTTGTTATGTTCAAGAAACAGCAAGAAGGCCAGTGATCCAGCAGAGTGAACAGGGGTAGCAGAATAAGCGGGTTGTCTGGAGAAGGCGTCTGAGGCCAGATCTTATGTGTGGAGCCTTGGTGCAGCAGTGCGTTGGTGTCAACTCAGACTGGCTCTGTCTCGATTCTTTACATCCCTTCTCAACTCTGAGCTCAGTGATGTTACCTTGGAAGCTTGAAATTGGCCATGGAGGGAGAATATGCACCACAATTAGCAAATGCTACATATCAGGGCTCTCTGCCTCTGAGAACTGGTTGTTACCAGCACAGCACCGCTCATAGCTGTGGTGAGAAATTCAGACATTGTTCAAATTGGAATCAGAAGCATTGGAGTGTTTTGAACGGCAAAAAGGCAGAATACTGCCACTTGGTTTCCTTCTCACAAGATCACTGTAGAGAACAGAGCCTAGGGTGCAAGAATGGAAGCAGGGAAATGGATTAGGAGGTTGTTGGAGTGGACTGGGTGAAAAAGGAATGGGGACAGTCTAGGAAGGCCATGAGGAGGAGGCAGTTTTAATCTGGTCTTCTATTTTCTGGTACGATCTCCCTTACATCCTGTTTAGCCTCTGTTGATAGACTGATTCCACTGGCTGGGAGGAGCATATTTTCCTGGAAAGAGCATGGGATTTAGAATCAGTGGGCCTGGATCTACTTCTCAATAGTATCCCTTGAGGAAATTATTTAACATCTTTTGAGTCACAGTGTCCTGTGTGTAAAACTGAATACCTGAAAAGGTGGCTGTGAAGACTAAATGAGATAAGGAGTGTAAAATTCCCATTTATCCTTTGGTGGGGCAGAGCGCCCTCATCCTCAGCCCACCAGGGTCCCTCATGTAGACTTCATGCCTAGAAGCAAAAAGAATGAAACTGCCAGGATCAGATTCCCCGGGGCTGGTCGCCGGTCTCTGCCTGTTCCCAGGTGGGCCACCAGCGCCACCTCGTGTCCAGTCTGGGTTCTTGCAGGCCAGCCTTTCCCTGGATGATTTCTTGATCCTGAATCACCTCCATTGCCAGATGGAGCCAACAGTGCATGAAGTGTCCTAACATTCATCGTCTGACCTGCCAACAAAGCATGCTCTCTGCTCTCCTCTGATCCTCCTCTGCATGTCAGTCTCACCTCCACATCCAGATTGTAGAGGGCACACGGCCTGTGTCTTCAGCGTCCATTCCTTTTACTTGAGTAATTACTTTGTGCCACTCATTCTGACATAATCCTTAAGGCAATTATATCCTTATTCCTTTTCTGGAGAAACTGAGGCCAAGACATAGAAAGTGACTTGCTTAAGGTCACTGGGCAAGCAATTGAGGTAAGATTTGATTCCAGGACTTCTCAATGTAAACCCAAGGTTTTTTTCCACAAAAACATCCAGCACAATGTGGGTACCCAGAAGATGCTCAGTGGATCATTTCATTTTTTAGGCTTTTTAAAAGAAGTGAGCAAAAATAACTGAACAGGAGCCAGGGGACCCACCCTCAGGACTCAGATTCAAGCTCTGTCTTTTACAACTTGCTGAATAACCTTGGCTGGATCTGGGTCACTCTGTGGCCTTCAGTACCGCATGAGGAAAGGAAAGGGATTAGACTAGGTGATCCCAAAGTTTCCCTCAGGTCCTGATGTTCAACAATTGCAAAGTTGAGGAGAGGGCTCTAGAAAGGGGTTAAGATTGTGGGCTCTGAGGCCACTGCTTGGGTGAGTCCAGGCTTCACAATAGCTATGAGGCCTTCAGCAAGTTATTTATCTCAGCCTCCGTTTCCTTGTCTGGAAAATGAGGATGATGAGAGTAATCATCTGTACCTCATAGTGTTGCTCAGTTATCTACTAGACCCTCTTAAAACTGTGCTTGGTACATGGTAGGTAATACATTTGTGTTCATTTTTCAAAAATATTGATTCTGGCTGGGCGTGGTGGCTCACTCCTGTAATCCCAGCACTTTGGGAGGCCAAAGAGGACAGATAACTTGAGGTCAAGAGTTCAAGACCAGCCTGATCAATATGGTGAAACCCCGCCCCTACTAAAAATACAAAAATTAACTGGGTGTGGTGGCACGCACCTGTGGTCCCAGCTACTTGGGAGGCTGAGGCATGAGCTCACTTGAACCCAGGAGGCGGAGGTTGCACTGAGCTGAGATCACACCACTGCACTCCAGCCTGGGTGACAGAGTGAGACTCTGTCTCAAAAAATAAATAAACAAATAAATAAATAAAAATAAAAATTCTACCTGCTACCTAATTCTATTTGTTTCAGGTAACATAAAAGTCTTGTGCATTACAAGGTTGGCCACTGGTTAATTCCTGCAAGCTCCTGGACAGTCATGCATCTAGCCACAGATAAGGTCATGTGTTTGATTCCACATAGTATCATCTGGATTACAACATAAATAAAACCTGAAAGTCTTAAGCCAAAATGAGGATCAAAGACCATTGTGTTCTCCTAAATTCCATCATTCAAGATATCCTGGAAATTTCTAAGACTTGGATCCTAAACCAGGCCACTCTGAGCCTCAGTTTTCTCACTTGCAAAACTGGGAATTGGACTGGCTATTTATGAAAGCTGCTATTATGGGCCCGGCACTGTGATAAGCTTTCACACAGCGAAATCAGAGTATAGTGTGCACTGACAAAGGGACAAGGGACCCCTGCCCTCTGATTTGGGTCACTGTACTTCAGGAACTGAGGTTGGGCAGTGGAATGGTGCATCCTCTCTATCCTGTTCCTTGGGATATCTTCCTAAACGGGTAAGTGGGGAGCCTGGAGACCTTGCTAGGTGATGGGACAAATCCCTTCTCCTCTGAGAATCACAGGCCTCTAGGGCAGCCCAGCCCAGCCCAGCCCAGCAGGACTTTCTAGGGTGATGGAGGTATTCAATATCTGTGCTGTCCAATATTGCAGCCACTAGTCACCAGTAGCTTCTGAGCACTGGAAACATGGCTAGTGCAATTGAGGAACAGAATTTTAAATGTATTTACTTTTAGTTAATTTAAATTTACATAGACCGTTGTGGCTACTGGCTATTCTATCGGATAGAGCAGCTCTGAGATATTTGGCTTTGAGAGCATCCTCCTGGAGAGATGAGGTAATTGAGACACAATTGGACTGAGTGGTTTGCTTAAAGGTTTTCAGTGACTCTGTGACAGAATTGAAACCAGAACCTAGGTCCTTCTTATTCCATAACAGGCCTTTTTCCTCACATCACTGCTAGATGTGGAGACATCTAACATTGCTCTACAATAGCACCACACTTTTCTACAGGTAAGTAGTTAACCTTGACTGCAATGCTCTTCCTACCCACAACCATGCTCTTTCTGCTGGGTAAACTCCTACCCATCCTCAAGACCCAATTCAAACATCATGACCTTCTCCCCATTCCTGGCAGTTCCTTGCTCCCTTCCTGTCCTCCTGCAGCATTTTGTCTGGTTAGCTGTCGGAGCACTTACAATGTAATTGTCAATTTATTTATCTCCCCAACTTGACTAGAATTCCCTAAAAGCACAGATGGTTTTTTATTCTTCCTATCTCCAGAACGCAGCACAGGAGTCTGGTCAACAAACGTGTGGAATCAACATACTAAATATACTACAATGTACAGACTCCAAATAAAAGCAGACCTATCCCAGAAGATAAGGGAAGTGTACCAACCAATCAGAATGCCTGGGTTCTGTTTATCATCATGCTAAATTGCTGTGTGACTATGGGTATATTGTGTCCCCTCTTTGGACCTGAGGGGGTTGGACTGTGCCATTTCTAAGTAGGGCAAGCCCCAGCCCCTCTACACTAATGACCCCAAGGGAGTCCTGGCTCAGCAATTTGGGCAGGATGAGATGGAGCCTCTGGGGGAGGTTACTGGGTATGGTGGTGGGCGATGGCCAGCACACTGTGGCCGGCACAGAAGCAGCTGCTTGCTGGACTCAGAGCTGCCAGACATGCAGCTATGTCAGCAGCAAATTCCTAGGCCACTGGGCCGGGAGAGTCCAGGGCCCCCAGAAACAGTAGAGGAAGGACTGAAAGAGCAGCTCAGAGGCCGGGCGTGGTGGCTCATGTCTGTAATCCCAGCACTTTGGGAGGCCGAGGCAGGTGGATTGCCTGAGATCAAGAGTTCGAGACCAGCCTGGCTAACATGGTGAAACCCTGTCTCTACTAAAAATACAAAAAATTAGCCAGGCGTGGGGGCACACACCTGTAGTCCCAGCTACTCGGGAGGCTGAGGGAGGAGAATCACTTGAACCCGGGAGGCGGAGGTTGCAGTGAGCCGAGATTGCACCACTGCACTCCAGCCTGGGCAACAGAGCGAGACTCCGTCTCAAAAAAAAAAAAAAAAAAGCAGCTCAGATAGGAACCAAGGGAGGAAGGGAAAAGCAAGGAACCAGCACATCAGAAAGAAGAAAAAGACAGAAAAACACAACAAAGGTAGTTATAGCACTCCCACAAACATGGTGAACGTTCCTAAAACTCACCAGACTTTCTATAAGAATTGTAGCAAGCACCAACCCCACAAAGTGACACAATATAAGAAGGGCAAGGGTCTTCTGTATGCCCGGGGAAGGCAGCATTATGACAGGAAGCAGTATGGCTACTAGGCCAACTTTTCAGGGAAAAGACTGAAATTACAAAGAACATTGTGCAGAGGCTTGGGTGTTTTGAGCCCAACTGCAGATCTAAGAGAATGCTGGCAGGCTATTAGGAGATGCAGGCCTTTTCAACTGGGAGGATGTCAGAAGAGAAAGGGCCAAGTGATCCAGTTCTAAGCTTCATCTTTTATTATGAAGACAATACACCCTTGAGGTTATGTTCACTTCATTTGGTTGTAGCTGGTCTTTTAGGAGGGAATAGACTAAAGCCATCAACAAAATTCCCCTTTTGGGGAAATTTATGCTTTGTGGTTCTTCTGGGAACTAAGGAAAAAAAGAGAAAAACACAACAAAATAGTGACTGGAAAATCCACTTCTGGTTAGACTCCCATTCATTCGTGCATTTTACTCATGCATTCAACAAATATTTATTCACAGATTTCCTGAGTTCAGGGGCTCTTAGGTCGTTGGAAGCAGAAACTGAGGGCCGAGGTGGGGAATGACTTGTACAGGTCACATGAGTTACTGCCCGCCTTCTCACCTATGCCAAACCACAGTGCCAGTGGAAAGTCAGCCTTGTGTAGCCAGTGTGCCTGGCCGGCGGGCCCACACTCACCTTCAGTTGTCAAGGCCTTGGGAAGGGCCAAGAAATGGCACTCTCTTCCAGAGAACAAAAGAGGGCTTAGGGCCTTCTGTGGCCTCCTTAGGGACTCATTCCTCATGGAGTGGCTTAATAGAGTGAGCCCTGGACTTGGAGCTGGACAGTTCTGGATTCAAGTCCCCAGAGACTTCCTTTTTCTTCCAGTTGGATGAATTTGGAAAGTCATCTCTCAGAGTCAGCTTCCTCATCCATAAAATGGAGATAACAATCCCTCACAGAGTTGCTGTGAGGTTTAAATGAGATAATATGTGTGACTGTGGTAAAAGTCATCAGTAAAGGTTTTGCAAATGAATAAGACAAGAAAGAAAACAGCAGCCCCATCAGCATCAGCAGTGTCCTGGCTTGGCACTCACAGCAAGGCCCTGGCATTCTCCTGCTGAACATAAGCATGTTCCCAGAACACTGACACCAGGCAAAGCCTCTATAATCATAAGACAGGCAGCAAGACCAAAAAAAGATCACTCCACACCATGTCTGAATACAGAGAAAAACCTGGCCAGGCGTGGTGGCTCACGTATGTAATCCCAGCACTTTGGGAAGCCGAAGTAGGGGGATCACTTGAGGTCAGGAGTTCAAGAACAGCCTGGCCAACATGGTGAAACCCCATCTCTACTAAAAATACAAAAATTAGCCGGGTGTGGTGGTGGATGCCTATAATCCCAGTTATTTGGGAGGCTGAGGCAGGAGAATCACTTGAACCCAGGAGGCAGAGATTGCAGTGAGCTAAGATTGTGCCACTGCACTCCACCCTGGGCGACAGAGCGAGACTCCATCTCAAAACAAAACAAAACAACAACAACAACAACAACCGAAAAAAAAAGAACACTGCAAAATCGTTAAAACTACCAAACAGCCCCCTCTCCTGGTCAACATGAGTGTGGTGATTTCTTTACCAATGACAGCCTTAGCCACATTCCATTCGTCCCCCTCTTAGATAAAAATAATTAAAATGCCTAATCACTGAATTGCCACTGCTCCCTGACAGCACCTGGCCCAGAGAAAAACTCTCCTGGTACTCTCTTTCTGAGCTGCCCCATGGTCTCCAAGGTGTGTTATGTCCTTTGTGCAGCATGTAGTAATACCAACTTTGACTACGGGTGTGTTCCTGGTGGTCTTTTGCTATGGAGCATTGATAAAGATTTAAATAGTGGAAGTTCAGAGTCTATGACAGACCAGTGGGAGAATATATGTACACATATCTGTGTGTGTGTGTGTGTGTATACACATATAATTTTTTGCCTGAAGGACCTTTACCTCAAATTGCACAGTGATGGGTGACCTACTACTCTGCTTATGAATGAAATTGGCCCACTGGTCTAACCAGGCTCTGGCAGAATTTGGGAAATAAATGTCATGGGCAGGGGAAGAAATGGTCACAAGAAGAAAGATTAATGTTTACAGAAACCTTACCACATGCCAGACTTTGTCTCATTTAATTCTTGTAACCACTCTATGGGGTAGGTACAGTAGTATTTTCCCAGTTTATAGATAGGGAAACAGGCTCTCAGAAATTTAGTAAGCATCTGGTTCAAGATTTGAGGCAGGACCAACTCCAAGGCCCCTCCTCTGTTCACCCGGTTGTGGGCTCCTCCACCCTCTCCAAGAAGGGAGGAGGAAGCAGAGCTGACCCACTCTGCCTCCTCATCCCTGAGTGCCCTGGCAACCTGACCACCTCCTTTGGCCACATGGCCCCTGAGCTAAGGCCTAAAATTAGTCTCGAGTCACAGATCAGAACCTTCATGAATTCTCATTTTATAAGTGGGAAAACTGAGGCCCAGGGAGGTAAGTCCTCTCCTCTCCTATTCAGCCTCCCTCCAATGATTGCTGGAGCTGACTCCTACTGACCTGCAAAGGCCAATGATGTGCATCTCTTCCCAATTCAGTCTTAACAAGCTACTGTTGGTAGCTTGCTATCAGCCACGGTGAGAGTATTTACACCATGGGTATTGGCAAATGCTGCAAATCAGGGATTTTTTTTCTTTTCCACCAGAGATCCAGTTATTAAACATTTGCCAACACATCACTGGCCTCTCCCTCCCATAAGGAAAAGGAATTATAAACATTAGTGGGGATGTTTGGGAACAACCCACATCAGAGTCTAGGCAAACTATCTCAACCTAGCTTGGCTGTGATTTTGTCACAAGTAGCCATGTGCTCTGTGATTGACTTGTGTCAGAATAATCTGAGGGTATAATTGAAAATGTCTCCTGGGCCCCACTGAATCGGAATCTCTGGAGGGAGGACCCTAGAATCTGCATTTTAACAGTTATCTTCAGATGATTCTTTTGGTTCCTGAGTTTGAGTATCTCTGCTCTGTATTCTCATTGCCATATCAAATGACACCTAGTCACAGAGGGCAAAGTTTAGACCCTCAAAAAAAATGTAATTCAGCCTCTATATTTCTTGAATGCCTGCCGTGTGCTCACTGAGAGTGAATGAAGACAGGCCCAGGTCTACTTATATCTTCTTTCCCCTGTCTCTGGGGTGATGGTGGAGAGCTCATTGGCATCTAGACATTGGAATCAGACAGAGTTCCACCCACATCACCTTCCAGAGAGCACTAGGTGAGTTTGCCTGCTAGAAGTTCCAGTAGAATCTGTTAACACAAAGGAAATATATAGTCAATTTTAATTATCCAACTAAGTTGAAATCAGAAGAACTGGGTTAGAATCCTGGATCTGACCCACACTAAGTGGACTTGCCTCTAAGGCAAGTTCCTTAACCTCTCTAGAGCTCAGCTCCCTTCTCTGTAAAAGGCATCTACCTTAGAGGTTTATAAGAATCTAATGCAATAACCCTGGGGAAACAAACTGATTTCTACAGTGCAGGACACACATTGATTTCCTCAGCTAGCTCACCCTTGCAGGTGAGCCTTCCACAGCTCAAGCATCATGGGGCTGTTTTCCTCTTCAGACTGTGAGCACCTCAGAGATACCCTGGACTTACCTATCTCTGTATGTGCTCAGCACATATTAAGTACTTCCTAAAGGCCTGTGATTGAATATGAATTGTATTAGTCAGGGTTCTCCAGAGAACGGAACCAACAGAAGATGATAGATAGATAGATAGATAGAGAGATAGATAGATAGATAGATAGATAGATGATAGATAGATGATAGGTAGATAGATAGATAGATAGATAGATAGATAGATAGATAGATAGATAATTTGTTATAAGGTTTTTGCTCACATGATTATGGAGGCTGAAAAGTTCCAAAATCTGCTGTCTGCCAGGTAAGAGACCCAGGAAAGCCCAAAGTATAGTCCAAAGCCTGATAGTCAGAGAGCCGGTGGTGTAGATTTCAGCTCAGGTCTGAAGGCCTAAGAACCAAAGCACCAAGCGCAAGAGATCAATGTCCCAACTCAAGCAGTCAGGCAAAGAGCAAAATCAACCTTCATCTGCCTTTTTTGCTCTATTCAGGCCCTCAAGGATTGGATGACATTGAGGGCCATCTGCTTCACTCAGTCCACCAATCCAAATGCTAATCTCTGCTAGTCAGACATATCCAGAAATAATGTTTAATTAACTATAAGGGCATCCTTTAGCCCAGTCAAGTTGATAGATAAAATTTACTGTCACAAGATCTATGTGTAGATACAGACAGGTAAAGCTACCCACACACAGATACTATTATGGGATTATTCCCCCAGTGGTGGCATGGAGTTGTAAATAGAGCACAGGGATTGGGGTCAGGAGTTTCAAGTATTAGGGTGGGGAACAGTATGTATTGTATAATAAATTACCACAAACACAGAGGCTGAAAACAACACATGCTAAGTATCTAACAGGTTCTATGGGTCAGGATCTGAGACTGGCTCAGCTAAGTCTTCTTCCTATGGTCTCACAAGACTTCAGTCAAGGTGTTTCCCAGGGCCAGAACCTTGTCTGAGGCTTGGCTGGGAAAGGATCTGCTTCCATGCTCACTCAGGTTATTGGCAGAATTCAATTCCTTATGGTGGTAGGCTTGAGAGCTTCAGTTTGTTGTTGGCTGCCAGTCAGGGTCCACCCTCAGCTCCTAGAGATGCTGCAGTTCCTTGCCGTGTGGCCTCCCAACATCCGCAGGCTGCCACATGCCAGCTTGCTTCTTCAAAACCAATGGAGAGGCATAGGGAGACTCAGCAAGACAAGTGCCACGCTTTCTTTTTTTTTTTTTTTCGAGACGGAGTCTCACTCTGTCCCCCAGGCTGGAGTGCAGTGGCGCCATCTCGGCTCACTGCAAGCTCCACCTCCCGGGTTCTCGCCATTCTCCTGCCTCAGCCTCCCAAGTAGCTGGGACTACAGGCGCCTGCCATCACGCCTGGCTAATTTTTTGTATTTTTTAGTAGAGACAGGGTTTCACCGTGTTAGCTAGGTTGTTCTCAATCTCCTGACCTCCTGATCCGCCCACCTTGGCCCCCCAAAGTGCTGGGATTACATGCTTGAGCCACCGTGCCCGGCCCCACACTGTCACATAATATACCCATGTCATCGCTGACATGGCACCATCTATCCCACCTATCTCATCACCTTTGCTGCATTCTACCAGTGAGAAGCAAGTCACAGCACCACTGCAGCCACCCACCCCCACCACTCAAACAGAAGGAATTACAGAAAGCCATGACATCAGCAGGTGGGATGGTGAGCAACTTCCCCAAGAGTCTGTCTGCCACAGGAACTGAGAGGAACCTCGTGAAAGATTTTCCTTGTGCGGCTGGTAGACACAGACTTGTGGGATAACAGAGCTCTGAGGAATCATGTCTCACCATTTCACATTACCTAGAAGAAAACAGAAACCCAGACAGCAAAGTCAGACTAGAATCCAGACCTTCTGACTTCCAGTTTCCAACATACTCTACTGGTTCCATTTCTACTTATTGTCAGGACTCTGAAGCCACAAGCTGGAAAGTTAGATGGCACTTTGAAGTTGTAGCTCAGTGGGTATTGGAATGTCTTAGAATACCTTCAGAATAAATTCAAATCCTTAGCATGACATTCAAGGCCCTTTGACTACCTGGCCCAACCAATTTTTTTTTTTTTTTTTTGGTCTCACCTCTTGCCATTCTCCCCTGTTATGATGGCGCCATGTCAGCGATGACATGGGTACATTACGTGAAAGTGTGGCATATGTCAACAGAGAACTATTTGGTGCTTCCTGGTGGTGCCTCCCTCCCTTTACATATTCTCCACCAGGAATGCCCCTCATTTTCTATGCCTAGAAAATAAACAAAGCGGGGAGTGGCCAAGATGGCCAACTAGAAGCAGCTAGTATGAGTGGCTCTCAAAGAGAGGTACAGAAGGGGCGAGTAAATACAACACCTTCAACTGAAACATTCAGGTACTTGCATTGGGATTAATCAAGGAAACAACTTGACCCACAGAGAACGAAGAAAAGCAAGACAGGACAATGGCCCACCTGGGAGCAACACAGAGCCCAGGGATCCTCCCTCGCCCAGGAAAGCTGTGAGTGAATGAGTGATCCCAGGAAACCATGCTTCTCCCATAGATATTTGCAACCCTCGGGTCAGGAGATATCCTTATGAACCCACACTACTAGGGCCTTCAGTCTTCTGTCTGACAAAGCTATGTGGAGTCTTGGCAGAGCAGCTGCTCAGGCATGCATAGAAACCCTGGAACCTTAAGATACTTGGGGTTTCCAGCAAAAGTAGCTGCAGCTCCAGCAAAGTGGGAGGTTAAACTCCTGTACGTACCCCTAGGAAGGAGACTGAATCCAGGGGGCTGAGCAGAAACAGCCTGCAGGCCCCACTTCCATGGCACCTCACAAGATAAGACCCACTGGCTTGGAATTCCAGCAAGCTACCAACAGTGGCATTGCATCTCCCTAAGAAGGAGCTCCCCGTGGGAGGGGTGGGCCGCCATCTTTGCTGTTCAGGCATCTTAGCCATTCCAGCCTTTAGGCTTTGGAGAGTCTGAGCCAACCTGGGGTGGAAGAGATCCCCCAGTACAGCACAGCAGCTCTACCAAAGTGTAGCCCGACTGTTGCTTTAAGCAGGTACCCCATCCCATTCCTCCTCAGTGGGTAGGACCTTCCTACTGGGGCCTCCAGCCACCCCTACCTGAGCTTTCCAGCCAATAGAGATCTGAATTCCCCCTGGGACTGCGCTCTTAGAGGGAGGGGTGGGCCACCATATTTGATGTTTGGGTGACTTAGCTGTTCCAGCCTTTGGGCTTCAGAGTGTCTGAAGCAACCAGGGGCTGAAATGGATTCCCAGCACAGCACAGCTGCTATACCAAAACATGGCCAGACTGCTTTTTCTTAAGTAGGTCCTGATCCCATTCCTCCTCGCAGGGAAGGACCTCCCAACTGGGGTCCCCAGCCACTTCCTACAGGTGCCTTTGGGCCCACAACAGGCTTGTACCTCCCTGGGACAAAGCTCCCAAAGGGAGGGACAGGCTGCCATCTTTGCTATCTTACAGCCTTCACTGGTGACATCTCTTGGTTCTGGAAAATCCAAGGCGACTGGAGACTGGAGCAGACCCCAACCATACTGCAGCAGCCCTATGGAAATGTAGCCACAGTGTTACGTGGGTGCCTATTCCCATATCTCCTCACCAGGCAGGTTCTCCAGGCGGGGGCCTCCAGCCACCCCCTGCCAGAGCTATCAAGCCAGAACCAACTCAGCAACTCCCTGCACAGAGCCTCCAGGGGCAACTGATAGCCTCTCAACCATGCCTCTGCAGTGGAACTGCCCTTGCCACCCTCAGACTAATGAATGGGCAAAGACCCTAAGTGCCTTATCCATACCTCCAAGCTGTAGTTGACCCAAGGAGATGAGGCCAGTCCATCTCCTATAGGTCCCACACACCCACCACAGCTCATCAGGGAACCACTGGCTTGAGCCCACAGCACAAACCCTCCATCTTGGGCTGACTGCACTGAGTGATTACTGACCTGCATCTCCCGGGGGTGGAGCCCCTAGGAGACAAGCAAATGACCCTGGCCACCACTACTACTAAGATCTCTTCCTCTGCTGCCTCTAAGCTGGGGAAGGAACATAAACACTGAGATCTCCCCAGAGCTGCAGTGGGCAGCCCAGGAGTGTCAAGTCATGAACTACAGCCAGCACTCAAGAAGGAGAGGAACCCACACTTTCAGAGCACTGAGAGGGAACACAGCTGCAACTGTTAGGAAACATAGGGGAGCCATACAACTAAGCAAAATTCTATCAACTGACCAAGAATCCCAATTACCACCTGCTGGCTCACACTCTAAAGCTCCAACACCAAAAATACCTCACTAACATACCCCCCTCTGAAACCAGAGACAAGAAGTCAGCTTCAAATAAAGACCCTATGCAAAACCTTGGCCCAGTAGAAAAATCCAGAAAAGAAGTCTATTGTCTGTACTCAATCTACACTGCAGTTAAAGGAACACTCACAATGCAGAGATGAGAAAGAACCATTGCAAAAACTCCAGTAACTCAAATGGCCAGAGTGTCATACGTCCTCCATACGACCACACCAGTTCTCCAACAAGAGTTTTTAACCTGGCCAAACTGGCTGGAATGACAGAAATTGAATTCTGAATATGGATAGGAAGAAAAATAGGAACAAGGATATGGCAAAACCAAATTCAAGGAAAATAAGAATTAACAATAAAGTGATACAGGAGCGGAAGAACAAAATAGCTAGTATAAAAAAAGAATCTACTGAGTCTGACAGAACTGAATAACACAATACAAGAATTTCACAATGCAATCACAAATATTAACAGCAGAATAAACCAAGCTGAGGAAAGAATCTCAAAACTTGAAGACTGGTTCTCTGAAATAAGACAGACAGAAAAAAACAAAGAAAAAAGAATAAAAAGGAATGAACAAAACCTCTGAGATGTATGGGATTATGTAAAGAGGCCAAATCTATGAATCACTGGCATTCCTGAAAGGGAGTGGAAGAAAGAAAAACAACTTGGAAAATATATTTCAGAATATCATCCATGAAAACTTCCCCAACTTTGTTCCTGAAATATTCTACACAAGAAGACCATCCCAAAGACACATTATCATCAGATTTTCCAAGGTCAGAATGAAAGAACGAATGTTAAAGGCAGCTAGAGAGAATGGGCAGGTCACCTAAAAAGGGATCCCCATCAGGCTAACAGCAGACCTCTCAGCTGGAACCGTACAAGCCAAAGGAGATTGGGGGCCTATATTCAACATTCTTAAAGAAAAAAACTTCAACCAATCATTTCATATCCAGCCAAACTAAGCTTCCTTAGTGAAGGAGAAATAACATCATTTTCTGATAAGCAAATGTTGAGGGACTTCATTACCACCAGACCTGCCTTACAAGAGATCCTGAAAGGAGAACTAAATATAGAAAGGAAAGACCACTACCAGCTAATACAAAAACACACTTAAACACACAGCCAGTGTCACTGTAAAGCAACCACACAAATAAGCCAACATAATGACCAGCCAACAGCACAATGACAGGATCCAATCCACACATATAAATACGAACATTGAATGTAAACAGGCTAAATGCCCCACTTAAAAGGCACAGAGTGTGGGAGCTGCTGTGGCTCAGGCTGGTTGCCCTGGCACTCGGGGAGGTGAGGCTACAAGTTCGAGGCCAGCCTGGTCAACATTGATTAAAAAAAAAAAAAGGCACAGAGTGGCAAGCTGGATAAAAAAAGTAAGACCCAATGGTATGCTGTCTTCAAGAGACCCATCTCACATGTAATGACACTCATGGGCTCAAAATATTAATAAAGGGATGAAGAAAAATCTACCAAGGAAACAGAAAACATAAAAAAGCAGGGTTTACAATCCTGATTTCAGACAAAACAGATTTCAAACCAACAAAGATCAAAAAAGACAAGCAAGTGCATTACATAATGGTAAAGGGTTCAATTCAACAAGAAGACCTAATTATCCTAAATATATATGCCCCCAATGCAGGAGCACCCAGATTCATAAAGCAAGTTCTTTTTTTTTTTTTTTTTTTTTTTTTTGAGACGGAGTCTCGCTCTGTCGCCCAGGCTGGAGTGCAGTGGCGGGATCTCGGCTCACTGCAAGCTCCGCCTCCCGGGTTCACGCCATTCTCCTGCCTCAGCCTCCCAAGTAGCTGGGACTACAGGCGCCCGCCACTACGCCCGGCTAATTTTTTGTATTTTTTTTTTAGTAGAGACGGGGTTTCACCGTTTTAGCCGGGATGGTCTCGATCTCCTGACCTCGTGATCCGCCCGCCTCGGCCTCCCAAAGTGCTGGGATTACAGGCGTGAGCCACTGCGCCCGGCCAAAGCAAGTTCTTAGACACCTACAAAGAGACATAGACTCCCAAAAAATAATAGTGGGGGACTTCAACATTCCACTGACAGTATTAGATCATCGAGGCAGAAAATTAACAAAGATATTCAGGACCTAAACTCAGCATTGGACCAAATGGATCCGATAGACTTTTACAGAAGTCTCCATCCAAAAACAACACAATATACATTCTTCTAATTGTCACATGGCACATACTCCAAAAATGACCACATAATTGGACATTAAACAGTCCTCAACTAATGTAAAAAAACTGAAATCATACCAAACACACTCTGAGACCACAGTGCAATAAAAATAGAAGTCAACACAATGAAAATCACTCAATTACACGGAAATTACCATACAATTACCACAAATTAAACAACCTATCCTGAATGACTTTTGGGTAAGTAATGAAATTAAAGCAGAAATAAAGAAGTTCTTTGAAAATAATGAGAACAAACATAAAACATACCAGAATCTCTGGGACACAGCTAAAACAGTGTTAAGAGGGAAATTTATAGCACTAAGTGCCCACATCAAAAAGGTAGGAAGATCTCAAGTTAACAATCTAACTTCACAATTGAAGAAATTAAAGAGGCAAGAACAAATCAACCCCAAAGCTAGCAGAAGATGAGAAATAACAAAAAATCAGAGCTGAACTGAAAAAAATCGAGACATAAAAAGCTATTCAAAAGATCAATGAATCCAGGAATTGGTTTTTTGAAAAAATTAATAAAACAGGCTACTAGCTAGACTAATTAAGAAGAAAAGAGAGAAAATCCAAATAAACATAATTAGAAATGACAAAGGGGTTACTACTTACCCCACAGAAATAAAAGCAACCATCAGAAACTACTATGAACAACTCTATACATACAAACTAGAAAACCTAGAAGACATGGATAAATTCCTGGATACATACACCCTCCCAGGACAGAGCCAGGAAGAAACTGATTCCCTGAACAGACCAATAACAAGTTCCAAAATTGAATCAGTAATAAATAGCCTACCGGCCAGAAAAAAAAAAACCTCAGGACCTGGTGGATTCACAACTGAATTCTATCAGATGTACAAAGAAGAGCTGGTACCATTCCTACAGAAACTATTCCAAAAAATTACAGAGGAAGGACTTCTCAACTCATTCTATGAGGCCAGCATCATCTTGATACCAAAACCTGGCAGAGACACAACAAAAGAAGAAAACTTCAGCCCAACATCCTTGATAAACATCAACACAAAAATACTCAACAAAATACTTGCAAGATTCATTCCCAGGATGCAAGATTGGTTCAACATACAAAAATCAATAAATATGATTCATCACACAAGCAGAACTAAAGACAAAAAACACATGATTATCTCAATAGATGCAGAAAAGGCTTTTGATAAAATTCAACGTCCCTTTATGTTAAAAACTCTCAATAAACTAGGTACTGAAGGAACAAACATCAAAATAATAACAGCTATCTATGACAAATCCACAGCCAACATTATCCTGAATGGCAAAAGCTGGAAGCATTCCTCTTGAAAACCAGCACAAGACAAGGATACCATCTCTCACCACTTCTATTCAACGTAGTATTGGAAGTCCTGGTCAAAGCAATCAGGCAAGAGAAAGAAAGGACATCCAAATAGAAAGAGAGGAAGTCAAACTATCTCTGTTTGCAGACAACATGATTCTTTTTCTTTTTTTTTTTTTTTTTTTTTTTTGAGACTGAGTCTCGCTCTGTTGCCCAGGATGGAGTGCAATGGCACAATCTTGGCTCACTGCAAGCTCTGCCTCCTGGGTTCACGCCATTCTTCTGCCTCAG
Organism: Homo sapiens; assembly: GCF_000001405.40. Lineage (NCBI taxonomy): Eukaryota > Metazoa > Chordata > Mammalia > Primates > Hominidae > Homo > Homo sapiens. The sequence goes on along the minus strand of NC_000001.11, from coordinate 41,253,000 downwards.
CCTCCGGAGTAGCTGGGACTATAGGCGCCCGCCACCACACCTGGCTAATTTTTTTTGTATTTTTAGTAGAGACGGGGTTTCACCATGTTAGCCAGGATGGTCTCGATCTCCTGACCTCGTGATCCACCCGCCTTAGCCTCCCAAAGTGCTGGGATTACAGGCGTGAGCCACCACTCCCAGCCAACATGATTCTATATCTAGAAAACCTCATAGTCTTGGCCTGTGAAAGCTCCTTCAGCTGATAAATAACTTCAGCAAAACTGCAGGATACAAAATCAATATACAAAAATCACTAGCATTCCTATACACCCACCAAGTAAACTGACAGCAAGATCAGGAAGGCAATCCCATTTATAACTGCCACAAAAAATAAAACAAAATACCTGGGAATACAGCAAACCAGGGAAGTGAAAGATCTCTACAATGAGAATTACAAAACACTGCTCAAAGAAATCAGAGAAGACACAAACAAATGGAAAAACATTCCATGCTTATGGATAGGAAGAATCAGTATCATTAAAATGGCTATATTGCCCAAAGCAACTTACAGATTTAGTGCCATTCCTATCAAACTACTGACAACATTCTTCACAGAACTAGAAAAAAAATATTTTAAAATTTATATGGAACCAAAAAAGAACCCAAATAGCCAAGGCAATCCTAAGCAAAAAGAACAAAGCTGGAGGAATCACATTACTCAACTTCAAACTATACTACAAGGCTACAGTGGCCAAAACAGCATGGTACTGATACAAAAACAGGCACATAGCCCAATGGAACAGAACAGAGATCCCAGAAATGAGGCTGCACATCTACAACCATCTGATCTTCGACAAAGCTGACAAAAGCAATGGGGAAAAGACTCCCTATTCAATAAATGGTGCTGGGACAACTAGCTAGCCATATGCAGAAGATTGAAGCTGGACCCCTTCCTCACACCATATATGAAAATCAACTCAAGATGAACTAAAGACATAAATGTAAAATTCAAAACTAGAAAAACCCTAGAAGACAACCTAGACAATACCATCCTGGATGTAGGAACAGGCAAAGATTTCACAACAAAGACATTGAAAGCAATTGCAACAAAAGCAAAAATGGACAAATGGAACCTAATTAAACATAAGAGCTTCTGCACAGCAAAAGAAACTATCGACAGACAACCTAAAGAATGAGAGAAAATATTTGCAAACTATGCTTCTGACAAAGGTCTAATATCCAGCATGTATAAAGAACTTAAATTTATAAAAGAAAAACAACCCCATTAAAAAGTGGGTAAAAGACATGAACAGACACTTCTCAAAAGAAGAAATAATGCAGCCAACAAGCATATGAAAACAAGCTCAATATCGCTGATCATTAGAAAAATGCAAGTCAAAACCACAATGAGATACCATCTCATACCAGTCAGAATGACTATTATTAAAAAGTCAAAAATATAACAGATGCTGGTGGGGAGGTTGCAGAGAAAACCCTTATACACTGTTGGTGGGAGTGTAAATTAGTTCAACCATTGTGGACAGCAGTATAGCAATTCCTTAAAGAGCTAAAAGCAGAACTACCATTTGACCCAGCAATCTCATTACTGGGTATATACCCAGAGGAATATAAAGCATTCTACATGCAAATGTGTATGCAAAGACATACACATGCAAATGTTCATTGCAACACTGTTCACAATAGCAAAGACATGAAATCAACCTAAATGCCCATGAATGACAGACTGGATTTTAAAAAATGTTGTACATATACACCACTGAATATTATGCAGCCATAAAAAAGAATGAGATCATGTTTTTTTGCGGGAACATGAATGGGGCTGGAGGCTATTATCCTTAGCAAACTAATGCAGGAATAGAAAACCAAACACTGCATGTTTCCACTTATAACTGGGAGCTGAATGATAAAAATTTATGAACACAAAGAAGAAAACAACAGACACTAGGGTCTACTTGAGCGGGGAGGGTGGGAGGCGGGAGAGAAGCAGGAAAAATAACTATTGGGTATTGAGCTTAATACCTGGGTGATGTAATAATATGTACAACTAACCCCCATGACACGTGTTTACCTATGTAATAAACCCTGACATGTATCCCCAAACCTAAAATAAAAACTAAAAATAAACCAACAAAACAAATGGAAAAATAAAACTGCTTATCCTTTGAGTCCCAGCTCAAATGCCACCTTCTCTGTGAAACCTTTCTTAATTCTTGTAGGCAGAATTAATCCCTCCCTCCATTTTGCTCTTAGAATCTTGTACAGTTTCTGTATAGCCCTTTTCATATGTATGACAGTTGTTTTTGAATTCTGTCTCTCCTGTGACATTAGGACCTTAAAGCAGGGTTGTTAGAATGATGTGAAACAAATTTGGTTTAAACAAGTCTATCATGCCAGCTGGCCCTGTCAAGAGACTATCAACAGCTTCTCCTGCTGAGCTGAGATACCAGCAAAGCTAATGAGAGTATTTAGTTCAAAGCAGATGTCCCCAGAAGCTGATAGTCAAGGAAAGGCTAGCTCAATCCCCAGCACTGCTCCATATAGTAAATCTTTACTGATCGATTGAATAGGATTGTCATTCAACAATAATTCAATCACTTGTGTACAGTTGACCCTTGAACAACATGGTTTTGAACTGCATGGGTCCATTTTACACAGACTTTTTTCAATATACTGAAAAATTGTTTGGAGGTTTGAGACAATTTGAAAAAACTCAGATAAACCACGTAGCCTAGAAATATCAAAAAATTTAAGAAAAAGTTTTATGTCATGAATGCATAAAATATATGTAGAAACAATTCTATTTAATCACTTATGACAATAAAATATATACAAATCTACTGTAAAAAGTTAAAATTTGTTAACCATGGTGGCTTATACGTGTAATCCCAGAACTCTGGGAGGCCTAGGTGAGAGAATCGCTTGAGCCCAGGAGTTCAAGACCAGCCTTGGGCAACAAAGTGAGACCTTGTCTCTATTTAAAAATCAAAAAATTAGCCCGGCATGGTGGTGCGTGCCTGTAGTCCCATCTACTCAAGAGGCTGAGGTGGGAGGATCACTTGAGCCCAGGAGATTGAAGCTGCAGTGAGCCGTGACTGTGCCACTGCAAGCGTGTCGGCCTGGGCGACAGAGAAAGACCCTGTCTCAAAAAATAAAAAATAAATAAAATTTATCAAAACTTATGCACACAAACATTTACAGACCTTATGTACATAGTGCCATTTGCAGTTGAGAAAAATGTAAACAAACATAAAGATGCAGTATTAAATCATAACTACAAGAAGTTAACTGCAGTGCATAAGGTACTACTGTAATGATTTTGGAGCCACCTCCTATAGCCATTGTGGTGAGCTCAGCTGTTAAGAGTATCCCTTAAAACAACCTGTGACGCTAATCATCTCCATGTGAGCCATTCATCTCTCCAGTAAACTGCATATCGCAGTAAAAAGTGATCTCTTGCAGTTCTCAAGTATTTTTCATCGTGTTTAGTACAATACCATAAATCTTGAATAACGCCATGGGACCTATACAAAGTGCCACTAGTGATGCTGGAAGTGCTCCCAAGAAGCAGAGAAAAGTCGGGACATTACAAGAAAAAGTTGAATTGCTTGATATGTGCTGCAGATTGATGTCTGCAGCTGCAGTTGCATGCTATTTCAGACAGATGATTCACCCTGTAAACAGACAATGTAAACTTATGGTATCGATAAATACAGTATAGTACTGTAAATGTATTTTCTCTGTTATATGATTTTCTTAATAACATTTTCTTTTCTATAGCTTATTTTATTGTAAGAGTACAGTATATAATACATATGCAAAATATGTGTTAATAGACTATGTTATCAGTAAGGCTTCTGGTCAATAGTAGGCTATTAGTAGTTAAGTTTGTGGGGAGTCAAAAGTTACATGCAATTTTCGACTGTACAGGGGGTTGGCGCCTCTAACCCCCACATTGTTCAAGGGCTAACTGTATACCAAAGGCTGGGCTTATACTAATAGTTCAAGTTACAGAGATAAGAAAAAGGCATGAACAATCAAAATCACAGGGGCTTGGGAAACAAAAAAAACCTGATTCAAAGCCAGACTCAGTTATTTACTAGCTATATGATTGTGAGCAAGTTATTTAACTTCTCTGACCTTAGTCTCATCAGTTAAAGAGGGGTAACAATACCTACACCATAAGGGTTGCTGTGTGGATTACATAAGATGATATACACACCTGGCACATTGCAGGTGCTCAATAAATGTTAATGCTGTGCCCCTTATCCATTTGTAGAGAATCAATAGTAACACAGGCAATAATTATCATACCCTATGATCAATGCTATAATGCTAAGGAAGTGTAGATAATAGAGGAACTTGTTTTATTGAGCAGAGAAGAAGGAAAGGGAAAACTTCAAACAGAGAATGAGCAGGAGCTGGCTAGGAGGATCTTCCAAGGGAATAGTGTGGACCAACACGTGGCTGTCCTGGCTCCAAGTCTTCCTTTTTGTCTACTTCCAGATGAGGTGGCATCTAGGGCCTGAAGTGAGCCATCTCTTCCTTCTGTGACAGATGACTGATGTTTTCATTTCTTTGCCATACTATATAAAGTGCCTCCTCTCTCAACCAGAAATATGAACTAATCCAATTTGCAGATGAGTTAATGCTGGGACCTGAAATGCACTGAATTCTGAAGTTCTGATTCCAAGAAGAATGTCAAATGAGTCTCACTCTCAATGCATGTGACATATTTAAAAAAATATATTTTAGGTGGATTTGATGCTGTTAAATTGAGACATATATATAAACTGTGAATGATATAGTTGCTGTGGGAACCCTTGAAATCTCCTAACATTTTTACATCCACAATTTCATGATCTCAATAACTTAGACTCCCAGAATCCCAAAATGTTAGTAATAGAAGACCCCTTAGAGGCCCAACCTCCACATCTTCCTGATGGAGGAATGTAGGCCAAGACATGAAGAATGACCTGTCCAAAGCTGTACAGCAAAATCCTTAATTTCTGACACCGGAATGCAGGCCTCTAAGTTGGAAACCCAGCTCTCTTTCTCCTGTAGTACAGTTACTCCTGAGGGACTGTTTAGGGTAAGGTCTTTTTAATTGTACACTTCAGTAACAGATATTCATTTTGAGGAAGATTCATTTCTTTTGGGTCCAATTGGTGCTTTCAACAAAGTCAAACCTCAGATTCTTGACCATCTCCATAATATATATATATAAGATATTTGATATATAATATATTAAGTATATATCATACTATATATCAAATATATATCAAACCTCAGGTTCTTGACCATCTCCATAATACTATGACCTAAAGGTGACAGAATCATAGACTCTTAGAGTAAGAATGAGATTTTAGAGGCTTATCTGGTTCAATTCATCTTCTACCAAAGAAATACCCTTCTTGAATGTGTCCAGTGATGTATTCATTTCCCCAAGAGTATTATCCCATTGTTTGCCCATGAATGCTAGCATCATCAAGTAGAACTCTGTTTCTCTGTCTACTCTGTCCATTAAGAGAAAGGGAAGGAAGGGAATGGTGTTCACTTACTGAGCACCGTTTGTGTACCAGACACATGTGAGAGTCTTGGATATGTTACCTCACTTGATTCCTGAAACATCCCTATAAAGTAGATGTTCAATTTACAAACTAAAAAAAAAAAAATAGTTCAGAAAGTTTAAATAATGTGCCCAAATTTACCCATGGTCAGTGGAAGAGTCAAGTCCATGGACTCTCTTTGGTATGCTGAGAGGCCTTGTCTTCCCTGCCTCCTATCTCTCTTCAGTGTAGCTCTTTCAGCAAGCTGTGCTAGAGATTTCCTTTTAAAATAAAAATCTGCTTAAAGGCCTTTGATGGCTCTTCAATACCCACTCAAGGTAAATAGTTCAATACCCACTCAAGGTAAATAGTCCAAGCTCTTTAGCTAATAATCAAGGCCCTTGACAATCTGGCTCCAGTCAAATATTGCAGGCTCACTTCCCTCTTCTTTTCCGATGCATCCTAGGTTTTCCATGAGGATGCCTTTTTGTCTTTGTTCATGCTGTACTTGCTGCCTATGTGTCCTTCCCCTCCTTCTCTGCCTAAAAAAGTCCTAGTTTTCCTTTAAGGTCCACTCAAATGTCACCTTCTTGGTGAAGTCTTCCCCAGTATCTCTGGGCTCAATGAACCCTCCTCTGCCTTCTCCATATTACAGAGGACATTGCAAAGTCCTCTGTAATAGCCTTTTTTGCATTGTCATGGTCCCTTGTAGACTGAGATCCTTAAAGACACGGATTGTACTTTACATTTATTTGCATTCCCAGTTCCTGGCACATAATAGGAGTTCCATAGATATGTGTGGAATAGAATTGAGGCCTAATCCTTTTCCACATGTTAGCCCTTCAATTATCTGAAGACCCTTCTAAGGCCTTGCCCTACCCCACTCTACTCCCATTAGTAGTTATTTCTTCTGCAGGCTAAATGTTCCCAACTCCTTTCAGCTGCTCCTTATAAAGTCTGATTTCCAGATTCCTTATCTGGTCATTTGCTTCTGGGTCATAATTTGTCAACATCACTCTTTTAAAATATAATGCCTAGGACAAACTCAATAGCCCAAAGTCTGGCCATAGCAGAACAAAGTGAGGGGATTCCAAACTGTGATTCCAATCTATGACGTTTTCTTGGCCATTACTGTGTGCCAGGAGGTCTTTCTACTTTATTTTCTTTCAGTCTTCAATAATCTGGTGAGGTAGGTGTCATTTCTTCCATTTTATAGATGAGGATATAAGCCATCTGGTAAGGCACTTTGAGAATAAGTTAAAGTCACAATTCCAGAGCATAAAGCAAACTTGTGATCAACTGATACCTTTAGATCATTCGTACATCAACTGCTGTAAAGTTATTATTTTTTCCAGTTACCGGCTAGTGACAGGCTTAAGGGAAACTGAGGACAAAGAATCAGTACCTTTAGAAGGGTGTGAAACCAAAGCATACAGAAAAGGCAGGTTGGATTAATGACCACCTTCCTAACAATAACAGCCTTTATCTAGGAGCTCAGAGACTGGAATGTCTTAACCACACAGCTTCCTGGAACTATTTTTACTTTGTATTTTACAAGAGGAGAAAGAGCAGAAGCGTCTTAGATAAACAACAAGGTTTGGGCTCAGCACATGTCTGAATCTGAACAGCCAGTGGGGCCCTGTGGTCACAAGGCAGATAATAAGGAGGTTGCCTCTTTGGTCTGTGGCTTGGGTCTGAAAGGGTCCTACTGTGCACATTCATTCTATAAATATAGACTGATCACCAAATGTGTTCCAGGTATGGTGCGAGGTGCTGTGGATGTAATGAAGAACAAAGACAGAGTTCCAATCTGTGGAGCTTACAGTCAGGTGAAAGATAAGCATAAATGAAAATGATATGCACAGATCCTAGTAAATGCAATGATGAATGAAGGTGCCAGGCTACAAGGAGAGCGAAAGGAGGGGCATTTAATTTATCCTGGGGTGAGGATGGAAGAGAAGGTATCAGAGGAAGTTCCTGGGGAAGGTAGTCTTAATTGATGTGTAGGACTTAATGTGGTGAAGGCTCTTATGTATTTCAATGCATCCCCCCCACACCCCGCAACACACATACTTTCTTTAAGCATCAGAAACCATCTTTCCCATTTCCTTTACCAACTCTTCTACTGGGTCATCAACAACATGAAAAAAAACAAAAACAAAAAACAAAACAAAAACTACTGTTTTTGTCAGTTCTGTCAGTGCCAGAATAATCACTCCTTTTTGCTGTAATGTAATGTAGAAAAGAGCAGACCTGGGGTTTCCTAGCATACCTCCTTTAAAAAAAAATTACATCCTGATTAACTTGCCTATTTCTTCCCTCTCCATTGCCTCTGTATTTCTTGGCTTCCCCACACCTGTAACCCAAAGGTCACAGGGTCTGTCATAGCCCAATTCCACTCTCCAGTTGCCTCTTGGTTTTTAACCCCCCTTATTAAAATCCAAACATTAAGCAACTAATAACACCCATGTGTAATTAGTTGTTTAATTGAACAGCACAGAACTGTTAATACATTATGCTGTGCCCTGGAATATTAAGTGGAATAAAAGCAAAGTACTATATTCAAGGAAACTACAGTCTGACTTAAAATACTACAATGGGAAACATTTCACACAGAGATTTTTACCAAGTGACAGTGGAGAGGAGGGAGAAATGAGTTCTTCCTGAGAAGTGTCAGAGAAGTTCTGAGCTGGATCTAAAAAAGAAGCAGGAGGCTGGGTGTGGTGGCTCACGCCTGTAATCCCAGCACTTTGGGAGGCCAAGGAGGGCGGATCACAAGGTCAGGAGATTGAGACCATCCTGGCTAACATGGTGAAACGCTGTCTCTACTAAAAATACAAAAAATTAGCTGGGCGTGGTGGCAGGCGCCTGTAGTCCCACCTACTCAGGAGGCTGAGGCAGGAGAATGGCGTGAACCCGGAAGATGGAGCTTGCAGTGAGCCGAGATCATGCCACTGCACTCCAAACTGGATGACAGAGCGAGACTCCATCTCAAAAAAAAAAAAAAGCAGGAATCCAAAGGACAATATGCATAATATTTATTTATTTTTAGCAGATGTGGGAATATCTCCCTCATGCCAAGCCTTATCTAAGGCTACAGGTGTGAATAAGGTTCCTGATCTCAAGACGCTTTCAGCCTAGAAAAGAGGTTTAGAAATATACTCCAATAATGGCAACATATATGGTGCCATGGACAGAGTTACAGAACAAACTGCTAGGGGAATTCATAGAGAAAATGTTCAAGAGAACATTTCTCACTGGACGTAGTAGGCAGAATTCTAAGGTAGCTTCCTAGATTAACCTTCATGTACACCTTCTGCATAGTCCCTGGGACAGTGGCTATGATGAATTTTACTCCTGTGATTAGGGTATGTGATGTGGCACAGGTGATCTTAAAGTAGGAAGATTATCTAGGTGGGTCTGACCTAATTACAAGTCTTTTAAAAGCTCATAGTGTTCTCTGACTGGTTGAAGAAGGGAAATCAGAGATATTTAAAGAATGAGAGGGAGTGACATGAGAAAGGTTCTCTGTTGATGAGATAAAAGGGATCACGTGGCAAGGACCTGAGAGTGGTCCCCAACAGAGAGCTGGCAAAACAGTGTAGCTGTGGGATCCTAGTCCTACAGGGACATGAATTCTGCCAACAGCCCGAAGGAGCCTGGGGCAGACCTTTCCCTCGTGGAGGTGCTAGACATCTTGATTTCAGCCTATGACACCACGAGCAGAAAACCCAGCCACACCATGCCAGTTTTCCGACCTACACAACTGTGAGTAAATCAATGGGTGTTGCTTTAAGCTGCAAAATTTGTGCCAATTTGTTATGCAGGAATAGAAAACTAATATGAGCACTTACAACACTGTGCTCTCATTAGCTATTGACATAATAGTTTCCCCAAATATGGGCTCCTTAGATTTAGGCTCTAATTATCCTTGTAACCTCAGGGCTCTTCATGAGACAGGTACTCCCCAAAACGCCATGGAATGAAAGTTTAAATTAGACAACAGGGATGCAGATCAGAACCTGGATAGATTCTGACCATTTCCATTTCTCAAGAATGGGCAGACGGATACTGACACCAATACCAGGATACAAGGAGGCGGCCCCCCTTCAGTCCAAAGCTCTAAGACCTATTCTAGAGGCAAGGCAAGTAATCCAGGCTCAGCTGCCCCATCTGCTGCTCCAGCCTTGCTTAAGTGGACTTCCCTCCAAGGAACATTGTTCACAGAAGGATCATTAACAAGACATTCCTGTGTGACCTGAGGATTGCCATGTTCTAAATGATGCCCACACCCACTCCACATCCAGCTCAGCAGAGGTCTCGGGATTTATATTGCACTGTATTTTCAAGCAGCCAAAACAGAAGTCAAGACGTCAGTTTCCTAAGCTGCTAAAATGATGTGGTGGTTAAACCAATTGTGTGCCAGGCGCAGTGGCTCACGCCTGTAGTCCCAGCGCTTTGGGAGGCTGACGCAGGAGGATCACTTGAGCCCAGTAATTTGAGGTTACAGTGAGCTATGATGGCGCCACTGCACTCCGACCTTGGGGACAAAGTGAGGCTCCATCTCTAACAAAACAAAAATAGAATTGTGTAGCCAACATGGCTGGTGGGCCTGGAAGAATGAGCCTGTGCATTGTACCTGGCCCATCACGGGCTCAGTGCGTACTCGTTGAAGGGATCACCACAGGGAGGACCGAGGACGCTGACACTCCCTAGGGCATCCAAGCACCAACTCATCTCTCACCTACCCTCCGGGTGCAGTGCTATCGTGTTGGAGAAGAGGCCCCTGGGTGGCTGTGCGAAGTAACTCGCCCAAGGTCACCACACGGCCAGCCACTAGCCCGGCGGGAGTCGCCCGAGGCGAGGCCCACGTCAGCCGGTCTTGGGGGCCCGACCGGTGGCTCCTCCACCAGCCCCACGCGGCCTCAGAGCGGGCTACTGGCGTCCTCGAGATTCGAACCCGAGTCCTCGGCCTCGTCCCCGCCCTCGCGCCCTCTCAGGCCTCAGTTTTCCCATCTACAGGACGCAGACCGGAGAGCTGGTCCGGGCGCCAACTGGGCCCCCGGACCCGGGTCGGCAGGCCGGCGGGGTACGGCCGGGCCGGGTTCCCGCGCGCCCTCCCTCCTCCAGCGCGCCGCCCCGCCCCCCGCGCGAGCCCAACGGCCGAGGCGCGCGCCACCTCGCAGCGGGAGGCGCGGGGGAGGGGCCGGGGGAGCCCCCGCCCCGCCCCCCGCCTCAGCCGCCACCGCCAGCTCGGTGGAGCCCCCCGCCGCCCGCCCGCCGCTCTCCCGAGCCGCCCGCCCGCCCCCTTCCCGCGTCTCCGCTCCCTCCCTGCGCAGCGGAAACATGGCGGCGGGAAGAGAGTGAGCCGCCCCGCGCCCCCGCCGCGCCCTCAGGTAAGCGCCTCGCGGCCGCCTCCGCCCGCCTAAGAGCTCGTGCCCTGAGGGGCCGCCTGGGGCCAGAAGGCGGTGGCGGGACCTGCGCAGCCGCTGCGCCTGCTCCCCCGGGCCGGGGTCAGCCTGTCCGTCTGTCTGGCCGGCCTGCCAGTCTGTGGTCCGCGCGGGGCTGGGCCCTTTCTCGGCCGTGTCAGCCCGGCCCCGAGCCCGGAGGCCGGCTCTGCATCTGCGGTCGGGCGGGCGGGGCCCACGGTCCGGTCGCGGCCCTGACGCCGCCAGGACTGCCCGGGGGCCCCGGCACGGGAAACCCAAGGCCGGGGGCCCTTTGGAGGGTCGGCGTGGGGGCGGTCCGTATAGGTCGCCGTGTCTGGCCGGCGGGGCCGGGTGGGCCGGGGCAGGCTGGCTGGGGGCCGAGGGCCGGGCGGCGGCGCGACCCCGTCTGCGCGGGTCAGTCGGTCCCCTCCGGCGCCAGAGGTGGGAATGCCTGTGATTCTGGCTGGCCGGGTCCCGGTTCGGGGAAGGCAGAGACAGAGGTCGACGGGGCGGCGTGGCCCCCACCGAGAGCTGGGGCGCCTAGGGCCCGGAGCTGTCAGCAGCGTCCTGGGGGCTGGGCCCCGGCTGGCCGACTCACGTGTGCCGCCTGCCCCAGTGCCCCGCCGGAAACGGGCAGGGAGAGCGGCCCCGCACCGAAGTGAGCCACAGCGGCCCTGGGGGCCAGACACGTGGGCACAGTTGTGTGCCAGCCCGAGAGCATCGAAAGTGGTATCCAGCCGATGGGTGAACCCCGGAATATCTCCTGACTGGAAGAGAATTTAAAAGTCATCTAGGGGCGCTTTCTCCCATCCCATGCCAAAGTGACTTTGAAAATCCCCAAATCCCCCCGATAATTTGACGAGCCCGTTTGGAACCTCTTCCAGTGATCCGAAGCGAATCTCTTTAAAGGAAACCCATTCTGTTCCTGGACACATTTGGTTATAAGTTGAAAGAAACAGCTGGCTCCCATCCTTCCTAGTTCTTTTCCCTTATGGGAAGCTGTTAAGATATCTGAAGATAGTAATCATGTCCCCTGAGTCTTCACTTCCACTTTCTTCAGTTGTCTCTCATCTGCTGTGGTTCTCTAAACTGTCCTCTGGATGAGCTTTAGTTTCCCCCATCCCCTTAAAGGAGAGTTTCTTAAAAGTGATCCTGGAGACAAAACGTAGTAAGTTTCTCTAAGAAACAGCCCCAAGGATTGACCTGCTTAAATCAAAAGTACTCTAGATTCCCTTCCTCATTTCTGTACTGTATTTTGAACTTAAAAAAAAAAAAAAAAGAAAACATTTAGTAGTGTTTGTTCAAACAAACTAAAAGACATCTTATTTTGTGGAAATTTGGGGGTTTCCTTCCTTTTAAAAAATGTCTATAAACACTTTATCAAATGTTGCTAACTAATGTACATCAAAATGTTTTGTTGAAGTGTAATGTGCCAGGCAAATAGAATAGCTCTTTTTTTTTTTTTAAACTCTGAAAAGGATTGAGACCTAGTTTAGTGCCAAACTGCAATTTTAATATTTGGTTGCAGAGGGAAATGCTTTATTACATTGAACTCTTTGCTCTAGTTCTAACTGCCAGCAGGAGGCCCAAAATTACTATGAAAGAGAACACTTTTTGTTGCTTACTTACCAACCTCCTAAACTCTTGCCTAAGCAACTCTGCAGGTTAGTAATGTTTTAAGCCCAGTAGAGATGAGATGGCCTTGTAGATAAAAGGCCAGGCTCTTACATCTGGGATCCTGTTTAAGTACTAAGCAAAGTTTCAGTGTTTTTACAACTTAGACAAGCACATACCAGCAGTCAGAATTGGTTCTTTATTTTTGTTCTTAAGCCTTCATTTTTTAAATTGGTCAATAGTTTTGAACTTTGTAGCACATATGTCAAGTTTTGATTTTAGGTATGTTTGTGCAAATGTTGTTCCCTTTTATGTAAGTTGGGTAAACATTTGCATAGCACCATTCTCAATGGAACTATACAGATCCAGAGGAAAGGCCCTGATTCCTTCCTTGCAAAGGACTTGGAGTGAAAGGTAGAGGATACTTAACTATGAGAAAGAATTGATGTGAATATCCCACTGAAAATTTAAACTTAGGGCTGGATGCAGGGGCTCATGCCTATAATCCCAGCACTTTGGGAAGCTGAGGCAGGCAACTCTTTGAGGCCAGGAGTTCTGGACCAGCCTGGGCTACGTAGCAAGACCCTGTCTCTACAAAAAATAAAAATAAAAATATAGCTGGGCATGATGGTGTATGTCTGTAGTCTCAGCTACTCAGGAGGCTGAGGCAGGAGGACCGTTTGAGTCAAGGAGTTTGAGGCTTCAGTGAGCCATGATCACGCCATAGCAAGTGACAGAATGAGACCCCATCTTTTAAAAAAGAAAAGAAAATTGGTATGTTCTAACCTTCACTGTACACTTATGTACCTACTATGGGTCAAGCACTATGCTATGTACTGTGCTCAGCTGGGTTTACAAAGATTTCCAATCTTGTGGAGCTGGTAAATTAGATGCTTAAATAGATTATCTCAGAATAAAAGATGAGAACTACGCATAGCTGAGATATACAAGGTGAGAGTAAAGGTTGCCCAAAGGTGAGGGCACTTAGACTAGCCTAGGAGTTAAAGGAAGGCTTTGGGAAGAGATGATATCTGACCCAAATCTTAAATGGTAGGTAGGAGTAAGTGAGGCAAACATGAGCAGAAAGCGTCCTTCAAACAGAGAAAACAGCTTGAGCAAAGGCATCAATGTGAGAAAAGGAATGGCTTGCGTAGAGAACCACAAACAGTTTGGGACTGCTAGGAATATAACAATAAGTGATGAGTTGTAAGGCTGGAAATACAGTCAGAGGCCATGTCGTGGTGGACCTTGTATGCATAAGTATCCTAAAATCAATTCAGTAGGTGTTTTTTTTTTATTTTTATTTAATCACTGGAAGGTGTCTATCAGACATGGTTGAAGTAACATTTTTAAAATGTGGTCATAGGGATGAAGAGAAAGAAATGAATCTGAGAAAATGTATAAGGCTTTAATGATTGATTGTATGTGCAGGTGAGAGGGTGAGGAGTCCCGTGTGATGCTCAGGTTTTTGCCTTGGATGACTAAGGAGGATATGTTGGTAATTTTAACTGAGACAGGAAACGATGATGAGTTCAATTCTGGACTTGAAGATTTTCAATTTCTTGAGTTAGATCAGTGAGCAAATATAGTGGAAGTAAGCTGAGAAAAAAAAGAGGTGTGGTCAGAAAGTGGAATATCGGAGTTAAGTTGTCTGATATTGGGACTGTTCTAGGTGACAGCGAGGTCTCTGTGTATGGGTAGCTAAAATACAGCAGAGGCGAAGGTCAGTAAAGCTGAGTATGACAAGGAATTTGGAGGCTAGTGTATTGAATGAGTCATCTGTGTAGAGAGTGAAGTGATTGAGGATGATGGGATGTGGGGAAGAGAGAAAGATGTGACCCAGGTGCAGTAAAGATAGGGGATTAATCAGGAGGGTGGTAGATGACAGATGAGGAGGTGGGGTAGAGAGTTATATAGCCAGATGGTGCAAACCTTGAAGGAGGAGGGGTTTTTAAACACAAGAGTGAGAAGGTAATAGTTTTTTTACTTTTCCTTCCTGGAAGCAGAGTTCTGATCTCTATCTTTATTCAGGACTCATATTAATCATTCTGTTTGCTCTGAAGAGTCTGTTCTTAGTCTTGGAAAGTGGGAGGGCACATACCTCATATTGAATCCTTTCTGCTAATACTTAATGACAAAGGGCAGTGGAGGTTTTTTCCTCTGATGATCATTAGTGGGTGGGTAGGGAACAATCAGATAAAGCAGTGAGGATATACCCATGGTTTTCTAGACAGAGTATAGTGGAAAGAGCCTAGGCTTTGGAGTTAGAAACACCAAAATTCAGATCTAGACTCTGTCACTTACTAGCTTTATGACTGTAAACAAATTATTTAGCCTCTGTGAGCTTCAGTGTCCTTATCTGTAAAAAATTTATACTTCATAGGATATCACAAATATTACATGAAAAAATATATACACACATACCACATAAAATCACAAGCGATTGGTGATTCATAGATACAAAGTAAATATTAGTTCCTTTCTTCCTTCATTTAAGGGGCTTATGCTCTGCTAGCTGAAATGAACCTTTTACATGCTTACCTAAGTTATAAAATAGAACATAGTGAGTACTCTAAGGGAGGTAGTAGCAAAGTGGTAAAGCAGTTCAGAGGAGGGAGCTGTCATTTCTAAGCATTTGGAAACAAGGTTGGGCTTCATTTCAAAATGAATTTTACTTGGGCCATGAACAAATTTCAATAGAGTAAATAATTTAGGTAGATATATAAAATAGGGAAAGCATAGGGTATGGTATCTTTGTTAAAAATAGCTACCACAGGTTTGAGTATTGTATTTGTAAAAGCTAATAGTAGGAAATATGGCTAGAGAGATGGGCTGGGGCATTGGTATTAAAGATCCGAAACTGTGATGCAGTTTGGAGTTGATTCTGGATACATTAGGGAGCCACACATTGGATGTCTTCTTTCTCTACCTCAGTTTACTATCTGTAAAATGTATAGGCATCAATTCAGAAACTTCAAATTTTTGTTTGCAATAAACGAAATAAGAAATTCCACACTTGAAAAGAAGTTCCTGTGTAGGCCAATTTTAGGTTAAAAAAATCTAAGATTTGTTTTGTAGTTGTAGGTTAATCTTTGCAGTAATCTTATTTGATTGATAGGCTTCGTGAGGTTAAGAAACATACAAGATCTCACTGGTAGAAAGTGACCGAAGAAGCTCTAATTTCAAATTCTGTCTTTTTTATTCCGCCATACTGATTAGGATTTTAAAGGAAACCTGAGTTCCTCAATGTCACTAAAAATTAACCGCACAACCCCTGGCAGATCACTTTTACTTTGTCATTTATAAAATGAAGGAAGATGTAGCTGTAAGGTTTAACTAAGATAAAGTGCAAAGTACTTTAGATAATGTTGGTCACATATCAGGCACTCAAATGTTGGGTCTTTCTCTCCCCATCTGTGAATGAGGGAATTTAACCACAGCATTCCAAGACCTTAGTGTTAACTCTCTAGCCACCGTAAACTGCTAGAACTAATTACATTTGGCCTTCTGTATCCATGGGTTCTGCATCTGTGTATTCAACCAATTATGGATTGAAAATATGGAAAAAGGATGGTTGCATCTGTACTGAACATGTACAGACTTTTTTCTTGTCATTATTCCCTAAACAATAGTATAACAACTATTTACATAGCACTTGTATTGTGTTAGGTTTTATAATCTAGAGATGTTAAAATACATAGGAGGATGTGTGTAGATCATATGCAAATATGATTTTATGTAGGGATCCGATCATCCCTGGAATTTGGTATCCAAAGGGCAGAGGGGGGCCCTGAAACCTTTTGATAACCTTATCGCCAGATAAACCCAGCAAGACTTATCACCTGTTATCTTTGTCCCAGAATCAAACGGTCTGTCTTCCATACTGTTATTCTTATTTTGACCTGGCTTCCTTTTACTCTCTTCCAGCCCTGCTTTTTTGCTCCTTCCACTTGCTCTCTCAAACTCCTGTTTCCTACATTGTTAACCATTTTATTGGATGTCTTTTTGTGTGTCCTGGCCTTAAGTGGAAGCCAGGCTATCTCCTGAGTCATGGAGAACATACTACTTCCTCTGTAGCTCTTTTAAATGGATGCAGCACATTCTCCTGCACCCCTCCCATCCCAAAGAAGAGAGGTGAAGATAACTGTATTTTTTTATTCTCCACTATATCTGGACCATTACTTCTTCATCTTCTTAAAACCCCTGTGCTCTTTGGCTATACACACCCTTGGTTTCTGATATAATATATTCTTATACAATATCTATTAAGATGAAAATACACATAAACTACAATCTAGCAATTCCACTCCTAGGTATATACCCTTTGGAAACTCTCCAATGTATGCATAAAGGGATGTTCAAAAATATTCATGCAACACTGCTACAGCAAAAAATTTGAACTAGTCTAAATGCCTGTCAGTAAAAGAATGAAAATATTGTGGTATATTTACTTAATAGAATTCCATACAATAGTGAAATGAGTGATCTAGATCTATATAGTAACATGAGCAAATCTCACAAATAACAGGTTGAATGAAAAAGGTGAATTGCAGAACACATTTATATAAAGCTTGACATGCACGTATTATTTAGGGAGGCATACTTATGTAATAAAGAAATACATGATAATTATAAATACCAAATTAAGGATAGTAGGTATCTCCAAAGGGTAAGCTGGGGAGAAAAGACCAAGAATAATGCAAAGAAGGGCACACACAGAGCTTAAATTGAATAAGTAAATATTTTTCAACTGAGTTGTGGATATATAGGTATCTATTAATTATTCTTTATGCCTTTTATATATCTGAACTTTTCTTTTTTTTTTTTTTTTTTTTTTTTTTTAGACGGAGTCTCATTCTGACTCCCAGGCTGGAGTGCAGTGGTGCGATCTCGGCTCACTGCAACCTGCACTTCCTGGGTTCAAGCGATTCTCCTGCCTCAGCCTTCTGAGTAGCTGGGATTACAGACATGCACCACCACGCCTGGCTAAATTTTGTATTTTTAGTAGAGACGGGGTTTCACCATGTTGGTCAGGCTGGTTTCAAACTCCTGACTATGTGATCTGCCTCGGCCTCCCAAATATATGTATATTTTTAAAGAATAAATAGCATTCCACTCTTGTTATGAGCATAATACAGGGAGGGAGGGGACAGCAGAAGTATAAAGAAATACTAATATTAGGGTGAATCATAAAATTTTTTACTCACCACTAATATTAGAGTGAACCATAAAATTTCTGTTTTTGTAGGTCTGAAATGATTTAATATAGGCAGATTCAAGTGGCCTATTCAATCTAATGTAACTAATGTTCTGGTTGAAATATATTCAAAATGCATTGGGCATGGTAACTCACACCTGTAAGTCCAGCACTTTGGGAAGCCAAGGTGGTCAAATCTCTTGAGCCCAGGAGTTTGAGACCAGCCTGGGCAACTTGGTGAAACCCTGTATCTGCAAAAAATACAAAAATAAGCTTGGCGTGGTGGAAACATATTCAAAGTACTATGGGAACACTAGGGCAGGAACAACTGATGGCCAAGGCAGAAGGAGGGAAGTGACATTTGGAAAGGTTCCAGAGAGAGAGAATGACTTTTGAACTGAATCTTTTTTATTGTTTAAGTTTTTTTAAGAGACAGAGTTTTGCCGGGCGCGGTGGCTCATGCCTGTAATCCCAGCATTTTGGGAGGCCGAGGTGGGCTGATCATGAGGTCAGGAGATCGAGACCATCCTGGTTAACACGGTGAAACCCCGTCTCTACTAAAAATACAAAAAATTAGCCAGGTGTGGTGGCGGGTGCCTGTAGTCCCAGCAACTCCGGAGTCTGAGGCAGGAGAATGGCTTGAACGTGGGAGGCGGGAGGCGGAGCTTGCAGTGAGCCGAGATTGTGCCACTGCACTCCAGCCTGGATGACAGAGCCAGACTGTGTCTCAAAAAAAAAAAAAAAAAAAAAAAAAAAAAAAAGAGGCAGAGTTGCTCCGTTGCCCAGCCTGGAGTGCAGTATTGTGATCATAGCTAAAGTAATCCTCCTGCCTCAACCTTCCAAGTAGCTAGGATTACAGGTGTGTGCTCATGCCCAGATAATTTTTAAAACTTGTCAAAATTGGGAATGATTGTATGTGGAATTATTTTAAAGAGCAGAAAGAAAAAAAACAGGGGTCTTGCTATGTTGTCAGGCTGTTGTCAAACTCCTAGTCTGAAGTAATCCTCCCACCTCGGCCTTCCAAAGTGCTGAAATTACAGGCGTGAGCCATCATGCCTGGCCCTAAACTGAATCTTAAAGATTGAGAAGGAATTCACCAGATAGAGGGTGAGGAGATGAAAGAAGCCCTTCCAGATAGGAAGAGGTAAAGACCCCTTTCAGTGGGTGGAATCTGCCAGGTGGAATATGTGGAGGTTAAAGAAACACAGCAGAGGAAGAGACTAAGGAACAATAACAACACATACCTTTATAGTACTTACTAAACAAGCACAAAGTTAAGTAACCTGTGAAAGATCACAGGGATAGCAAGTGGTAGAGCCTGGATTTGGACTCTGGCAGTCTGGATCTACAGTCTGTGCTCTTGTGCAGTAAGTTATATTCTGAATCACTATACCATAAGCATAATCAGGAGAAAGTGATGTTTGGATGCCAAGAGAACAACGGTAAGTTTCAAAAAGAAAGGAATAGTCAGCAGTGTGAAAGGCCCTAAAGACATGAAATGGGAATCCTAAAAAGAGAAGATCATTGGATATTTTTTTAAAAATCATTTTGCTGTAAGTTACAGTAAGGAATACCGGGATGATAGAGATATGGATATCTCAGAATACTAGTGATTCAGTCTATCAGTTCTGTGGGCCAGTGATTATAATTTCATTTAATTATGAAGAAGATATAATCAGGGACTATTAAAAATAGATCATCTCCATATTTAAGTACTTGATATATTAACATGATCGAAAGACTTTTGATCTTCTGCTATCTATAGTCATAGTTACTCTTAGGTAACTATGATTGATAGTGACAATTTTGTTTATTCTTCTGTACTTTCTGGTTTTGATAAAGATAAAACTTAGCTTGCTAGTTTAGTGGATTTTTCAGAATGGGATGATATTCTAAAGAACAGTAGTAGTTCAATCCCAAATATTTCATAGACAAGAAGGTGAAAGAGACCTTATAAGCTGCATGGTATGTGGAAAGAGTTATATGGCTTATATATATATGGCTTATATATATATGGCTTATATATAGGGATTAAGAGTCCTGATTCAAGTCCCAGTTTGCCACTCAGTGGTTCTGTGATTTAGGCAAGGAGTTGCCGTGAATGATTTCTAAGATCTCTTCTCACTCTCAAGTTCTGTAACTATTAGGTCATTTATTCAGTAAAGAAACTGAGGCCTAAAGAAGGGACTTGTTTGTCGAGGGTCAAAAACTGGAATCTGGTTCTCTTGACTCTTGGTCCTGGATATCTGATGGAAGAATCATCAAACATTTGAGGGGCTGCCACATAGCAGACATGTATTAGGTGCTCGAAAAAGCAAAAGGCATGTGAAATTGTTTCAGAATTCATTTATCCAATTTGTGAAAGTAACAATCAGCATCTTCTGTGTTTGTTTGTTTATACATATGTTGCCTTATTCCAAAATGTATTTAAAGCAGACCTACTCTATATAATGTACTGTACTAAAAAAGGGAATAACCTTTTTTGAGTATCTGTCAAATATGTTGAAACGTATAAACACGTTATTTTTACCCACCTGCATATAGGTAGTATCACCTCTATTTTATACATAAAGAAACTGAGACTCAGAGATAGCTGGCCAAGATTATGCAGTTTATAAGTAATAGGACTTGGTTTCAAGCCCAGACCAGCCTGACTTCAACCCCAGTCCTCTTTTCATTTCACCATATATGTGCCCCACAGCAGTGTTATGTAATTCTGAGACTTTATCAGTACAGGAGGCAAAGTTTACTTGCAGGAATTGACACATATATTTTTAGTCTGAATATATCTTCTATCTCACCAAACAATGTC
The DNA here is from genome assembly GCF_000001405.40 of Homo sapiens. Classification (NCBI taxonomy): domain Eukaryota; kingdom Metazoa; phylum Chordata; class Mammalia; order Primates; family Hominidae; genus Homo; species Homo sapiens. The sequence goes on along the minus strand of NC_000001.11, from coordinate 41,232,402 downwards.
GGCAAACAAAAGATCCCTGGTTAGAAGAATGAAATGGTTTAGCAAATCAAAGTCATATTTATTTTTTAATTTGAGCAGATATATGACTAGATTCCTCGTTAGGATCAGTGCTCATATTTTAATAAATTATAACATTTCTGTACCCCTTCAACCTTTGGTTTGCAGTTTTTCAACCTTTACCAGCTACATACTAAGGATAAAAAGGTGAGAATAAGATAGGGTTTCTTCCCTCAGTGGGTTTTACTATTTAGGTGACAGATATAATAACTTTACCTAAGATCTCTTCCTCCCCAAAAGCCATAACCTGAGTCTAATCATGAGAAAACATCAGATAATCCCAACTGAGGTACATTTTATAAAATTTCTTTTTTTTTTTTTTTTGAGACAGTCTTGCACTGTCACCCTGGCTGGTGTGCGGTGTGTGAGATCTTGGCTCGCTGTAACCTCCACCTCCCTGGGTTCAAGCGATTCTCCTGCCTCAGCCTCCTGAGTAGCTAGGATTACAGGTGCCTACCACCACACCCGGCTAATTTTTTGTATTTTTAATAGAGACCGAGTTTCGCTATGTTGGCCGGGCTGTTCTCGAACTCCTGACCTCGTGATCTGCCCGCCTCTGCCTCCCAAAGTGCTGGGATTACAGGCGTGAGCCACCACACCTGGCCTATAAAATTTCTAATACTCCACAAAACTGTTAAAGTCATCAAACAAGGAACGTTTGAGAAAGTGTCAGCCAAGAAGAGGCTAAGAAGACATAATGACTAAATATAATGTAGCATGGTATACTGGATGGGGTCCTGTCATAGAAAAGTAATCTCAGGTAAAAATTAGGGAAGTCTGAATAAAGTGTGGACTTTAGTTAATAAGGTATCAATATTGGTTCATGAATTGTAACAAATATGCCATACTAATGTAAAATGTTAGTAGTAGGGGAAATAGTACAGGGTATATGGGAGCTATCTGCAGTTTTTCTGTAAATCTAAAACTGTTCTAATAGAAAAAGTTTATTTTTAAAAAGTTATAATAAAATTATTCTAATTTTAGATGTTATTTCTTTGAGATTTAATTAAAACATATTTCTTCATAAAATGATGTGCCTAATTTAGTTGACTCATTTGATAATGACTGACAAACTGCAGTTTGTTGATAGATGCATGTGCCAGAATGTATACTAGGTGGATGTCATATGAACTTTTTCTGCCTCAGTTTCTTATGTATATAGTGTCAAAAACATGCCAAGTCCTAGTAATAGTGAATCCCAGTACAAAATAGACCACAGTTTGATCAGCTGTCTCATAGCATATTATAAAGACGGCCAACCTCTTAACATGGTATATAGAATTCTACTGTTCTGTTCTCAACTTTGATCCAGTCAATTCTGTGTTTTAGGGACTATCATTTGTGCCACTCCCACAAACCAATTTCTAATCATATGGGGTTCTTTAATTTGCAAGCAATAATAATCTACTCTGGTTAACTTCGTTTGTAGCAGCAAGTCCCAAACCTTGTTGAATATCAGAATCGCCTGGAGAAATTTTTAAAATTAAAAGTACCATGTGCCAAAAAAATTATATTGAATTGGGATCTCTAAGGGGATAGAACATAGGAATTAATATTTTCTAAAAGCTCTCTAAGTAAGTCTGATACTTACTCATTGTTGCCAGTTTCAGTGAACAGCCCCCTAATTCATCTATTTGTTCAGGCCTAAAATCTGAGAATCATTTCTTTAATTTTTTTTTTTTTTTTAAGACATAGGGTCTTGCTTTGTTGCTCAGGCTGGAGTGCAGTGATGCGATCATAGCTCACTGCTGCCTTGAATTCCTGGGCTCAGGGGATCCTCTTCCCTCAGCCTTCTGAGTAGGTAAGACCTCAGGCGTGTGCTATGGAACCCAGCTAATTTTTAAATTTTTATTTTATAGGGATAAAGTCTTGCCATCTTGCCCAAGCTAGTCTTGAACTCCTGGGCTCCAGTGATCCTCCCGCCTCAGCCTCCTGAAGTGCTGGGATGGTGCCTGGCTGGGAATCATTTGTTAAATTATCTTTTCTCCATTTTTAGTTCATTGCTGATACCCCTTAGGACTACATCCTAAATATCTAAAGAATCTTTCTACCCCTCCCTCACCACTTCCTTCATTCTAGTCTAAGCCACCATAGTTCTTCTTTTGGACCATTATATCAACCCCCTATATGGCTTTCGTGTGTCTACTTTTGTACCCTATCCTCCACCAATGCGGTCACCACAGATCAGATCATATCTCTGCCTAAAATCCTTCAGTGGCTTTCCATTGCATTGGATATACAAATGATATTTTCCCTTGTGGTCTACATGATATGGAGACTACCTTCTTAGCCTCACATAGTGCCACCATCCCCTAGCTAAGTTCTAGTTACATTGGCTCCCATTTCATTTCTTGAAGATGTGAAGCTCTTTCCTGTCTCTCAGACTTGGCACATACTGTTTCATCTGCCTGGGAGAGTCTTCCCCTGACTCTTGATTCATTCTTAAACATTACCTCCTCATAGAGGCCATACTGACTGCCCTTCCACAGTCACTCTGTTAATTCTGTTATAGCACTTAATCACAACATGTAATTATTTATTTGCTTACTTGTTAAGTTCCATGAGGACATGAGGGCAGGGGTCTTGCCAATCTTATTTTTTTTTTAATTATACTTTAATTTCTAGGGTACATGTGCACAATGTGCAGGTTTGTTACATAGGTATACATGTGCCATGTTGGTTTGCTGCACCTATTAACTTGTCATTTACATTAGGTATTTCTCCTAATGCTATCCCTCCCCCAGCCCTCTACCCTCCGACAGGCCCTGGTGTGTGCTGTTCCCCTCCCTGTGTCCAAGTGTTCTCATTGTTCACTTCCCACCTGTGAGTGAGAACATGCAGTGTTTGGTTTTCTGTCCTTGTGATAGTTTGCTCAGAATGATGGTTTCCAGCTTCATCCATGTCCCTACAAAGGGCATGAACTCATCCTTTTTCATGGCTACATAGTATTCCATGGTGTATATGTGCCACATTTTCTTAATCTAGTCTATCATTGATGGACATTTGGGTTGGTTCCAAGTCTTTGCTATTGTGAATAGTGCCGCATTGCCAATCTTATTCTTATATGTGACTCCTATCACAGTGCATGGCATATAATGCATTCATTAAAAAGTTAAATGAATTAATGAATCTTTTTTTTTTTTGGTAGGGGGTTGGAGTTTTGCTCTTGTTGCCTAGGCTGGAGTGCAATGGCACAATCTTGGCTCACTGCAACCTCCACCCCCTGGGTTTAAGCGATTCTCCTGCCTCAGCCTCCCAAGTAGCTGGGATTACAGGCATGTGCCATCATGCCTGGCTAGTTTTTGTCTTTTTAGTAGAGATACGGTTTCACCGTGTTGGTCAGGCTGGTTTCGAACTCCTGACCTCAGGTGATCCACCCACCTTGGCCTCCGAATGAATGAATCTTAACTGCCACCAACCTGGTCCAAGCTTCTGTCATCTCTCTTCTGAATTACTGCAGTTGCATCTGAACACTTTGCCTACAACTGCTCTGGGTCCCCTTTAATCATCTTCCACGTTGCTTTCAGGGTTAAATATTTAAAATTTTAAGTCTGATAATTATACTATTCTCTCTACATTCCTTTCTTTTTTTTTTTCCCCAAGTCAGGATCTTGCTCTGTCACCCAGGTTGAGTGCAGTGATGTGATCACGGCTCACTGCAGCCTCCTAAGTACCTGGAACCACAGGTGCGCACCATCACACCCAGCTAATTTTTTTTTTTATTTTGTAGAAATGGGGTCTCACCATGTTGCCAGGGCTGGTCTTGAACTCCTAGGCTTAAGTGATGCTCCCACCTCAGCCTCCCAAACTGCTGGGATTACAGGCGTGAGCCACTGTGCTTGGCTCCTTACATTGTTTATATGCTTCCTGCTGGTCTTAATGTAGCTTATAGAATGTTTTCTTTAATTATTTTTTAATTGTGGTAAAATATATGTAACATAAAATTTGCCATTTCAACTATTTTTAACAGTACTAAGTATAGTCACATTGCTGCGCAACCCTCATCACCATCCATCTCCAGAACTTGTTTCATTTTGTTAAACTGAAACTCTATCCATTAAACAATAATTATACATCCCATTGTGGAGTCCCAATAAGTAAGCAGCAAAGAGGAAGGAGCCACAGGTAGGGGAGAACAATGAACAATTGTTCTGAGAGACGGCTAATTACAAACAACCACTGGCACAACTACCTTGTCCTCATAGCCCCCTCCAGCATGACCCTGTAAAACTTCCCTCCAGTCCTTGCCTCTTTGTAGACAGCCCTTTCTCTGCTGTGCTGCCTATTGCACCTTTGCAACATATTTTCATACTTTCTCTAATAAATCTGCCTCCTTTTGTTTTGTTTTTGTTTTGTTTTTGAGACAGAGTCTTGCACTGTCGACCAGGCAGGAGTGCAATGGTGCAATCTCAGCTCACCAGCTCACTGCAACCTCCACCTCCAGGGTTCACATGATTCTCCTCCCTCAGCCTCCCAAGTAGCTGGGATTACAGGTGCACACCACCATGCCTGGCGAATTTTTTGTATTTTTAGTAGAGACGGGGTTTCACTATGTTGGCCAGACTGGTCTTGACCTGACCTCATGATCTGCCCGCCTCGGCTTCCCAAAGTGCTAGGATTACAGACGTGAGCCACTGCGCCCAGCCAAATCTGCCTTTCTTTACCTATAACTGTCTTGGTAAATTTCTTTACCACTTGTGACATAGGCCCCAGCTAGTTGCACCCATGGCATACATTCCTCCCTCCCTCCAGTTCCTGGCAACTACCATTTTACTTTATGTCTCTATGAATTTGACTGTAATACTCCATGCACTTCATATGAGTAGAATCATACAATGTTTTCCCTCTTGTCACTGGCTTATATCACTCAGCATGTCTTCAAGGTTCGTCTGTGTTATAGCGTGTGTCAGAATTTCCTTTCTTTTAAAATTAAAGGCTCAATAATATAATTTTTACATTAAATTTAAACAGAGTGACTATGGAAGGGCAGTTGTTTAGTGCTCTACGAGGAGGTGATTTTTTAGCTGAGAAAGAATAAACCAAAAGTCAGAGGAAGACACTCCCAGGCAGAGCAAACAGCATGTGCTAAGTCTCAGAGACAGGAAAGACTGTCATATATTCAAGACTCAGAAAGGGAGCCAATGTGACTGGAACTTAGCTAGGGGATTATGGCACCATATGAGGCTCAGAAGGTAGGCTCCATGTCATGTAGACCACAAGGGAAAATGTCATTTGTATATCAGTGCAATGGAAAGCCACTGAAGGATTTTAAATCAGCAGAGCTAACATGATCCGTGGTGAGAGTGTTGGTGGGGGATGGGGATGCAGAACTATCTGCTTTCTATGCACCACCCTTTCTTCTGTGGGCTAGTCATGGCCCATCCCACCTCAGGGTTTTTTCTTATGATTGTTCCCTCTGCCTAGAATGCTCTCTCCCCTTCCTTGTCTATTCATTGTTTAGATTTCAACGGAGACATAACTTCCTTAGGGAATCCTTCCTTGATCTCCCAGAATCTATTCAAAATAATCTCCATGTTGCACATTTCATAGTACCTTGTGACTTTGCTTTGTAGTACTTATAATAGTTTTTTAAATGAAGCCATATTTGTATTTTTTGGTTGATTAATATATGTCAGAATAGCAGGGACCATGTCTTCTGTTCAATATTGTATCCTGAGCACCTAGTATTTAAGTAGGTATTTCAGTAAATAATGTAACATATATAATAAATAATATTAATATTTGTTGACTAAATGAATTTAGGTCTGGACCTTGATGGCTTAATGTCTTTCTAAAAATCTACTTCCATATCTAAGCCTTTCTTGACTACTTTCGCCTTTTTCTGTGAACTTAAAAGTCTTTATTCATTGTTTGCCGGATGCTAAACATTTACAAAAGTAATCCTTATGTCATCTGAAATTTTCTATTTTTTTCATATTGCTTATGCTTTATATTTGCTAGTTGGTCTTTTCCCTCTAAAATGCCACTAGAGTTATTTTTCTAAGTTACAAATCTCATCATTTGTGGAAATTCTAGGGCATTTATCATCCCTTAAATGATATGTGGTGAAAGGGTAGTTTTATTTTCTGTTTGTCTCAGACTAATAATTTTGTAAGTGTAATAAAAATGAATTACTAGAAAGATGAAATTTTTGTAAAGATGAAGTATAAACCTCAAAATCTTATAAGATTTAATGACATAAAATTATTCTGTTAAATTGCTGTAGGAAATTTCCAAGTATTTACTGTAAATTCTGTACTTTTTGCAAACAGGTAACAAACATTTTGCTTATGAAGACCACACATTGAATAGTAGCACCACTTAAGGTTTCTGTGCAGGGATACCAGGAGGTTCAAGGTGAGGCAGGGTGGACTCTGCCTCCTTGCTCCCCTTTCACCAGATAAGCTGTGTCTTTATTATTGTTATGTTTTACCTAACAATTTGTTTGAAGATGGTTCTTTGACCAAAAAAGGCTTAAAAAGCGCTAGTCTGCCTGGTGTTTTAGAATGGCATTTAAAATTATTCTTCATCTGATTGCAGCCCAGTTTGCTAGTTCAGTCACTGCTTCTTGCCATAGATCCTATTCTTAAACCACCTGTCATTTTCTATAGGCCATCATACAAGCCCTTTCACTACTTATTACTTTTCCACTTTCCTTTGCTTAGAATTAACTAAACTTTCCTCTCTGGGATACGATGCATTCTCCAAGTTCTGATTGAAAAGTCACCTCCTATGTGAAGCCTCTTCAATTCCTTTGGATGGAATTGGTCACTACTTTTAACATACCTATGGTAACTACATACTACATTCTGTTAATCGTTAATGGATTTGCTTGTCTTTCTCACATAACATGGTTCTAGTCCTGTCTATCTTTATATTCCCTAGCCCGGGGACTGACACATACTCAATAAATGTTGATTGGATAAATTGGGAAAGTCATCAATATTTGTACATATCTCAGATATAAAAATAGAAGCATTTTATTTGGTTTCAGGCAAACTATATGACTGCCTCCTTGCTCACTTCTCCCCACTTTGGGGACCTATCCCTGGATATTGAGTATGACATATATACTAAGAGTTGAAATATGTGTCTTAGAAAATGCAAGTAATGAACCTCCTACCCAGGTTCTCGTGTGAACTTGCATTAAAGCTCTGTGTGTGTTGGGAGGTGCAGAGAGAAAGTTAAAAGTTATTTTGAAATTATATTAATTATTAATGAAATTGTTTTGATTGAAAAGTTTGGAATCTGATCCTTTAAATAGCACCCTTGTTTTGTTTTATTTTAATTGAATTTGTCTGCTCTTTCAGTTTTATGAGTGACCTTTAAGTAATCTCTTATTGCCAAGAGAAGCTGTTTGCCCTCTGGAAAAAGTATAAGATTTAGGGTCATTTGACCAAGATATTCTAATCCTAAATCCAGTGATTACTAGCTGTGTGACCTTTATAAGTCATATAAAGTCTCTAAATCTTTTTTTCTTCACTTGTAATAAAGGAACAACTGACATTTGTCCTATGTACCCTGCAGAATTGTGAGGGCCAAATGAAGTGGAGGGTATGAAAGTGCAGGTAAACCCCAGAAACAACAAATGCGGGTAAACCCTACAACAGAACTTGTGCTATTTACTATCAGCTCTATGACTTTACACCAGTTAAATTATTTGTACCTCAGTTTATTCACCTATAAAATGAGAATATTAATGCCTGTATCATTGGGTTTGTTGTGAGAATTAAGTTATTTATAAAAAAGTGTCTAGTAGATTGACCTGAGTGTTTGATTATCAGTCAATTTACCTTTGCCTTAGCATCACACCCTTTTCTAGCCTCCACCCTGAATTAGGGTTTAATAGTAATAATTATAAGAAATGATAGTAATTGGAGATTATTTACTAAACACTAGTGTATGCTTAACTCTATGCTAGTTGCTATAGGGAAAATGGAGATACAATAATCACTAATCCCTTACATTTCATTTCAACTATTCAGTATTTAGCACTCACCATGTGTTAGATACAGGGGATAAAGAAATAAACATGAAGCAGCATTACCCTTTAAGGCTCATAATCTAGTAGAGGAATCAGACACAAATAAATTATAATACAGTATAGCACAATAATATAAATGTATACACTTCATGGAAGAGATAATGATTTTGTCTGAGAGTATGAGGAAAGCTTCTATTCTATGCAAATTAGGTTTTAAAGGATGAGTAGACGTTTTTTAGGTAGACTGAGGAGGTGAAAGAGGGGGCGATCCAGATGGAAGGAGTCAGCATATGTAGTGTTTGGAACTGTATAAATCGTTTATTACTGCTGTGTATTAAGGTTAAGAAGAGCTGACTAAAGGTGAGGCTAGAGGGTAGGCAAGGGCTGGATCATCCGAGGATGATTTTTGTACCATCCTGGGGAGTTTAAATGTCATTCTGTGGGCAAGAGGAGTCAGTGAAGGGTTTTGAGCAGAAAACAAAGACTATCCCTTGAGTGTTGTAGGAAAACCACTTTGATAGCCTTGCAAATGACAGAGCAGGGAGCTTTATAGATTACCCAAATGTTTGCAGGTTATTATCTGATTCTCACAACAGGTCTTTGAAAGTTGGCAAGGCAGGAATTAATCCCATCTAATATATGATATATGAACCACTGAGAATTAAAGATGGCGCTGGAAATTAGCTTGCATCATATACAATCAGTACTTACTGAGCAACGATTAAACCTAGGCCTTTTCCAAATCTAGTTGTATTTTTACGATACATTGAAAGATACAGTCCCTGCCCTAAATGAAATTTAAAACTTGTTAGGGATGATTGAGGGATAATTTTCCTTAAAAAAAAAAAGATAAAATTACGACTCTCACACAAATATAGAATGAACAAAATTTTAACTCATTAATCCATGTGGGAAACAGAAAGATAGTACAAAGATGGCTCAGAGAGGACCCAAAGTACCACATATTTATTGTCAGGGAATGCTGAACTTAATTCACAAATGGTGACAAAACTCGTCAATACCCATAGGACAGTTATCAATTGCATTACCTGGGCACAGTTTGCATTTCAGTGGACAGGAATTATTTGCATTACTGTGAGTTTTCAACAAGCTGACATCTTTCTTGACAAAGCTGTGAAATAGCCTAATTAAAGAGAGACCAAGTAACACATCTCTATACAATCAGGTAATCCTGGAAGGCTCCAGATTCCATTGATAGAATATGCAGTAATCTCTCTTGCCCATTTCAAAACCTCCCACAATTTTATCCGACAGGGATTTAGGACTAATTCTCAGAAAATTCAGATTAGGGGATAAAGAAATAAACATGAAGCAACCTCACCCCACAAGGCTCATAATCTAGTAGAGGAATCAGACAAATAAATTATAATACAAAATAGTACAATAATATAAATGTATACACTTCATGAAAGAGATGATTTCATGTGGGCTAGGATCTTCTCCAGTTTTCCCTATTACCCTATCATCAGAAATCAGGGATTCTTCATCTCAACAGAAGTATCCTTTGAAAAATGACTGCATCATACAGTCCCATTATGCAATGTCAGTTTCCATTCTCACTTTCTGTTTAGATTACCTGCCTAGGACTCTTCTTGAGTGTTTGAATTACCCCTTTCCAGAAATGAAAATCTGCCTCCAAACCCACCAACCTAGTTGTTGGTGGACCGTAATACCCAAGTGAAAAAAGGCTTTAGGGTGCCAGGTGTCTGGATTTTCTAAGCAGTACTTCTGTAGAGTTCCTTGGCATAATGCCATCTTCCCCTTAGCACTGTGATATGTCTCGGTACAGTCTCTTTTGCTGTATTATAGAAGGTGCATTCCTAGGAAGCCTCATGTTATAAAGAGTTAGTATAGTAATTGTTTCAAGGGTTTTTTTCCTATATGAAGGTAAAGGTGCTTATATAGCTGTAAGTATATAACTATAAAATCTAAAGATTTTGAGGAAATCCAGTGTTTGATTTTGTTTAACTTTTGCAAAAGAGTATTTCTTTGCCTATCTTCACCAACATCACTTTATCACTTTTATTGTCTATTTTTATGGCAAAGCACCAAGTCACTTAAAGCAGTTGTTTCATATTTGCAGTATTTCTTTTTCTCCTTTCCTTTCTTTGTTTAATTCCTTCATGCTTTCTCTTTCTTCTTCTTCCCTTCCCTTGTTTCCTTTTCTTCTTTCCCTTCCTTCCCTTCCCTCACTTTCTGCTTGTCTTATTCCTTCTCTGTATTCCACATAAAGTATGTTAGAATTATGCAAATAATGTTTCCTAAAACCAGATATAGGTATATCTCTTTGACTTAATGCTGCCAGTTTAAGATTATTTATCTGTTCATATCATTTGTAGATGGTTCTGCTCTCTCAAGACTTATCACTGATTGCTTGATTGCTTAATGATGTCAATCTCCAGTCCTTTGTTTCCTAGCTTTTTTTTTTTTTTTTTTTTTTTTTTTTTGAGACGGAGTCTTGCTCTGTCACCCAGGCTGGAGAGTTCAGTGGTGCAGTGTTGGCTCACAGCAACCTCTGCCTCCCGGGTTTAAGCAATTCTTCTGCCTCAGCCTCCTGAATAGCTGGGACTACAGGTGCCTGCCACCACACCTGGCTAATTTTTTTTTGTATTTTTAGTAGAGATAGGGTTTCGCCATGTTGGCCAGGCTGGTCTTGAACTCCTGGCCTCAAGTGGTCCGCCCAGCTTGGCTTCCCAAAGTGCTGGGATTATAGGCATGAGCCACCGCGCCTGGGCCCTAGCCTTTTTTTTTTTTGCTATGAGCGTTTGGCCATGCCCTATTGAATTTTGTGTCTGTGTGTTATATATATATAACAAAATTTATTATTTCATCCTCTTTTTTTTTTGTTTTTGTAGAAATGGTATCTTGCTATGTTGCCTAGGCTAGTCTTGAACTCCTGGGCCAAAGTGATCTTCTTACCTCAGCCACCCAAAGTGCTGGGCCTATTTTAACCATTTTTAAATGTACAGTTCTGTGGCATTAAGTACATTCACATTGTTATGCAACCATCACCACCATCCACTTCCAGGATGCTTTCATCTTCCCCAATTAAAACTGTACCCACTAAACAATAACTCCTCATTTTCCACTTCCTCCAGCCCCTGCAACCACTACTCTTACTTTGTATCTCTGAATTTGACTACACTAGGAACCTCATATAAGAGGAATTATATAACATTCGTCATTTTGTGACTGCATGCACTCTTGAAATTTGAAATACGGTATTGATGATGATGGTGGTAATAATAGTGATAATGGTTACCATTTAGTATTGTTCTTTTGGCCAGGCATGCTATTTGTTTAATCTTTTCAATCTATGCCAATAAATGACTTTATTCATCCTCATTTGACAATTAAAAAAGATGAGACTAAAGAGATTAAGTAATTAATCCAGGATAAAGGATATAATCTGTGTTCTCTCTAAGATTTCTGCTTTCCATTACACCAAAAGTTGATGGTATTAGTCCTGGTTCCAACCTGTGTCAAGATGGCATTGGAAAAGGACTGAGTATGCTTCATGGTTTTCTTCTCCTCTTATACACCAGTTTACCTTGTTCAGATTTCAAAAACATAGCACAAGATATGTTCCATTAAAAAGATATGAACTTTATTTTCAGACTCCTTTAGATTATGCGCTTTTGTCAAAAACAAGGACCACGTCTTTCATTTCTGTATTTCTAGCATTGGCCTAGCATGTAGAAGTCACCGTAACATGTGTTAACAAAGCTAAACAAATTGTGTGCTCTGAATCTGCCCCTCGTTTCCTATCCAGGTGAGTTGGTTTTTGAGATAGAGATAGCTATAAGCATAGTTCCTGCTTTCAAGGAGCTTAGAGTCTAGTTAGAGATGAGACATTAAAAAATCACCATCATGAAAATCACTTTCTGTTTGAATTGGTTTTGCACTAAATATGTTGGCTGTAAAATGTATTTCAGTCATTTATAGGGCTTAGTTCACATAACATTATTTGGGAAAATTAACTATTATTTCATGAGTCAAGGAATTGGATGTACTTCCTCTAAACACATGTACATAAACTCTGGTAAAACTCCTTCAACTGCTGCCTGCCCACAATGCAGTTGGTGCTTGCTATAATGGGTCAGTGAGGAGTGATTAAAGCAGGCCATGGGTCCTCCGACTGGGGATTGTGTCCTTGCCTTGCGTGAGCAAATAAGTCCCAATCCCCAAATACCTGGCAAGTACCTTACCTCTTTTTTCTAATAGACTTGTCACCATTCATCAGCTCAAAATTATTATTTTTAAGAGAAATAATGAAAAGCCCAATTCTACAGATGAGAAGAAGTTTATGTTGATTAATATATAATGTATGAAAGAGTGGTTATATGAAAGTCAAAGATCTGAAAGACCAAGTGACTTGTATCTTGTATAGTACTTTTTTTTTTTTTTTGTGAGACGGAGTCTTGCTCTGTTGCCCAGGCTGGAATGCAATGGCACAGTCTCAGCTCACTGCAACCTCTGCCTCCCAGGTTCAAGAGATTCTCCTGCCTCAGTCTCCCGAGTAGCTGGGATTACAGGCACCTGCCACCATACCCGGGTAAGTTTGTTCATATTTTTAGTAGGGACGGTTTCGCCGTGTTGGCCAGGCTGATCTCAAACTCCTGACCTCAAGTGATCCGCCCACCTTGGCCTCCCAAAGTGCCGGGATTACAGGCATGAGCCACCGTGCCCGGCCACGTTTTTCTATTTGATAGTAAACACTGGTTACTATTGAGTATACTGAGCTACCATAGGACTTCAATTATGGTATTCTGTTTTAACCCCAACTATTCTGATGACATCTGACGTATTTCAATTCAGTTCTGACACCAACCACCCAGTGTTAGAGTCAGACTCTACAAGTTTATGAGAGCATGGCCCCCAACAAGACTTGCCCCATTTCAGATGCCAGTCTCAGGTCAGATCCCCAGGCCACCCATACTTCTGACCAGCTGGCTACAAATCTGAGGGGTTCCCATGATCCCTTTCAGGTTTGACAATTCACTGGAACAACTCACAGAACTTAGGAAAGTGCTGTTCTTATTATTACAGGCTTATTATAAAAGATAAATCAGGGACAGCCAGATGAAGAGACACTTAGGATGAGGCCTGGGAGAATCTCAATTGCAGAACTTCTGTGCCCTCCTTCCATGGAATTGGGGCACATCACCCTTCTAGCATGTCAGTGTGTTCACAAATTAGGAAGCAGCATTGAGCTTCAGTGTCAAGAGTTTTTATTAGGGTTTCATTATATAGACATAATTGATAACTCAATGTTCAGGCCCCTTCCCTGCCCCAGAGGTTGGGCTGGTTCAAAGCCCCAGCCCTCTAATCATATGGTTTGTTCTTCTGGTCACTAGCCCACATATTGAACCATCTGACTATCAGAAACTAAGGTATGATCCCAGGGGCTTATGAATAACAAAGATATTTATATCACTTGGAAAATTCCAGGGGTTTTAGAAGCTCTGTGCCAGGAACCTGGGACAAAGACCAGACAAATTATATAACACATGGTACATAAGAGAAAGTTTAGTGTAGTGGTTAAGAGTGGTTTAACAGAAAGTTATTTCTTTTCCTCATGGGGTTGTGATGAGGTTTAAATGTGGTCACCAGTGTAAAGCACTTAATACCATGCCTGGTATGTACTAAGTCTTAAATAGATATTAGGTAGTATTAAGAGGTGTTTTAGTTTCCTAGGGTTGCTGTAACAAAGTACCACAAATTAGTTGGCTTAGAACAACAGAAATTTATTCTCTCAGTCTGGAGGCTAGAAGTCTAATATTAAGGTATTAACTAGGCCATGCTCCCTCAGAGACTCTGGGTAGAATCTTTTCTTGCCTTTTCCTAGCTCAGTCCTTGGTGTTCCTGGGCTTGCAGTTGTATTACTCCAGTCTCTGGCTTTGATGTCATATTGTGTTCTCCCTGTGTATCTCTGTTTTCATATGGTCTTTAACTCTTAAGGACACCATCACATTGGATCATGGCCTACCCTAATGACGTCATCTTAACTTGTTTATATCTGCAAAGACCCTATTTCCAAGTAAGGGCAATTCACAGGTACCAGGGGTACACAATTTTAGGGACACAATTTAACACAGTTCACAATTCTGGCCCCCTAAAATTTATGTTCTTCTCATGTGCAAAATATATCCACCCCATCCCAACATCTCCAAAAGTTTCAACTCCTTCCAGCATCAACTCTAAGTCCAAAATCCCATCTAAATATAATCAACTCAAAAAGTTCCTAATTTCATTTTTTATATAATCTAAATCAGATATGAGTGAGCCTCTGGGTATAGTCCTTCCTGAAACAAAATTTATTCCCATCTGCTTTGAAGCCTAGAAAACAAGTTGCTATTTGCTTCCAAGATACAATGGTAAGATAGGCATAGGAAAGACATTGCCATTATGAAAGGGAGAAAATGGAAAGAATAAAGGAGTCACTGGTCTAAAGTAAGTTCACAACCCAGCAGGGAAAACTGCATTAGATTTCAGAGCCTGAGAATAATTCTCTCTGGCTTGATTCTCTGTCCTCTGGACTGCTGGGGTGGCCCTACCACTTTAGCCTGAGAATGTCTCATTGGCCCAGACCTCTCCATCTGTGGCTTTGCCCTCAGAGCCAGTCGTCCTGCATATCATTCCATCTCTGTCCATTTCAGTTATGGCTGGTAGTACTTTTGCTGGTATGAAATTCTCAAAAACCTTGTCAGTCTCCTGTGCAATGCAGGTCCAATCCATCTAACAAGAATGTTCTCCACATATCTTTGCTACATAACTGTATCTCTATTCCTGGCTTTTGCAGAGATGATTGACTGGGTTTGTGAATCACATGCAAATGCTATACCCTTGCCCTGGCCCTGTTTCCAGAGCACACTATCTGGATAGGCAGAGAATTTTCTAAATTACCAAGTGCTGTTCCTTTTTTGCTTAATATTAATAGTTCATTCCTCAATTTATTTCTTTCCTCTCACATTTTACTGTAAGCACCAAGGAGAACCCAGGCCATACTTCCACACTTTGCTTAGAAATCGCCTCAGCTAAATGTCCAAGTTTATCACTTGTAAGTTCTACTTTTCACCTAGTGGCTCAACATAATTCGGACAAGTTTTCTGCTGCTACATAACAAGGATTGCCTTTCCCCAGGTGTCCAATAACATATTGATCATTTCCTTTGAAGGCTCTACCAGAAGCATCTTTAGTGCTCATATTTCTACCAACTATCTCTTCAAGGAAATTTAGACTTTTTCTATCAAGCATCTCAAAATTCTTTCAGTCCCTACCCGTTACCCCATTCCAAAGCCACTTATTTATTTTTAAGTATTTGTTAGAGTAGTGCACCACTCTTGGTACCAAAATCTGTATTAGTTTCCTGGCAGCTACTAGAAGATAGAAGAGACAGGGAAGGATCTTCAGAGAGAGCATGACTCTACCAACACCTTGATTTTGGACTTCTGGCCTCCACAACTATGAGAGAATAAATTTCTGTTGTTTTAAGATACTCAGTTTAGAGTACTTTGTTACAGCAGCCCTGGGAAACTGAAATAGAGATGTTTCCTGGAGGTACTATAGTCATCGGTGCAAAACAGTGAGTACAAAGTATCTTCCTCCATCCTCAGATTTTCCTGCCATTTGTCTTTCTCTCATTTAGAGCATATTTGTGTCTAGTTGTACTGTAAAGTTTACTTTTGCTATGTTAACAGCTTATGATTTGGCTTTATCTCAAGAGATCAGCCTTAAGTAGGGATGCTCTGGTGCCAGGAAGCCTTCAGCCTTCAAACCTTTGCAGGGATGGAGGCTTTACTTTTACAGACTTCTTCTGCCAGAATGCCTAGTTGTGGCTCTTGGTTTCCTCCTCATGCAAATTCTTGTAATGCCTGCCTTCATCATGGTGAAGGTAGAAGAGTCCTGGTGGTACTTCAGTTAGATAGGCAGCTGACCCATAATTGATGAATCATATAATGAATCCTTGACTGTAACTTTTAACAGATAGCTGTTTTTCAATTGAGTTATTTTTCAAGAACACAACTTTTGCCTACCTTAATGAGGAGTTATACTTATTTGGATTTTCTTTAGTGCCGATCACAGTGTTTGCAGATCTCTTAGAAGATGCTCCATAAAAATTGTTTTGCACTGAAGAAGGCTTATCCATGGCACTGCTAGTGAGAGACTAGCTCTAGCGATAAATAAGAGATGTTAGTTGCCAGGGCTGTCATTTCAATTTGTCTTGCTTTTACTGAGCTCATTAATAAATTGCCACAGTGGTAATATGAAAGTAATGAACCTTCTGGAGACCCACCTGGGGCACAGAATGCTAACAGGGACCTTCAGGGCAACTGCCATTGTGATACACAATTCAGTGAAAGGGTTTTAGGCTTTTTTCCCCTTTGAAACATTTATATTTTGTAATATCCAAATCCTATGTTAACATTTGTGTACTTTCTGAGTATATTTAAATTCAGCTCAGCAAACATGGATCTGATGCCTGCTACTGTCAGGCA
Organism: Homo sapiens; assembly: GCF_000001405.40. Lineage (NCBI taxonomy): Eukaryota > Metazoa > Chordata > Mammalia > Primates > Hominidae > Homo > Homo sapiens. The sequence goes on along the minus strand of NC_000001.11, from coordinate 41,215,842 downwards.
GTATATTGGATCCCAGGGTTGTAAACATGAATGAGACATCCCTTAGGGCTTCACTATCAAATAGAGAGAAAAGGTGGGTAAACAAATAATTTTAATATGGTATTTAAATGCCATAAGTATGGGTCAGATATAAATGTAGCATACAAGAGGAAATGATTATCTAGAGAAAGGAGCTAGGAAAGCTGAGAAAGGGGACTCATTGATTTCTGAGTTAAAATTTGAAGGATGGGTTATAGGTTGATGAGTTGGGTGCATAGTAGGAAAAGGGGCCTCATTGCAGATAAGAGGAGGGACTGCAAATCATTTGGAATAACTTAGGGAAAGAAGGTAAAGAGAAGATTGTCAGCCCTAGATCCTGAAAAATAAAATAAAATAATGTAAAGAGAAGAAGTAGATGAGGATGGAGACATAATAAGGGGCCAAATCTTAAAGGATTTAGGTTTTGAAGTGTTATGTATACTGTGCCAAGGGTTCTGGTGGATTTTATCTTGTAGGGTACATGGATCCATTGAAAGATTTTAAGCAGAGAAGCCACATGATCAAATTTTTATTTCAGAAGAATTATTCTGGTTGTCTTTTATAGGATGGAATGGAAGTGGAGAGAGACCAATTAGAAAGCTATTTACTAATTCTCTGTAAGGAACAGCATAGTAGACTGCAAAAAGCATGACTTAGGTTGTTTCAAATCCCAATTCAGCCACCTACTAACTTTAACACTTAACTGTCTCTGAAGCCTCTTCATTAATGAAATGGAAATAATAGTAATCTCTCACTGGATATTATGAAAAATCACAAAAAATAACATACACATGGAGTTGTTCCAAAGTGCTGAGTATAAATGCTAGCTGTTATATTTCAAATTCTGTTTTTCTCGAGTTTTAGGTAACATAACTACGTTTAGCATTTTGAAGAAGCGCTTTCATTTTCCTTCTACCATTCTGTTGCAATGAAGCAGAAGTTGAGACATTTTCAAACACTTTATATTTACATTAAGATCCATATTTCAGGATTTCCCAAACACTCAAAAAATAATATAACTAAAGCTTTTTCCTTTGGACACCCTGTCAGACCCTCAATTGGAGAATCAGGGTTAGTGTCTTTTTTTTTGAGTCAGGGTATAATGGGAAAAGATTGGAGCCCTGTTTCAACAAATGAGCTATTTAGCTGAGAAATAGCATCAGAATATGTTCTGCCTCCATCCTGCAACTATTTAATAAGAATAATGTGAACAGTTGTCCTAGCCATCTTGCATATTTATTGTGAGGATCACATTCTTTCCTTAGGTAAATGTTTATTAAATAACTACTATTCAAGGCCCTGTTTCAAAGAATGTAGAAATGAATCAGATCTAGATCCTAATTTCAAGTGAATTACTTGAAATGTAAAAGGTGTATACAAATAACTAATTCAAGTAAGACAAAATATGAGTCAGATAATGTTGAAAATTATAAAGGACTTTGACACTTAAGTTATTTATATTTTGTATAATTATTGTATATTGTTATATTTTGCAAAGTATATTTCACATTGCTCTCATTATTTAAAGCGCCACCCCAAGTAAAGCAGAGATAGAGTCACTTTCTTGGATATCTGTAGAAAATAAATGATAAATGTTTTTAGATTTCAGGTCAATTTAAAAACCTGTACACAGATTTTTATCTCAGGCTTAATGTTCACTGATACCCAAGTAACTTGGTTAAGTTAGTCTCTGAGCCTCAGGTGTGTGCATGTATGTGTGCATGCATGTGCACATGTGTGTGTAATTGAGATAGTACCATCTAGCTCTTAGATTTATTGTGATGAGATGGTCTTTATATGTAAAACAATGCTAACAATACATGTTGGGTTTTTCTGTAGTCTCTTTGCTGTCACCTACTTACCTTTTCACTATTGCCCAGTATTGAGCTTTGAGACAGCAGCTTCACTGAAATAATTTAAAGGTTTTTTTTAAAAAAAAATGTAAGCAATTATAGGGGAGGAAAATGTCTTTTCCTCACCTGTCCTAGGTTCATGGCTAAAGTCCTTATAGCAAAAGACATATTAACAAGAGAAAAGCATAATCAGTGTTTTCTTAAGTTTTATGTGACACAGAGGGCTTCATAAAGAAATGAAAACCTGAAGAAACAGTTAAACTTGTATATTTTTATGCTAGATGTGATAATGAAGTAGATAATTGGGGAGCAATAGAATTGGACAAAGCGGGTATGATCTAATGGTAATAAATGGGGGGTAATTTAGACTTGTTTGTTCAGATTCTTCTTGGTCTCTCTGTGTCTTTGGCTCCTTTCCTCTAGGAACCTGTCACATGAGGGTCTTATGACTTGCTTCTGGAAGAGTTCAGAAAACCCATAAAACCTGGGAAGGTTTTATGTCCTGCTACAGAGGAGGAGATGGAGGAAGGTGAAGGTTACCTTCCTGCTTCTGTTGTTTTCCCACATTCCTTCAGCTTAAAATATTTGGGGATTACCATGTCCTGAAGCCCATCACAAACATACAACAAAAGTGAAAGGGTTTATAATGAAAAACATTATAGCCACAAGCTAAATTTTACCAATACTTGTAAATATCACATATCTATGTGTCTTCCCTTTACCCACCAGCTGTATTCAAATTTCTCTATTGATTCTTTGGGACTTTTCTGTAAAAGGTTTGTAACTAATTTGGAGGCTGGGAATGCAAGTATGTTTCAAATATTTGTAATTAAATTGTACTTTAACAACTTACATTGCTTTTTACCTCTGATGAATTTTATTTACCAAGTTATTTATTATTTGGATCTATCTGTACTATTCGTGTTCCTACACTCTTATTTGTAGCATGGATTCATTTACTGGCATACAGATCATCCATTGCATTTTCCAGAGAATACCTTTAGTTAATCTTTTTTAATGTCAAATTTATAGTAGGTTCTTTATATTAGTCCTTGTCTTTTTCTCCTGTTAAAATATGTATCTTTTTTTTTCCCTCCAGACAGAGTCTCACTTTGTTGCCCAAGCTGGAATAAAGTATGTATTTTTAAAAATTAATTTAAAAAAATGATGCTGCATATTTTGTGCCTAGTGGCAAACACTGCAGCTAAAAAGCTCTGTGTGTACAGAGTGGGTTGCCAGCATGGTCTTAAAATCTCATGTATCTCAATATTTTCTATCATGACCGTTTCTTGTTTCTGAGCTTGGGGTGGTTGGTTTGTTTTTCAGGAAAACTGGACTATTTAGTATGGCTAAGGATTAAATACAGTCTTTTGCCTATGTTTGGTTAGAGCCTCTCAGCTTTGATTGATGTTCTCCATTATATGTTACAGAAATTTTTGTTTCTGGTTCTTTGATGTCACTCTTTCCTATTTTCTGGTACTGTAAAGTATGTACTCATATTTGTAAAATCTTTTGTCATCACAATGCATATCTTTTAAATGAGTTTTAATTAGATAGAACATGTCTTTTTATTACATGGATTTCCTTAAGCTGTAAGAACTGTATTCAGAAAAATCTTTGAAAAGCTAAATTTTTTATTCTTATTTTTCTGAGTCTGCTTCCTAGGGAATGAAAAGCTAAAATTATATTCATGATTGTGTCTCCCAACTCCTTCCATCCACTCATTACCTTTATGTAATGATCCTGTTGAATTTGAGAGTGACTTACAAATACTAAAGTGCCCGACTTGTTTTGTTTCGTATTTATTTATTTATACTTTAAGTTCTAGGGTACATGTGCACAACAAGCAGGTTTGTTACATAGGTATACATGTGCCATGTTGGTTTGCTGCACCCATCAACTCATTTACATTAGGTATTTCTCCTAATGCTATCCCTCCCCCAGCTCCCTACCCCGCAACAGGCCCTGGTGTGTCATGTTCCCCGCCCTGTATCCAAGTGTTCTCATTGTTCAGTTCCCACCTATGAGTGAGAACATGTGGTGTTTGGTTTTCTGTCCTTGTGATAGTTTGCTAAGAATTATGGTTTCCAGCTTCATTCATGTCCCTGCAAAGGACATGAACTCACCCTTTTTTATGGCTGCATTGTATTCCATGGTGTATATGGGCCACATTTTCTTAATCCAGTCTGTCATTAATGGACATTTGGGTTGGTTACAAGTCTTTGCTATTGTGAATAGTGCCACAGTAAACATATGTGTGCATGTGTCTTTATAGTAGCATGATTTATAATCCTTTGGGTATATACCCAGTAATGGGATCGCTGGGTCAAATGGTATTTCTACTTCTAGATCCCTGAGGAATCACCACACTGTCTTCCACAGTGGTTGAACTAATTTACACTCCCACCAACAGTGTAAAGGTGTTCCTATATCTCCACATCCTCTTCAGCATCTGTTGTTTCCTGTCTTTTTAATCGCCATTCTAACTGGCGTGAGATGGTATCTCATTGTGGTTTTGATTTGCATTTCTGTGATGACCAGTGATGATGAGCATTTTTTCATGTGTCTGTTGGCTGCATAAATGTCTTCTTTTGAGAAGTGTCTGTATTCATATCCTTTGCCCACTTTTTGATGGGGTTGTTTGTTTTTTTCTTGTAAATTTGTTTAAGTTCTTCATAGATTCTGTATATTAGCCCTTTGTCAGATGGACGGATTGCAGAAATTTTCTCCCATTCTGTAGATTGCTTGTTCACTCTGATGATAGTTTCTTTTGCTGTGCAGAAGCTCTTTAGTTTAATTAGGTCCCATTTGTCTATTTTGGCTTTTGTTTCCATTGCTTTTGGTGTTTTACTCATGAAGTCTTTGGCCAGGCACAGTAGCTCACGCCTGTAATCCCTGCACTTTGGGAGGCCGAGGCAGGTGGATCACGAGGTCAGGAGATTGAGACCATCCTGGCCAACACGGTGAAAGCTTGTCTCTATGAAAAATACAAACATTAGCTGGGCATGGTGGTGTGTGCCTGTAATCCCAACTACTGGGGAGGCTGAGGCAGGAGAATCGCTTGAGCCAGGGAGGCGGAGGTTGCAGTGAGTCGAGATCATGCCATTGCACTCCAGCCTGAGTGACAGAGCAAGACTCCATCTTAAAAAAAAAAAAAAGTCATGAAGTCTTTGCCCATGCCTATATCCTGAATGGTATTGCCTAGGTTTTCTTCTAGGGTTTTTATGGTTTTAGGTCTAACATTTAAGTCTTTAATTCATCTTGAATTAATTTTTGTATAAGGTGTAAAGAAGGGATCCAGTTTCAGCTTTCTGCATATGGCTAGCCAGTTTCCCCAGCACCATTTATTAAATAGGGAATCCTTCCCCTATTTCTTGTTTTTGTCAGGTTTGCAAAAGATCAGATGGTTGTAGATGTGTGGTTTTATTTCTGAGGCCTCTGTTCTGTTCCATTGGTCTATACATCTGTTTTGGTACCAGTACCATGCTGTTTTGGTTACGTAGTCTTGTAATGTAGTTTGAAGTCAGGTAGTGTGATGCCTCCAGCTTTGTTCTTTTTGCTTAGGATTGTCTTGTCTATGTGGGCTCTTTTTTGGTTCCATACGAACTTTAAAGTAGTTTTTTTCCAATTTTGCAAAGAAAGTCATTGGTAGCTTGATGGGGATGGCGTTGAATCTGTAAAGTACCTTGGGCAATGTGCCATTTTCACGATATTGATTCTTCCTATCCATGAGCATGGAATGTTCTTCCATTTGTTTGTGTCCTGTTTTATTTCATTGAGCAGTGGTTTGTAGTTCTCCTTGAAGAGGTCCTTCACATCCCTTGTAAGTTGGATTCCTAGGTATTTTATTCTCTTTGTAGCAATTGTGAATGGGAGTTCACTCATGATTTGGGTCTCTGTCTGTTATTGATATATAGGAATGCTTGTGATTTTTGCACATTGATTTTGTATCCTGAGACTTTGCTGAAGTTGCTTATCAACTTAAGGAGACTTTGGGCTGAGACGATGGGGTTTTCTAAATATGCAATCATGTCATCTGCAAACAGGGACAATTTGACTTCCTCTTTTCCTAATTGAATACCCTTTATTTCTTTCTCTTGCCTGATTACCCTGGCCAGAACTTCCAACACTATGTTGAATAGGAGTGGTGAGAGAGGGCATGCTTGTGCCAGTTTTCAAAGGGAATGCTTCCAGTGTTGGCCCATTCAGTATGATATTGGCTGTGGGTTTGTCATAAATAGCTCTTATTATTTTGAGATATGTCCCATCAATACCTAGTTTATTGAGAGTTTTTAGCACGAAGTGCTGTTGAATTTTGTCAAAGGCCTTTTCTGCATCTATTGAGATAATCATGTGGTTTTTGTCGATGGTTCTGTTTATGCGATGAATTACGTTTATTGATTTGCATATGTTGAACCAGCCTTGCATCCCAGGGATGAAGCCGACTTGATTGTGGTGGATAAGCTTTTCGATGTGCTGCTGAGTTCGGTTTGCCAGTATTTTATTGATGGTTTTTGCATCGATGTTCATCGGGGATATTGGTCTAAAATTTTCTTTTTTTGTTGTGTCTCTGCCAGGCTTTGGTATCAGGATGATGCTGGCCTCATAAAATGAGTTAGAGAGGATTCCCTCTTTTTTTATTGCTTGGAATAGTTTCAGAAGGAATGGTACCAGCTCCTCTTTGTACCTCTGGTAGAGTTCAACTGTGAATCCATCTAGTCCTGGACTTTTTTTGGTTGGTAGGCTATTAATTATTGCCTCAATTTCAGATCCTGTTATTGGTCTATTCAGAGATTCAACTTCTTCCTGGTTTAGTCTTGGGAGGGTGTATGTGTCCAGGAATTTATCCATTTCTTCTAGATTTTCTAGTTTATTTGCGTAGAGGCATTTTGGTAGTTTGTATTTCTGTGGGATTGGTGGTGATATCCCCTTTATCATTTTTTATTGCATCTATTTGATTCTTCTCTCTTTTCTTCTTTACTAGTCTTGCTAGTGGTCTAACAATTTTGTTGATCTTTTCAAAAAACCAGTTCCTGGATTTATTGATTTTTTTGAAGGGTTTTTTATGTTTCTCTCTCCTTCAGTTCTGCTCTGATCTTATTTATTTCTTGCCTTCCGCTAGCTTTTGAATGTGTTTGCTCTTGCCTCTCTAGTTCTTTTAATTGTGATGCTAGTATGTTGATTTTAGATCATTCCTGCTTTCTCTTGTGGGTATTTGGTGCTATAAATTTCCCTCAACACACTGCTTTAAATGTGTCCCTGAGATTCTGGTATGTTGTTTCTTTGTTCTCATTGGTTTCAAAGAACATCTTTATTTCTGCCTTCATTTCATTATTTACCCAGTAGTCATTCAGGAGCAGGTTGTTCCGTTTCCATGTAGTTGTGTGGTTTTGAGTGAGTTTCTTAATACTGAGTTCTAATTTGATTACACTGTGGTCTGAGAGACAGTTTGTTGTGATTTCTGTTCTTTTACATTTGCTGAGGAGTGCTTTACTTCCAAATATGTGGTCACTTTTATTTTTTATTTTTTTTTTTTAATTTTTTTCTTATACTCTAAGTTTTAGGGTACATGTGCACATTGTGCAGGTTAGTTACATATGTATACATGTGCCATGCTGGTGCGCTGCACCCACTAATGTGTCATCTAGCATTAGGTATATCTCCCAATGCTATCCCTCCCCCCTCCCCCGACCCCACCACAGTCCCCAGAGTGTGATATTCCCCTTCCTGTGTCCATGTGATCTCATTGTTCAATTCCCACCTATGAGTGAGAATATGCGGTGTTTGGTTTTTTGTTCTTGCGATAGTTTACTGAGAATGATGGTTTCCAGTTTCATCCATGTCCCTACAAAGGATATGAACTCATCATTTTTTATGGCTGCATAGTATTCCATGGTGTATATGTGCCACATTTTCTTAATCCAGTCTATCATTGTTGGACATTTGGGTTGGTTCCAAGTCTTTGCTATTGTGAATAGTGCCGCAATAAACATACGTGTGCATGTGTCTTTATAGCAGCATGATTTATAGTCCTTTGGGTATATACCCAGTAATGGGATGGCTGGGTCAAATGGTATTTCTAGTTCTAGATCCCTGAGGAATCGCCACACTGACTTCCACAATGGTTGAACTAGTTTACAGTCCCACCAACAGTGTAAAAGTGTTCCTATTTCTCCACATCCTCTCCAGCACCTGTGGTCACTTTTATAATAAGTGCAATGTGGTGCTGAGAAGAATGTATATTCTGTTGATTTGGAGTGGAGAGTTCTGTAGATGTCTATTAGGTCTGCTTGGTGCAGAGCTGAGTTCAAGTCCTGGATATCCTTGTTAACCTGTCTTGTTGATCTGTCTAATATTGACAATGGGGTATTAAAGTCTCCCATTATTATTGTATGGGAGTCTAAGTCTCTTTGCAGGTCTCTAAGGACTTGCTTTATGAATCTGGGTGCTCCTGTATTGGATACATATATATTTAGGATAGTTAGCTCTTCTTGTTGAATTGATCCCTTTACCATTATGTAATGGCCTTCTTTGTCTCTTTTGATCTTTGCTGGTTTAAAATCTGTTTTATCAGAGACTAGGATTGCAACCCCTGCTTTTTTTTCACTTTCCATTTGCTTGGTAGATCTTCCTCCATCCCTTTATTTTGAGCCCATGTGTGTCTCTGCACGTGAGATGGGTCTCCTGAATACAGCACACTGATGGGTCTTGACTCTTTATCCAATTTGCCAGTCTGTGTCTTTTAATTGGGGCATTTAGCCCATTTACATTTAAGGTTAATACTGTTATGTGTGAATTTGATCCTGTCATTATGATGATAGCTGGTTATTTGCCCATTAATTGATGCAGTTTCTTCATAACATCGATGGTCTTTACAATTTGGCATGTTTTTGCAGTAGCTGGTACTGATTGTTTCTTTCAATGTTTAGTGCTTTCTTCAGGAACTCTTGTAAGGCAGGCCTGGTGGTGACAAAATCTCTGAGCATTTGCTTGTCTGTAAAGGATTTTATTTCTCCTTCACTTATGAAGCTTAGTTTGGCGGGATATGAAATTCTGCGTTGAAAATTCTTTTCTTTAAGAATGTTGAATATTGGCCCCCACTCGCTTCTGGCGTATAGGGTTTTTGCTGAGAGAGGCACTGTGTCTGATGGGCTTCCTTTTGTGGGTAACCCGACCTTTCTCTCTGGCTATCCTTAACATTTTTTCCTTGATTTCACCCTTGGTAAATTTGACAATTATGTGTCTTGGGGTTGCTCTTCTCAAGGAGTATCTTTGTGGTGTTCTCTGTATTTCCTGAATTTGAATGTTGGCCTGCCTTGCTAGGTTGGAGAAGTTCTCCTGGATAATATCCTGAAGAGTGTTTTCCAACTTGGTTCCATTCTCCCTGTAACTTTCAGGTACACCAGTCAAATGCAGATTCTTTTCACATAGTCCCATATTTATTGGAGGTTTTGTTCATTTCTTTTTACTCTTTTTTCTCTAATCTTGTCTTTTTGCTTTATTTCATTAATTTGATCTTCAATCACTGATATCCTTTCTTCCACTTGGTCAAATCGGCTACTGAAGCTTGTGCATGTGTCATGAAGTTCTCGTGCCATGGTTTTCAGCTCCATCAGGTCGTTTAAGGTCTTCTCTACACTGTTTATTCTAGTTAGCCATTCATCTAATCTTTTTTCAAGGTTTTTAGCTTCCTTGTGATGGGTTTGAGCATCCTCCTTTAGCTCAGAAAAGTTTGTTATTAACTGACCTTCTGAAGCCTTCTTCTGTCAACTTGTCAAAGTCATTCTCCATCCAGCTTTATTCTGTTGCTGGTGAGGAGCTGCGATCCTTTGGAGGAGAAGAGGCGCTCTGGTTTTTAGAATTTTCAGCTTTTCTGCTCTGGTTTCTCACCATCTTTGTGGTTTTATCTAACTTTGGTCTTTGATGTTGGTGACCTACAGATGGGATTTTGGTATGGATGTCCTTTTTGTTGATGTTGATGCTATTCCTTTCTGTTTGTTAGTTTTCCTTCTAACAGGTCCCTCAGCTGCAGGTCTGTTGGAGTTTGCTGGAGGTCCACTCCAGACCTTGTTTGCTTGGGTATCACCAGCGGAGGCTGCAGAACAGCTAATATTGCAGAACAGCAAATATTGCTGCCTGATCCTTTCTCTGGAAGCTTCGTCCTAGAGGGGCCCCTGCCTGTATGAGGTGTCAGTCGGCCCCTACTGGGAGGTACCTCCCAGTGTTGGGAGAACCACTCCTCTCTTCAAGCTATCAGACAGGGATGTTTAAATCTGCAGAAGTTGTCTGCTGCCTTTTGTTCAGCTATGCCCTGCCCACAGAGGTGAAGTCTATGGAGGCAGTAGGCCTTGTTGAGCTGTAGTGGGCTCTGCCCAGTTCGAGCTTCCTGGCCACTTTGTTTACCTACTCAAGCCTCAGCAATGGCAGATGCCCCTCCCCCCCGCGAGGATGCAGTGGGAAATCAGGGGTCTCACAGCCTTCAGAGCTGAGAGCCCCGAATTGATTGAGGTCAGTCTCAGACTGCTGCGCTAGCAGTGAGCAAGGCTCCATGGGCATGGGACCTGCCGAGCCAGGCACAGGAGAGAATCTCCTGGTCTGCCAGTTGCTAAGACCATGGGAAAAGCACAGTATTTGGGCAGAGGTGTACTGATTTTCCAGGTGCAGTCTGTCACGGCCTCCCTTGGCTAGGAAAGGGAAATCCCCCAACCCTTGTGCTTCACAGGTGAGGTGATGCCCCGTCATGCTTCGGCTTGCCCTCCGTGGGCTGTATCCACTGTCCAACCAGTCCCAATGAGATGAACCAGATACCTCAGTTGGAAATGCAGAAATCACCCGTATTCTGCATCGATCATGCTGGGAGCTGCAGACTGGAGCTGTTCCTATTCAGCCATCCTGCAGTTCAGTCATTTTTGTTTCATTTTAAGAGATTTTCCTTAACTGTTTTTCTCTCAGAAATCAATTTGTGGGTTGTAATTATAAGCCATCCAAGTATAATGTATTTTCAATTCAGTAAGTAGCCACTATTCTGGTCATATAATTTTTTAGTTTTGTGCCTTTTTTCCTTACTATTAAATTAGCATATACCCATTTCATTAATAAATACCTATTGAGTATCTCCTCTTACACCAGGCACTATTCCAGGTGCTGGGATATAATGCTGAATGAATAACATAAACACCCCAGTGAGAGAGACAAATAAATAGATATGGAAAATATTAAATGGTGCTAACTGCTATGTGGAGAATTAAGAGTGGTATGATAGAAAGGGTCTAGGTGACTACTTTAGTTTGAGTGATCAGGGAAGGATTCTCTGAGGAGGTGACATTTAAGCTAAGACCTGAATGATGAAAAGCCAGACATGTGAATATTGAGGTGGAACATTCCAGGGAGTGTAAAGGCCCCAAGGTCATAAGGAACTTGGCCTCCAACAGGAGCTGAGAAGACCAGTATAGCTGGAGCAAAGCAAAAGGTGAGAGCCATAGGAGATGAAGTAGAAGAGGTAAGTAGGGGTCAGATCATGCAGGACTATGTGGGCCAGGATAAGGTACTTGGATTTGATTTGAAGTGCTATGGGGAGGCTTTGGGAGATTTTAAGCTGGAGAGTGATATGATCTAACTTACCTTAACATATAGTCAGGACAGGATCATATAGGGAAGAAAATAGGTCAATACTGAGAACCTGTAATTCAAACACAGGAAAAAGATTGCATTTGCTGCTAAGGCGTACTAAATAGCCCAGTTTTCCTTGAAAAATCCTAAGCCTAAGAGACAAGAAATTTGGCCAAATTCCATTGTTTTGATTCCCAGCTCCACCATGTACCAACTGTGTAACCTTGGGCAAATTATAAGATATCTCTCTGCACTGGTTTCTCATCATTAAAATGAAGATAATAATAGTGCCTGCAGATAATAATAGTGCCTGCCTTATAGACTAGTGAAAATTGAACAACATTGCTGAGACCAGCTCGGTCGGGGAGACCCTAACCCAGCGGCGCTAGAGGAATTAAAGACACACAGAAATATAGAGGTGTGAAGTGGGAAATCAGGGGTCTCACAGCCTTCAGAGCTGAGAGCCCCGAACAGAGATTTACCCACGTATTTATTAACAGCAAGCCAGTCATTAGCATTGTTTCTATAGATATTCGATTAACTAAAAGTATCCCTTATGGGAAACGAAGGGATGGGCCAAAATAAAGGAATAGGTTGGGCTAGTTAACTGCAGCAGGAGCATGTCCTTAAGGCACAGATCGCTCATGCTATTGTTTGTGGCTTAAGAATGCCTTTAAGTGGTTTTCTGCCCTGGGTGGGCCAGGTGTTCCTTGCCTTCATTCCAGTAAACCCACAACCTTCCTGCGTGGGCGTTATGGCCATCATGAACAAGTCACAGTGCTGCAGAGATTTTGTTTATGGCCAGTTTTGGGACCAGTTTATGACCAGATTTTGGGGGGCTTGTTCCCAACACAACATAATACATGGAATGTGCTTAGAGCAGTGCTTGGCACATAATAAGTACTTAATAGATGTTTAATTTTATATTTCCTTTAGAACTGTGTTTTTGATAGCCATGTGGTTAATATGACTGGATGTAATGAATTTTTTATTTTATTTTATTTTAAGTAAATTTAAAATTAAAAACGGATCTCAATTCAGGTATTAGAAAAATTTTAAGTATGTTTGAAACAATTTGGATATGTGAATTTTCTATGTGAATTTTCTTTTTCAAGTGTAAATTTACAAAATTGAAATACGGATCAAGTATTTGTGATGAAAATTTAGCATCTGAATTGAGGTAAGCTATAAGTGTAAATGTATACCAGATTTTAAAGACACTATACAAATAATGTATTTTCATTAATGATTTTTATGATTACTTGCCAAAATAATATGATATACTGGGTTAAATAAAATGCATTATTAAAATCATTTTTCACTTGTTTCTTTTTTTAAAACTTTTAAAAATATGACTACTAGAAAAATGTAAAAGCCACCTATGTAATTTTATATTTTTCTAGTAATCATATTTTTAAAAGTTAAAAGAAACAAGTGAAAATAATTTTAATAATGCATTTTATTTAATAAATACTGAACATTATGCTTATATTTCTGTTGGATAGCACTGTTCTAGACCCTGGGTCAGGGGAAGGGTAGTAGGAGAGGCATATAGACTAGGAGAGGTGCTTTTTCTAATTACACAAATACCTCTAGAGATTCTGAAACACCTTCATCCAGTGGAGCCTCCCTCCCCATCATATTACTCCTACCTCCTATTCCCTTGCTGAAAATCAGTGCTCTTAGTGAGTCTGCCCTCACTGATAAGAGTTTGTATTCTTCAGGAGTGTCTGGGTGCAAAAAGTTATGAATTGCACTAAATTTAACAAGGTTAGACACCCATTAATGATTTCGATGAAATAAATTTTTGGAGTTCTCTACACTATTAAATAGTATGGTACTACCATATAAAAGTACAGTAAAGTCTACCACGAATCCTGGTCCAATGGACTCCAGAGGCTTAAAGTGAGAAAGAATTAAAGTAGATTTTATGAAAGTAAGGGATGAATTACTAGGTCAAAAGCTGAGGAAGTTGAGGAAGGCATCTTGTGTTCTAAAAGGTAAATTTCTGGGAGGGAAAAAAAAAAAAGGCTGGGCACGTTGGCTCATGCCTGTAATCCCAGCACTTTGGGAGGCCAAGGCAGGCAGATCACAAGGTCAGGAGTTTGAGACCAGCCTGGCCAACATGGTGAAACCCCGTCTCTACTAAAAATACGAAAATTAGCCGGGCGTGGTCGTGGGCACCTGTAATCCCAGCTACTCGGGAGGCTAAGACAGGAGAATCACTTGAACCCAGGATCTTGCAGTGAGCCAAGATCGCACCACTGCACTCCAGCCTGGCCAACAAGAGTGACTCTGTCTCAAAAATAAAAAAACTCAAAAAGCTAAATAACCATAAACTTTGGTCTCTGAAGTGAAACTGGACATGTGTTATTTTTCTCACGCCTCTTGGTTCCTGCTAGTTCTGTGCTTGCATACAAAGATTTCCTGAGTTATTTAAAGAGGCATTATTCTCAGGAGTTGGCATGAAGAAGGTTCCTAGTAAATACTGAGCACTATTCTGCCTGAGCTGTTTAGATTGCTTGTTCTATATTCTTTTTACATTGCCTTAAATTAATTTTTTTTAAAAAAATCAATGATATCCCTTAGCCAAATACCTATTACCTTTCAAAGATTATTTCTTGCCCTCTTAAGTCACTTCGCTAGAGAAGAGAGCCCCTTCCTGAGTTCTTTACCATTTCGGAGTCACAGAATACACATTTCACTGGAAGCCCCTTGTTGGTGAGAGAAGAGGTAGTCTCAGAGTTTCCCAACCAGAAATGAGTGTCAAGGCAATTGCTTGAGTTGCTCATTGGAAGACAACTAATATCACTTGATAAGGTTCCTTATTTCAATTTTCTGTGAAGCCATAAAATCAGATACTTGTAGAGGTGAATGATGAGGAAACAGGCATGCAGCTAGTTTGCAGTAAATGTAGGACCCACCTGGGAAGGCACTAAGAGAACACTTGAGTTCTAACCTTCTGTTTTCTGTTGAGGAATTGGCAGCCCTGAGGAAGTGACTTCTCAGTAGTAGAATGAACCAGGCTAAATCTAGATCTTTCATCTCAGTTTCTTGATACAGAGAAACCATGTTTACCCTCAAGTTTGTAATTCTGTAGGATTCGTACAAGACCCTAGATAATGCCATGGATTTATAACTCCCTCAGTTTTTAAAAGATAAGAATCTGAGACTTTAGAGAGGATTTACAGAATGGTTTATGGATGCTGTTCTGTCAAGTTCAAATTACTTTATTTACCCATCTTCATGGCCCAAGTAGTTGAGGATCTAATCTATTGTCAGGGCTCTTTGTCCAAGGAGATAGTTTTCTATATAGGATTCTAACCTATTAGACTGTAAGAGGTTAAAGTTGATCTTGAGATCTCTGGTCCCTTGTAACATTGACATCTTTCAACGGTCTGCTTAGGCAGTGTGTGAACTGATAAAAAAAAAATGGTAAAGGTTAGTAATCTCTTATCTGTCCGCAAAGCCATATGAGTGAGACCTCAGCTGTTCATTTTGTTATCATGAAAAGCTTTTATTAGGTGACTCCTGTTTATAGATGATGACATGCATTCAAATCTTCACTCCAGAAAACCTTAGAGAAAAAGCCATTCTAAGAAGCGTAATGTTCTGGAGAGCTACAGGATTGTTCCATTATAGATTAAAGTTTTATTTTTAAAAATTATTTTAGTTGGAAATTATTTTAAAATGGATCATACCCCTTCTTCCCTTTAATTTAGTTTAATGAGACTAATTTAGTATGTTTATGTGTGCGTGTGTAAAGGATACAAAGTTCCATGGGTTTTTAGTATCTATTCCTAACTCTGTTTTCCTCACAAGCATTATTATTATTATTATTATTATATTATTATTATTATTATTACATTTATTTATATATTTTTTTGAGACGAGTTTTGCTCTCGCTCAGGCTGGAGTGCAGTGGCGCAGTCTCAGCTCACTGCAAGCTCCGCCTCCTGGGTTCACGCCATTCTCCTGCCTCAGCCTCCTGCGTAGCTGGGACTACAGGTGCCTACCACCACACCCAGCTAATGTTTTTTTGTATTTTTAGTAGAGACGGGGTTTCACCATGTTAACCAGGATGGTCTCGATCTCCTGACCTTGTGATCCACCCGCCTCAGCCTCCCAAAGTGCTGGGATTACAGGCATGAGCCACTGCACCCGGCCACAAGCATTATTTTTATAGAATTGTGAGGTTTCCAGGAATGTATACAGTTGTAAAAAACACCTAGATTTAAGTCTGTGGATTACAATCAAAAAAGATCTGAAAGCCAGTGCCAATTAGTTCCTTCCTTGCATTAATAACACTTTTTTACATTTGTTTAAGATTTGCCTGTTTGCCAAGCCTCTGTACATACACACTGTATATGGTCTATGATAAGTAAACTAGGGATGGTCTTCTTCTTGTTTTAAACTATACTAGGCAGGCATAAGGAAACCGAAAAGAGGATGGACTTTGAAATCAATCTTTCTTTGATTTGAATTTTAATTTAGATTCAGGGGGTACACGTGCAGGTTTGTTACAAGGGTATATTGCATGATGCTGAGGTTTGGGCTTCCATTGAGTTCATCACCCAGATAGTGAACATAGTACCCAATAGGAAGTTTTCAGCATCCTCCCACCCCCACCCCCTATTGTGGAGTCCCTAGTGTGTATTATTCTTACTTTTATATCCATGTGTACCTGATATTTAGCTCCCACTTATAAACAAGTACATGTGATACTTGGTTTTCTGAAATCAGACAACCTTTAATATTAGCTTTTGCATTTAGAAGTTGAGTGACCATGGGTGCCTTAACCTTAACTTCCAAAGTTCAGCTTAAAAAAAATCTAAATGGGAACAGTAATGCCAGAATTGTTGGGTGCTTTAAGTTAAGTAATAAAAACACCTACCAGGAGCACAGTGGATGACTCTCACAAAACAAAATGTTGAGTGGAAGGAAGTGGACATAAAAGAGTACATATGATATGATTTCATTTATATAACATTCAAAACAGGCAAAACTAACCTACGGTGATAGAAGTCAAGACAATGGCTACTCTTAGGTGGAGCAGTAACTGGGAGGGGAGGGCACAGGGGATATTTATTGGGGTGCTAGTAATGTGCTCTTTCTTGGTTTGGAGGTACATTATAAAAATTCACTAAGCTTGTATACTTATGATTTATGCACTTTTGGATAATAATGTTATAGTTTAATAATAAGTTATTTTTAAAGTGCCTAACACATAGTTTATGCTCTTCTGCTATGATGGTTCTTTAGGTTAACAACATGAAAATTTATTTTAACAGAATGATCCTAGCCTCTTTTCCTTGTAATCTTTCCATTTCTTTGTTCTGTAATAGTTCCTTTTTCCTAATTCCAGTTTTATACCTTGGCGTGTTTAATAAATATATACTGATGATAATCCCAATTGGTGTAGTTGGAGGAGTTTAGGTCAGTCAGGCAAGGTGAAATTGAATGTCACTGTCATCTAGGAGTATATACCATTCTCTGATCTTTAGATGATTTGGTGATATTTTGCTTTTCACATGAAGATTTCCCTGATTTGTGTAATACGATCTTGTTGAATATCAGACAGACTCTATCATTTACTTTTTAACGGTGAAATATTGGACATATTCTGTTATTTCTTGCACTTTTAATGCAATCCAATTATAGTGTGGTGGGCTTTGAAATGGTCACTGTCACACCCTGTAGCACCTTACAGTTTTTCCTTGGGTTCTTGTTGCTAAAAGAGAACCATGCTTATTGTTTTTATCTTAACTATTTTTGTACTACAAGGGTAGAAGTAGACTTATATACTAGAAAATTTATGAAAGCTCCTGTTATAAAAAACAATTCTTGAAAATTCAAATTTTAAAAACTGAGGAAGTTACTTCTTCTGCTAAGCACTGCTAGACAATGTGTAGGATATAAAATAAGCCTATGACAATCTCTGCCCTCACAGAGGGTGGACTCCTGCTATAAAGACAGGCTTCTGCTTTGTGGGGGTAGATAGAAAATGAGTTTGTCCACACTTACTTTTTGTCTTTTGGATATTGGCTTTGAGAGAAAGTCTCTGATGGAGATGCTAGCAAGCCCCTCTAAACCCCAGAGAACTGTGGTGATGATCATATGGATTCAGTTGGAGCCAAGAGACAAAGAATGGACTGTGACTTCATCAGCGATCAGTAATATGACAAAGTGTTGGGGGGCTGAGGCAGCACCCTCTATATATCAGACACTTACTTACATTAATTCATGAAAATAGATCATGACATTGAACGTTTCCTAACCTTGGGGTAGGCACTATTACTTCCATTTTAAAGATGTAGAAATTGAGGTCCAGAGACACTTAGTAACCTGTCCAAGTTTACATAGCTAGTGACAAAGTTAGTATTCAAGCCCAAAGCCCATCTGTACTGCATGCTATGTATAGATAGTAACATTATCCAGAAAAGGAATATGTTTATTAGAAGATGAACAGTTTGGAAACATGTTAAACAGGAAGTCATAAAGAAAGTTGATAGAGGACTACATCTAGGACTACCCAGGAAAAGGAATTCTGTGGCTCAAGATTGGATTTCTTGAAAGTCCCCATGAAGCTCTTTGTGTTCCTTTTGCAAGACAGTTGAATGAGGCTTTCAAACACTGATGCACATCCACCTGTTGCCTGTTTTTTTTTAATTGTGGCAAAATATACATAAACTTAAAGTTTACCATCTTAAGACATTAAGTACATTTATAGTGTGTGTAGCCTGCACCATTATCCATCCCTAGAATTTTTTTTAATCATCCCAAATAGAAATTCTGTACGCATTAAATATAACTCTCCTCTCTCCACCAGTTCCCTGGTAACCCTTATTTAACTTTCCATCTCTATAAATTTACCTATTATAGGTTCGTCCTGTAAGTAGAATCGTACAGTAGTTGTCCTTTTGTGTCTGGCCAGTTTCACTTAGCACAGTGCCTTGAAGGTTCATCCATGTTGTAGCATTTATCAGAATTGCATTCCTTTTTATGGCTGAGTTTTCCATTGTATGTGTATACCATGTTTTGTTAATCCAGTCATCTGTTGATGGACACTTAGATTGTTTTCCACTTTTGGCTATTGTGAATCATGCTGCTATGAACATTGGTGTACAGGTGTGTTTGAATCCCTGCTTTCAGTTCTTTTAGGTATATAACTAGGGGTAGAATTGCTGGATCATATGATAATTCCACATTTGACTTTTTGAAGAACTGCCAACCATTTTCCACAGCAGCTATACCATTTTACATTCCCACCAGCAATGCATGATGGTTGCAATTTTCCCATATCCTCACCAGCATTTGTTATTTTTCTTTTTTCATAACAGCCATACTAATAAGTGTGAAGTAGTATATCATTGTAGGTATTTTTTGCATTTCTTTAGTGATTATTGATGCTGAGCATCTTTTCATGTGGTTATTGGCCATCTGTATATCTTCTTTGGAGAATTGTCTTTTGCCCATTTTTGAATTGGGTTGTTTAGGTTTTTAGTTCTTCTTGTTGTTGAATTATAGGGGTTCCGTGTATATTTTGGATATCGACAGACTACAAACATGATTTGCAAGTATTGTCTCCGATTCTGTGGACTGTCTTTTCACTCTGATGATAGGATCTTTTGATGCACAACAGTTTTTCATTTTGGTGAAGTCCAGTTTATCTGTTTTCTGTTTTGTTGCCTGTGTTTTATCTGTCATATCCTATAGTCATTGCCAAATCTAAAATGTTAAAGATTTTCCCCTATGTTTTCTTCTAAGAGTTTTATAGTTTTAGCTCTTACATTTATTTAGGTCATTGATAAATTTTGAGTTAATTTTTTTGTATATGGTATAAGGTAAGTATTCAACTTCATTCTCCTGCATCTGGATATTCAGTTTTCCCAGACCTGTTTGTTGAAGAGTGTCCTTTTCCCATTAAATGGTCTTGGGACTTTTATTGAAAATTAACTATTTTTGAGCTCTCTGTTCTATTACATTGGTCTGCTTATCTATCCTTATGCCAATACTGTACTATTTTGATTACTGTAGCTTTGTAGTACATTCTGGAATTAGAAAGTGTAAGTTTTCTAACTTTGTTCTTTTTTTCAAGATTGTTTGAGCTATTTGGAATCCTTTAAGATTCTTTGTGAATTTTAGGACAACTTTTTCTATTTGTGCAAAAATGCCGTTTGGATTTTGATAGGGATTGCGTTGAATCTGTAGATTGCTTTGGATAGTATTGCCATCTTAACAATATTAGTCTTTCAGTCCATGAACACAGAACAGAGTATCTTTTCATTTACTTACATCTTCTTTAATTTCTTTCTGCAATATTTTGTAGTTTTCAGTGTACAAGTCTTTAGCCGTGTTAGTTAAATTTATTCCTAAATATTTTATTCTTTTTGATACTATTTAAATGGAATTATTTTCTTAATTTTCTTTGCACACTGTTCATAGCTAGCATATAGAAATGCAACTAAACTTTGTGTGTGACTTTGTATCCCGCAACTTTGCTGAATTCATTTATTAGCTCTAATAGCTTTTTTGTGGGATCTGTAGAATTTCCTACATATAAGAGTATATCATCTGCAAACAGAGATCATTTTACTTCTTCCTTTCAAATCTGAATGCCTTTAATTCCTTTTTCTTGCCTAATTACTTTAGCTAGAACTTCCAGTACTATGTTTAATAGAAATGGTGAAAGTGGCTATCTTTGTCCTATTCCTAATCTTAGGGGAAAAGCTTTCAGTCTTTCACCATTGAGTATAATATTAGCTGTGAGTTTTTTATATATGGCCTTTATTATGTTGAAGAAGTTCCCTTCTATTCTTAGTTTATTGTGTATTTTCATTATAAAGCACATTAAATTTTGTCAAATGCTTTCTCTACATTGACATTACCATGTGCCTTTTTTTTTTACTTCATTCTATTTATGGTATATTATGTTAATTGATTTTCATATGTTGAACCATCCTTATATTCTGGGAATAAACCTCACTTGGTAATTGTGTGTGCTCTTACTATGCTACTAAATTTTGTTTGCTAGTATTTTGTTGAGGACTTTTGCATTCTTAAGGGCTGTTTTTGAAATTAAAGTTTTATTGGAACACAGCCATGCCCATTCATTTCTGTATGATCGGTATTATCTATGGCTAGTTTCATGTTTCAATAGAGGCCACACGGCCTGGTAAGCTGCAAATATTTATTATCTGGCCTTTTTTTTTTTTTTTTTTTTTTTTTTTTGAGAGAGAGTTTCAATCTTGTTGCCTGGGCTAGAGTGCAATGGTATGATCTTAGCTCACCACAACCTCCACCTCCCAGGTTCAAGCAATTCTCCTGCCTCAGCCTGCCCGGTAGGTGGGATTACAGGCATGTGCCACCAAGCGCAGCTAATTTTGTATTTTTAGTAGAGATGGGGTTTCTCCAGGTTGCTCAGGCTGGACTTGAACTCCCGATCCACCCACCTCGGCCTCCCAAAGTGCTGGGATTATAGGCATGAGCCACCATGCCCAGCCTATCTGGCTCTTCATAGAAAAGGTTTGCAAACTTCTGAGTTAGACAAACAATTTCTTACTCTGGTTCCACACTGCCCAAGAAATCTGATTCTCATTTGGTTCCTGTGTAGATGCACCTTTAAAGTCAAATGGCCCTGGTCATGTACCAGTAAATATTTTAGGCGGTTATATTTCTCACAGTAAATTAATAAATTAACATTCTAGTTTACCTATTATTGTGTAATGACCTATAGCTCTATCCAAAAGAGTCTGCTCCATTTTTAACAGAATCAGGGTTCTGAACTCATAAAGCTGAGGAAAGTATCCTGGAAATTGGAAACTTAACCAAATTGCTGCCCTTGAGAAGCCCTGTCTGGATAACCAGCCTTCTGGCTTCCTCTGATGAAATCTAATTTCACTGCATATCTTCTTTGATCTACAGTAGTTCATATTTCTATTTTTTTCTATCTTTCGCTTTTAGATTTCTACATCGTACTAAGGAAGAATGATTTCCTATTTGATATAGCTGAACCATGCAAAAATCAGATCCTTGAAAAGGTCAGAACCTGTATTTATACATAGTAGAAATAGAGAGTTATCCTCTATTAGGCTGTGTATGAATATATGTGTCACAAAAAACAGAGCAAATGAAAAAACTTCCCCTTTCTTGACATTTTATTCTGCAGTTTTTACAAATTATGTGTGCCTTTATAATGTGCAAACTACACTACTTAAAAGTATGTGTAGAGTACTGTTATTAATCCTGTTTTATAGAAACAATAATGGGCTAAGAGACTTATTCAAAATCCTGTAACTAATAGCTGTAAGATAAAGCCCAGATCTTTTGCCTCTAAGTCTTAACCTTTCCACTACATTGTAAGTTCGTAATTAGTATCAGAATTTAGTAGACATGTAGTATGCAAGCTGTATGAACATTGGAAATAATGTATATAAAAGTCTATGAAAAAGTGTTAAAACCCCTTTATGGATGTTAAGTATCATAAATAATTCAGATCTTGACCTTCAATAGCTAACATATAATCTTGGGATGATACCAGAGTCCTCAATATATAATATACCATTGGCTTAGTATAGCAAGCAAAATTCTTTACAAGGTGCCTCATTTCTACTTTTCTAGCCTCAGCTCATTCAGTTTCTGTCATCTGTCCCTGTAGCTTACTTTGTCCCTTTTCATCTGTAATAAATGGCTAGCATTGTCCAAACACATTGTCCCTTTCCATTTCTATGTTCAATTCCACATAATTAGGAAGAATGCCTGAAATGCCTATTTGTCTTTCTTCGGATAATCCTAGCTCAACTTCATCTCCTCCATGAAGCTTTCCTCAACCCCCCCCCAACCCCTGGCAAAGTTAATCATTCCCTTCTGTTTTCCCAGAGCACTTTTTATAGCAAATCTCTGTATAGCAAAAATCACACGATGATTGTATATTTGAATTGCTATCTTTCCTACTAATCTGTGAGTTCTTTGTGAGCATGAACAGGGACTTACACTTATTTGTCTTTGTGTCTTTAACATGTTACTACTAGGCTTAGATTTTGTTACTCAGCTCAGATGTATTTTGTTTAATGAATAAAATAAGAGCTACAGTTCTTTCCTTATAAGGATCTGTATGTACAGTATTCTAAGTGGGAGACTGACCACACAAAAATACCTAAAAACACATAGATATATGTAAAACGATATAGTGTATGCTTGAGGTAAAATAATGGAATGATCAGAGCCAGGTTGAGTTATTTAGGGAAGGATTCCTCTAGGTTAGTAGTTGGCAATCTATGGCCCACAGGCCAAATCTATCTGCCACCAGTTTTTTGTAAATAAAGTTTTACTGGAACATAGCCATGTTCATTTGTTAGTGTATTATATGTCTGCCTTAATGCTATGATAACAGAGTTGAGCAGTTGCAACAGAGACCATATGTCCTGTAAAACTGAAAATATTTGCCATCTGGCCCTTTACAGAAAAAGTTTGCCAACCCCTGCTCTAGGAGTGGGCTTTGGATATGAAAAGAAGAGGAATGTGAATTGGTGAAGCATAAGTGTGCATCATAATGCAATGAAAACAAGCCATAGTAGTAGGTATGCTAGGTAAGAAAGCTCCACTCCAATTCAGTTTGTCAGAGAGACCTATGCTGAAGAGATTAAATGTCAAGAATGTTTGGATTGAGAAAGAGGGAACACAAATCTAATGGAAAGAAATTTTGAAGTAAACACTCCGGGCCTGCAGCAAAATAGTTTCCTAAATAGTAGCAAAGGATGATGATGAAGGAAAAGGAAGCAGCAACATAAATTAACATTGACTGAGTGTTTACTATGTGCCAGGTACTGTTCTAAGTGGTGTGTGTGTGTGTGTGTGTGTGTGTGTGTCTCCTATTTAATCCTCTCAACAACTAAATGAGATAATTGCTATTATTGTCTTTATTTTGCTGCGGAGGAAACTCAGGCACAGGAGGCTAAGTTAACTTGGTCAAGTTAATACAACTGGTAAGTGATAGAACCAAGTCTGAACCCAGGCTGTCAGTCTGCAGAGTCTTCATAATAGAGAAGGGGAAATCTGGAGATATTTGGTAAAAATACTTTTAAGCTTGGAGTAAGGTACTTAGTCCAAGTAATTGGGAAATGTACTATCCCAACATGGTAAAGAGAAAATGAACAGACAATAAAAGAGTAATGATGGAAGGCAGGGTTTCCAATTAGAAGAGTATACTATGGATTAGGCAGAATGGGCAGGGCAAGGAAGCAGATACTTAAGACATGTTATATAGTCATACAGTAAGATACATTATATAGTCAGTCATTGCGTTTAACCTTGATGAGACCAGAAAGCAATTAACTTTTCCTTGCACACATGAAAGCTGTCCTAAAATACTTGAAGAGCTGGTATATCCAATTGAGATATAGATTAGCAGTGACTTTCAAGGAGGTAAGGGGCATTCAACCTTCCCACAAAAATATACACACCTTAGTATCCCAAGTGTATTATAATTGGTGGAGGTGTCAAGTCATAGCACACACCATTCTCTCTCATTCTGTCTCCCTAAGAGGACTGGTTCCTGTCCAACCCTGTATGATTGCTATGGTAAATATTTACCCCTTTGGACAATTTTTTTAAAAAAATACATATATATTGTATGCATGTTAAAGTAATACATATGCACTATGAAAATTTTGCCAATAGAAGTATACCAAATGCAAACATTGGCTAGAGATGGTAGGATTGGAGATGGAAGGAGGAGGAGACATTAAACTAAATGACTTTCAACATTTCTTCCAAATCTGTAGTTCTATGTTTATACCAGCAGAGTGGTAAGCACAAAGGAAAAGACCACAATGTGACTTTGACATGGTTGGCTTGAATAGAGGATAAAATGGTATAGGAGAAAATCCAATATATGAAATCTAAATTTATAGAGCAGATTACTTTGCAGTGAACCTTGGACTTATTTTTATAAAGATTACTTTTAACTAGCCATTTTGATATGTTCAAATATACTTAATTTTAATAAAAAATTTCATTTACACTTAACTTGTCAGTAGTATATTTACTGTGTAAAATAAAGCAGACACACATTGTTCATTATTTCAAAGAAGGAAGAGATTTCAGCCAAGTTATGTTGTAGTAGCTACAGTGGAAATAATTGAGCTGGGCCTTGCCCATAAACCTGCAATATGATAGAACTTAAAAGGGGACCAGGCATGGTAACTCACACCTGTAATCCCAGAACTTTGGGAGGCCAAGACAGGAGGATTGCTTGAGGCCAGGAGTTCAAGACCAGCCTGGATAACATAGTGAGACCTCGCCTCTACAAAAAATAAAAAAGTTAGCCAGGCGCATTGATGCACACCAGTAATCCTAGCCACTCAGAAGGCTGAGGTGGGAGGATTGCGTGAGTCCAGGAGTTTGAGGCTGCAGTGAACTATGATCATGCCACTGTACTCCAGCCTGAGCAACAGGGTGAGACCCTGTCTCTTAAAAACTAACTAACTTAAAAGATACCTTAGGTATGTAAGGTATGTAAAGTGCCTACCACAGTGCCAGTAAATGGTAGATGGAGACGCAGAAGAGAAAAAAGATGATGGTGGTGATGATGCTGTTGTTATGTCTTCTGTCCCCATATCACACTTCTGTAAGGCTTCAGAAAGAAAGTTGGTATTGTATATATTTGTATACACACATACATACATGCACACACACACTGTCCATGCTACAAAACCTAAACTTGCACAGTGTTGTTTATAAAAACCAGGACTCAGATTTGAAGTCTCAGATTTGGAAGGAACTTTAAAGGTTACCCAGTCCAGCCTCCCTCTTCCTCCTAATGATTTAGTATCTTCACCAATAGGTTATTTTACCTCTGCTTTCACATCCTTAGTGATGGCAAATTCATGCCTCTCCTTCCCAGAGAGCTTATCCCACTTTTGGATACAGAGCTCTGACTGGCAGAAAGTTCTTCCTAATAATATGCTGAAGTCTATCTACCTATAGCTTCCACCCACTGGTTCTAATTCTCTCCCTTGGGGTAATATTGAAGAAGTAGAGCAAATCTCATCTCTCTCCTACATGAAATCCCTCCAGATATTTGCAAACAGCTCTCATGTTTCCCCTGAGTCTTTCCTTCTAGTTAACCTTCCCTAGTTTCTTAAATTCTCACTCTTCTTGTTGCTTTACTTTAAATGAGATTGTGCATTTGTATCTCATTCAAAATATAGGACCTAGAATGAAACATAAAATCCTACTTCTGATATGTTTGGACTGGCAAGAATGGAGCATCCAGGACTGTCATCGTCTTTATTCCAAATATTGACTGGAATAATGATGATGCTGATGCATTGCTTATTTAATGACATCAGATCCATATATGTCTGCTAGGAACTATGAAGTGGCACTATAGGAACCACTGAACTTCTTCTCTGTTCAAGAAGCATGAGCCAGAAGCATTCCAAAAAGCATTAGCTTCTCTTACGCTCTGCCTCACACCTCTGCAAGTTTCTGGAAAGGGTAAACATTATACATAGTTAAAGAATACTAGGACTGCCTGTAGGACAAAGGAAGTCATGGCATTTTCATTAGCCACTTATTGCTAGCTGCATTACTTGTTAAAGGAAATACTGGTGTTCTCATGGGTTCTTTTCTGTGCATACACAAAGATGTATAGTTGCTACAAAGCAAGTGGAGCAGGGGGACACCAAAGAGATATGCTCCATCTTCTTTGTTCACCTCTGCTACATGGAGGAGATAGGATTTATTGCTTTCTTTGAGAAAGAGATTGGCCAGTTTCCTTCCTCCCCCTTCTTCTGGTGGATCATTCCAGAAGAATATTGCATCTCATCATAGTTATCTCCTAATAAAGTAAAAGTAAATGAAGGAGAGCTGGAGACAGAGAATCAGCTGAGATGTGCTGGAAATACTCGGCTGGGCGCAGTGGCTCGTGCCTTGTAATCCCATCACTTTGGGAGGCCGAGGCGGGTGGATCACCTGAGGTCAGGAGTTCAAGACCAACCTGGCCAACATGATGAAACCCTGTCTCTACTAAAAATACAAAAAATTAGCCAGGCTTGGTGACAGGCACCTCTCATCCCAGCTACTCAGGAGGCTGAGGCAGGAGAATCGCTGGAACCCGCGAGGCAGAGGTTGCAGTGAGCCAACATCATGCCACTGCACTCCAGCCTGAGCAACCAGAGTGAAACTCCGTCTCAAAACAAAGTAACAACAACAACAAAAAAAACTTGTTAATGAGAGAGTGGCTGATCAGTGGCACATCACAGATGAATCCTCTGTCTCCTGCCTCCCTGTAGCTTGTCCTTCCATCACCACAGTGAGTAGATGTTCTGCTCACAGCTTTTCCATTTTGATTTCTCTGCATATTGGCATAGTATTATGATTTATCTAAAACTGAGAGTTCTGTCTTTTCTTATTGAATTTTCAGAAGTATGTTTGATGCATCTTTTTTCTGTTTTCCAGTTTCCATTTCTAGGGGAAGTATTCTTCTCTTCCTGTTCTTTGAAATACTTAACACAATATCTGGCATGTAGTAAACACTTAAAATGATAATTATATATTAATAATTTGACTTATTACTATACAGGTGATAATTTGTAACTAAGTTTTTAATTGTATCTTAATATATGAAGAATTCTACTTTTCCTTGCTTCAAGGGGTGGCCTGTTGTGATTGTTTTATTACATTTTGAAAGGATACTACCATAGCCTTACAGATTCTTCTACTACCTATTATACTTCTTTCAACGACTTCCAGAAATACGGAGTCATTACATTCTCCAGATCTGCACTATGCAATGAGTAGCCACAACCATGTATGTCTAATTAAATGTAAATTTAATAAAAATTAAATACAATTAAAAATGCACTCAGTTTGCACTAGCTACATTTCAAGTCCTAAATAGCCACATGTGGCTAGTGGCTACCCATTGGACAACAGGAATATTGAACATTTCCATCATTGCATTAAATTTTGAGAGGCTGAGGCTGGCAGATTCTTGAGGTCAGGAGTTCGAGACCAGCCTGGCCAACATGGTGAAACCCCATCTCTACTAAAAATACAAAAATTAGCCAAGCATGGCGGCACATGCCTATAATCCCAGCTACTCTGGAGGCACTGCTTTGGATATTCGTAGTCTATGCTCTTGTGCTCTTTTCTTAGAAATTGAAGAGGATATATTTTCTAGGGTGTTCCTAAGACTAATCTCTTAATGTTTCAGGGCTCTGAACATGCATTTTGAGGATTCACGTTACTGTTCTTATTCCAGCCCCTTAGTGCCATTACTATCTTTTGGAATAAATACAAGAACTTTCACATCCTCCAAGAAGATTATACTACCATAAATTTTATTTTGTTTATTTTTATTTATTTATTTATTTTGAGACAGTGTTTCTGTTGCCCAGGCTGGAGTGCAGTGGTATGACCATAGCTCACTGCAGCCTTGACCTCCTGAGCTCAGGTGATCCTCCTGCCTTAACCTCCCAAGTAGCTGGAACTATAGGTGCACACACCACCACACCTGGCTAATTTTTATATTTTTTTTTTTTTTGTAGAGATGGGGTTTCACCATGTTTCTGAGTCTCAAACTCCTAGAGATGGGGGTCTCACTGTGTTGTCCAGGCTGGTCTCGAACTCTTGAGTTCAGGCGATTCCCCCCTACTTCAGCCTCCTAAAATACTGGGATTACAGGTGGTCCTCCTGCCTTAACCTCTTTACAGGTGTGAGCCACCACACCCAGCCATTAAGCACTTTCAAAGCCATTTTTTCATTTGTTATTTACAGCAGCCCAGTGAAGCAAGTAGCATTGGGATTATTATTCCCATTTTACTAATAAGAAAACTGAGATTCAGTTAAGTTACAGCCTGAAGTCTTTTTGTTTTTTGGGGTTTTTTTTTTTTTTTTTGACCAAGTCTCACTCTGTCGCCTAGGTTGGAGTGCAGTGGCATGATCTCAGCTCACTGCAACCTCCGCCTCCTGGGTTCAAGTGATTCTGATGCCTCAGCCTCTCGAGTAGCCGGGATTACAAGCATGTGCCACCATGCTTGGCTAATTTTTGTATTTTTAGTAGAGATGGGGTTTCGCCATGTTGGCCAGGCTGGTCTCGAACTCCTGACCTCAAGCATCCGTCAGCCTCAGCCTTTCAAAGTGCTGGGACTACAGACGTGAGCCACCGTGTCTGGCCATGTTACCTGCCTAACGTCTTAAAGGGAAAATAAACATTAAGGCAAAATAGAGGAGATTCAGATCAGGGTAAAATTTTAACGTCAAATTCAGCATTTTTTGTTTTGTTTTTACTTTGTTTTTGTTCTACTTTACTCCCACTCCGACTGTAATAAAAGAGTGAAAGTTCTTTAGGGGAACTGAGGTACTCCCAAAGAATTGCTACAGTCCCATTTGTCCTGTGATCATGTGCTTGGGGTGCCATAACAGAATACCACAGACTGAGTGGCTTAAACAATAGAAATTTATATCCTCAAAGTTCTGGGGGCTGGAAGTTCAGTGTCAGGATGCTAGCGGCAGAGGCTAGAGATGAGGTCTTTCTCCTTAGCTTATAGATGACACCTTCTCTCTGAGTCCTCATGTAGCATTTTTCTCTATGTGAGAGAAAGAGATATCTCTCATGTCTCATCCTTTTGTTTTAAAGAAACCAATTATATCAGATTAGGGTCTCACCTGTATGACTTTATTTAACCTTAATTACCTCCTTAAATGCCCTGTCTCCAAATGTAGTCACATTGGGGGTTAGGGCTTTAACGTATGAATTTGGGGGAGACACAGTTCAGCCCATAACACCATGTTAATGGGTTTTTAGTGTCTTTTGATATTCTGGCTTAACCTGGTTAGCTGGAAACTAAATTTAGTATTTGAATGGGACCAAATGTAGCAAATATCTGTATTCTTTATTTCTGTGAATATAGAGGCTTAATTAAATTCAACCTGTGGTACTTGCTGTAAGGTACTTTGCAACTCCAAGATATTCTAATAGCAAAAAATCTGTATCTAAATTTCCTACTTTTCTTATAATGTAGCCTAATTGTTAATAATTAGAGATCTCAGTACTTTACAGGTAATAAATGTTCTTCTCCTTCCTCCCCACCTACCTTTTTTACAGATGGAGAAATTAGCATACAAAGAAACTGACTTGTCAGAAGTCAGAGCAAGGTATTGGTGGATCCAGGGATAAATCCCAAACTTCTTAACCCCTAGACCGGTTTTTAGTCCATTGACTATGCAGCCTAATGGTAAGTATCTTTTTACCCTATCGTGGAGGTAAGAGGGATTAAGAGACCTAGCAAGGACTGGCTTTAAGGAATTCCTCACGAATAATTAGACTACTCGTTATCCTTTTCTTTATAGCCATGATGTCATTTTTGTCATTGGCATGAATTTTCCAGATTGGGAGAGGAGGTCTGAAGTTTTGCTTTTTAAATACTTAAAAATATTTCTCGGTGGCTCATGCCTGTAATTCCAACACTCTGGGAAGCCAAGGTGGGCGGATCACCTGAAGTCAGGAGTTCGAGACCAACATGGAGAAACCCCATTTCTACTAAAAATACAAAACTGGTGGGCATGGTGGCGCATGCCTGTAATCCCAGCTACTTGGGAGGCTGAGACAGGAGAATTGCTTGAACCCGGGAGGCGGAGGTTGCTGTAAGCCGAGATCTCACCATTGCACTCCAGCCTGGGCAACAAGAGCAAAACTCCATCTCAAAAAAAAAAAAAAAATCTGTAACAATTTGGCTACATGAGAAATAATTATTGAGAAAGGAAACTATTATTTAATGAATTTGTCCACTGTGTCCAGCAGAAATACAATGCAAGCCACTTATGTAGTTTAAAGTTTTGTAGTAGCCACATTTAGAAAGGTAAAAAGAAGAAGGGGCATGGGAGCTCACACCTGTAATCCCGGCATTTGGGGAGGCTAAAGTGGGCCAATTGCTTGAGCCCAGGAATTGGAGACCAGCCTGGGCAACATGGCAAAACCCCATCTCTACAAAGAATACGGAAGAGTAGCCAGTCGTGGTGGTGTGAGCCTGTAGTTCCAGCTACTAGGGAGGTTATAACACTTTATCACACTTATGTAACTCTCTGTCTTCTAGACTAAGAGAGGGTGCCTTGTTGTTTTTTTTAATCCTTATTACCTAGCACAGGGCTGGAACTTAGGTAGTCAATGAATTTTTCGTTTGAAGCATGAATAAATGCAGTTTCAGTATGGAAATATCAAAGATTTTAAGAGTGTTATTTTGAAAATAGTAAGTTGGAAATGGAATTTAAATGTCAAATTGAACAAGATTTAAGAGGAAGCTACTCTCTTTAAACCCATAATATTGCATTCATTGATTCATTGTATTGACCTAGATATGTGAGATAGTAAGGAGAATAAGACATAATCTTTACTGACAAATAGTTCATAATTAAGATATACATGTGATCAAACACAAATACACACATAAGATATAGATAGTTGCTACTATAATATCTCAGCTCCCATAATATTGTTTGATGCTTAGTGAAAGAATTTCAAGGCTGAATAGGGTCTTAGAAGTTTATCTAGTTATCTCCCTTTACAACCTGTGAATTTTCTCTCAGCTTGGAAAAGTTTCAGCATCTTTGGTGAAAAGTGGTCATTCAGCCTTTCTGCTTGTACATTTTAGTGTATAACCAATCCTCCACAGGACAATTCTCATTGCCAGAAAGTCTCTCTCTGACATCTGCTTCCCTGTAGTGAATGCTTTGTCGAATGCCTCCAATCAAAAGACTACATTTTGTGAAATCCCTGCTGAGCATTCCAGTAGCATGTAAGCTAGAACAGGGGTCTTTTATCTGATTTGTTTAGTGATATATCTCCAGTGCCTAGAATAATGACTGACAAACAGTGGTAATAAATATTTGTTGAATGAATGAATCTAAACATAAGCAGGATTTAGAGCATTATTTCAATTCAGTTTTTTAATTGTCAGATTTACTCCCTTTGTGGACTATTACATATCTTTCATTGCTGTTTCCTGATCAGTTCTTTGCCTGTATGGCATAGTTTAACTTATTGAGCCCTACATTCTTCATTTGTAAAAAGTTATTAATAATACCTGAGATGGAATATATGAAAATGCCTGGCACTCGGCCTGGTATATATAGTAATGGTAAGTATTAGTTGAATCTGAAATGGAATCAGTGCAGCAACCTCTGAGCCTCCCCTGACCCTGACATCCCAGGAATGCAAGTTTATTTTTTAAAATTAATTAATTTCAAGAAGTATACATAACACAGAATTTACCATTTTAATAATATTTTAGTGTACAGTTCAGTGACACTAAAGACATTCACATTGTTGTGCACCCATCACCACCATCAATCTCTAGAACTTTTTTCATCTTGCAGAACTGAAACTGTACCCATTAAAAATGGTAAGTTCATTTTTAATGTTAGCTTAGGTAAAGCATGACTGAACTGGTAAATCTGTAGTAGAAAAAATAATACATTCTAAAACTAAATATAAATGACATATTATCTGCAGTTTTAAATGATCTGTTTTCAGTTATTGTTTATTAATATGAATAATTGATATCTTACCATGTGACTTCTAGGTATCATTCTCTATGTCACAGTTGTTTTGATGAATGTGCATTGAAATACTGACTTTTTAATATGGGTAATTTTTCTCTCATTGCATAACTTTCTGCATTTAGTAAAAAGACAACTTTTTTTTTTCTTTTGACTGCTTGCTGTGTGCCAAACTCTAGGAATACTGATTGGCTTAAGATTATTTAGCTCTGACACTGACAGGCATAAATGTAGGAGGTGGCACTACTACTTTGCTTAGGGCTGTCACCAGAAAGCTGTTACAAAATAATATTTGTCCTGGACTGTGAGGAATAAATAGGAATTTCCCAAATAGAGAAAAGGGGAAGGTCCAGAGGTATGAAAGAGTATGAGTTTGGATGCAGTTTACAGTTGTATGAGCTTGGAAAGAGTATATGTTTGGATACAGTTTAGGGATTGATCCTTGAAGAGTTTTAAATGGGGTAGTGACATGTTTTATCTTATTTGTATTTTAGAAAAATAATGCTGATGTATGATTGGAAGGCAGTGAGAACAAAGGAATTAAATAACTGTTTTTATTGGTCAACGTGAGAGATAATGAAATCCTAAACTCTGAATGGGGCAGGGGAGATTAAAGAGAGATGGTTATTTTAGAGATACAACTGACGGAATTGGATAACCAGTTGGATTTGGAGGACAAGAGGGATTACAGGTTTCTGATTTGTTATGTTAACTGGAATAGGGACTGCCAGAGAAGAAAGATATAAACTGATTATTAAATAGTACCTATGTATTATAATATACTCTGAAACATGGCCATTATTCTTAGAACACTTTGAAAAAATGATAGGTGACTAGCTCCTTTTTTAATGTGTAGAATTCTATCAGATGCTGTATTCTCTTTATTTTGGGACAGTTGCCTGATTCAGGGACAGTTACCTGATTCACTGAGTAGTTTATGGCAGTACTTAAAAATTACACATTTTGTAATGCATTTGTTTCTTTTTCTTTAGTGCTGCTTTCCATGTTTCAGTAGTTTGTACCAAGAGTCTATTTCTTCCTAGAAGTTCCTTTTTCATTGTTTTTTTTGTTTTTGTCTTTTTTTGTTTTTAAGACAGAGTCTTGCTCTGTTCCCCAGGCTGGAGTGCAATGACGTAATCCTGGCTCACTGCAGCTTGGACTTCCTGGGCTCAAGCAATCCTCCCATCGCAGCCCCTTGAGTAGCTGAAATCACAGGTTCCACACCTAGCTAATTTTTTAATTTTTTTGTAGAGACGAGGTCTCACTGTGTTGCTGAGACTGTTCTCGAACTCCTGGGCTCAATGAATCTTCCTGCCTTGGCCTCCCAAAGTACTGGGATAACAGGCATGGGCCACCGAACTTTTTGAACTATTTGATGCCTTTCTGCCCTTAACTGTTATTTTGTTCATTTTGCTGCATAATTGAGTATGGATTTTGTTTTCTTTTTTATTATTATACTTTAAGTTTTAGGGTGTATGTGCACAACGTGCAGGTTAGTTACATATGTATACATGTGCCATGTTGGTGTGCTGCACCCATTAACTCGTCATTCAACATTAGGTATATCTCCTAATGCTATCCCTCCCCTCTCCCCGCATCCCACAACAGGCCCCGGTGTGTGATGTTCCCCTTCCTGTGTCCATGTGTTCTCATTGTTCAATTCCCACCTATGAGTGAGAACATGCGGTGTTTGGTTTTTTGTCCTTGCGATAGTTTGTTGAGGATGATGGTTTCCAGCTTCATCCATGTCCCTACAAAGGACATGAACTCATCATTTTTTATGACTGCATAGTATTCCATGGTGTATATGTGCCACATTTTCTTAATCCAGTCTATCATTGATGGACATTTGGGTTGGTTCCAAGTCTTTGCTATTGTGAATAGTGCCGCAATAAACATACGTGTGCATGTGTCTTTATAGCAGCATGATTTATAATCCTTTGGGTATATGCCCAGTAATGGGATTGCTGGGTCAAATGGTATTTCTAGTTCTAGATCCCTGAGGAATCGCCACACTGACTTCCACAAGGGTTGAACTAGTTTACAGTCCCACCAACAGTGTAAAAGTGTTCCTATTTCTCCACATCCGCTCCAGCACCTGTTGTTTCCTGACTTTTTAATGATTGCTATTCTAACTGGTGTGAGATGGTATCTCATTGTGGTTTTGATTTGCATTTTTCTGATGGCCAGTGATGATGAGCATTTCTTCATGTGTCTGTTGGCTGCATAAATGTCTTCTTTTGAGAAGTGTCTGTTCATATCCTTGGCCCACTTTTTGATGGGGTTGTGTGTTTTTTTCTTGTAAATTTGTTTGAGTTCATTGTTGATTCTGGATACTAACCCTTTGTGAGATGAGTAGATTGCAAAAATTTTCTCCCATTCTGTAGGTTGCCTGTTCACTCTGATGGTAGTTTCTTTTGCTGTGCAGAAGCTCTTTAGTTTAATTAGATCCCATTTGTCAATTTTGGCTTTTGTTGCCATTGCTTTTGGTGTTTTAGACATGAAGTCCTAGCCCATGCCTGTGTCCCGAATGGTATTGCCTAGGTTTTCTTCTAGGGTTTTTATGGGTTTAGGTCTAACATTTAAGTCTTTAATCCATCTTGAATTAATTTTTGTATAAGGTGTAAGGAAGGGATCCAGTTTCAGCTTTCTACATATGGCTAGCCAGTTTTCCCAGCACCATTTATTAAATAGGGAATCGTTTCCCCATTTCTTATTTTTGTCAGATTTGCCAAAGATCAGATGGTTGTAGATATGCGGCGTTATTTCTGAGGGCTCTATTCTGTTCCATTGGTCTATACCTCTGTTTTGGTATCACTACCATGCTGTTTTGGTTACTGTAGCCTTGTAGTATAGTTTGAAGTCAGGTAGCGTGATGCCTCTAGCTTTGTTCTTTTGGCTTAGGATTGACTTGGCAATGTGGGCTCTTTTTTGGTTCCATGTGAACTTTAAAGTAGTTTTTTCCAATTCTGTGGAGAAAGTCATTGGTAGCTTGTTGGGGATGGCATTGAATCTATAAATTACCTTGGGCAGTATGGCCATTTTCATGATATTGATTCTTCCTACCCATGAGCATGGAATGTTCTTCCATTTGTTTGTGTCCTCTTTTATTTCCTTGAGCAGTGGTTTGTAGTTCTCCTTAAAGAGCTCCTTCACGTCCCTTGTAAGTTGGATTCCTAGGTATTTTATTCTCTTTGAAGCAATTGTGAATGGGAGTTCACTCATGATTTGGCTCTCTGTTTGTCTGTTATTGGTGTATAAGAATGCTTTTGATTTTTGCACATCGATTTTCTATCCTGAGACTTTGCTGAAGTTGCCTATCAGCTTAACGATGGGGTTTTCTAGATATACAATCATGTCCTCTGCAAACAGGGACAATTTGACTTCCTCTTTTCCTAATTGAATACCCTTTATTTCCTTCTCCTGTCTGATTGCCCTGGCCAGAACTTCCAACACTATGTTGAATAGGAGTGGTAAGAGAGGGCATCCCTGTCTTGTGCCAGTTTTCAAAGGGAATGCTTCCAGTGTTGGCCCATTCAGTATGATATTGGCTGTGGGTTTGTCATAGATAGCTCTTACTATTTTGAGATATGTCCCATCAATACCTAATTTATTGAGAGTTTTTAGCATGAAGTGTTGTTGAATTTTGTCAAAGGCCTTTTCTGCATCTATTGAGATAATCATATGGTTTTTGTCGTTGGTTCTGTTTATATGCTGGATTACATTTATTGATTTGCATATGTTGAACCAGCCTTGCATCCCAGGGATGAAGCCCACTTGATCATGGTGGATAAGCTTTTTGATGTGCTGCTGGATTCGGTTTGCCAGTGTTTTATTGAGGATTTTTGCATCAATGTTCATCAAGGATATTGGTCTAAAATTCTCTTTTTTTGTTGTGTCTCTGCCAGACTTTGGTATCAGGATGATGCTGGCCTCATAAAATGAGTTAGGGAGGATTCCTTCTTTTTCTGTTGATTGGAATAGTTTCAGAAGGAATGGTACCAGGTCCTCCTTGTACATCTGGTAGAATTCGGCTGTGAATCCATCTGGTCCAGGACTTTTTTTCGTTGGTAAGCTATTAATTATCGCCTCAATTTCAGAGCCTGTTATTGGTCTATTCAGAGATTCAACTTCTTCCTGGTTTAGTCTTGGGAGGGTGTATGTGTCGAGGAATTTATCCATTTCTTCTAGATATCCTAGTTTATTTGCGTAGAGGTGTTTATAGTATTCTCTGATGGTAGTTTGTGTTTCTGCAGGATTGGTGGTGATATCCCCTTTATCATTTTTTATTGCATCTATTTGATTCTTCTCTCTTTTCTTATTAGTCTTGCTAGCGGTCTGTCAATTTTGTTGATCTTTTCAAAAAACCAGCTCCTGGATTCATTGATTTTTTGGAAGGGTTTTTTGTGTCTCTATTTCCTTCAGTTCTGCTCTGATGTTAGTTATTTCTTGCCTTCTGCTAACTTTTGAATGTGTTTGCTCTTGCTTTCTCTAGTTCTTTTAATTTTGGATCTTTCCTGCTTTCTCTTGTGAGCATTTAGTGCTGTAAATTTCCCTCTACACACTGCTTTGAATGTGTCCCAGAGATTCTGGTATGTTGTGTCTTTGTTCTCGTTGGTTTCAAAGAACATCTTTATTTCTGCCTTCATTTCGTTATGTACCCAGTAGTCATTCAGGAGCAGGTTGTTCAGTTTCCATGTAGTTGAGCGGTTTTGAGTGAGTTTCTTAATCCTGAGTTCTTGTTTGATTGCACTGTGGTCTGAGAGACAGTTTGTTATAATTTCTGATCTTTTACATTTGCTGAGGAGTGCTTTACTTCTAACTATGTGGTCAATTTTGGAATAAGTGTGGTGTGGTGCTGAGAAGAACGTATATTCTGTTGATTTGGGGTGGGGAGTTCTGCAGATGTCTGTTAGGTCTGCTTGGTGCAGAGCTGAGCTCAATTCCTGGATATCCTTGTTAACTTTCTGTCTTGTTGATCTGTCTAATGTTGACAGTGGGGTGTTAAAGTCTCCCATTATTATTGTGTGGGAGTCTAAGTCTCTTTGTAGGTCTCTAAGGACTTGCTTTATGAATCTGGGTGCTCCTGTATTGGGTGCATATATGTTTAGGATAGTTAGCTCTTCTTGTTGAATTGAACCCTTTACTATTATGTAATGGCCTTCTT
Organism: Homo sapiens; assembly: GCF_000001405.40. NCBI lineage: Eukaryota > Metazoa > Chordata > Mammalia > Primates > Hominidae > Homo > Homo sapiens. The sequence continues at coordinate 41,178,633 of NC_000001.11, read as the reverse complement.
TGTCTCTTTTGATCTTTGTTGGTTTAAAGTCTGTTTTATCAGAGACTAGGATTGCAACCACTGCCTTTTTTTGTTTTTCATTTGCTCAGTAGATCTTCCTCCATCCCTTTATTTTGAGCCTATGTGTGTCTCTGCATGTGAGATGGGTCTCCTGAATACAGCACACTGATGGGTCTTGACTATCCAATTTGCCAGTCTGTGTCTTTTACTTGGAGCATTTAGCCCATTTACATTTAAGGTTAATATTGTTATGTGTGAATTTGATCCTGTCATTATGATGTTAGCTGGTTATTTTGCTCGTTAGTTGATGCAGTTTCTTCCTAGCCTCGATGGTCTTTACAGTTTGGCATGTTTTTGCAGTGGCTGGTACCAGTTGTTCCTTTCCGTGTTTAGTGCTTCCTTCAGGAGCTCTTTTAGGGCAGTCCTGGTGGTGACAAAATCTCTCAGCATTTGCTTGTCTGTAAAGGATTTTATTTCTCCTTCACTTATGAAGCTTAGTTTGGCTGGATATGAAATTCTGCGTTGAAAATTCTTTTCTTTAAGAATGTTGAATATTGGTCCCTGCTCTCTTCTGGCTTGTGGAGTTTCTGCCGAGAGAACAGCTGTTAGTCTGATGGGCTTCCCTTTGTGGGTAACCCAACCTTTCTCTCTGGCTGCCATTAACAATTTTTCCTTCATTTCAACTTTGGTGAATCTGACAATTATGTGTCTTGGAGTTGCTCTTCTCGAGGAGTATGTTTGTGGCATTCTCTGTATTTCCTGAATTTGAATGTTGGCCTGCCTTGCTAATTGGGGAAGTTCTCCTGGATAATATCCTGAAGAGTGTTTTCCAACTTGGTTCCATTCTCCCCATCACTTTTAGGTACACCAATCAGACGTAGATTTGGTCTTTTCACATAGTCCCATATTTCTTGGAGGCTGTGTTCGTTTCTTTTTATTCTTTTTTCTCTAAACTTCTCTTCTCACTTCATTTCATTCATTTGATCTTCCATCACTGGTACCCTTTCTTCCAGTTGATCAAATCGGCTACTGAGGCTTGTGCATTCGTCACGTAGTTCTCATGCCATGGTTTTCAGCTCCATCAGGTCCTTTAAGGACTTCTCTGCATTGGTAATTCTAGTTAGCCATTCATCTAATTTTTTTCAAGGTTTTTAGCTTCTTTGCCATGGGTTCGAACTTCCTCCTTTAGCTCGGAGTCGTTTGATCGTCTGAAGCCTTCTTCTCTCAACTCATCAAAGTCATTCTCTGTCCAGCTTTGTTCCATTGCTGGTGGGGAGCTGTGTTCCTTTGGAGGAGGAGAGGCGCTCTGATTTTTAGAGTTTCCAGTTTTTCTGCTCTGTTTTTTCCCCATCTTTGTGGTTTTATCTACCTTTAGTCTTTGATGATGGTGACGTACAGATGGGGTTTTGGTGTGGATGTCCTTTCTGTTTGTTAGTTTTCCTTCTAACAGTCAGGACCCTCAGCTGCAGGTCTATCGGAGTTTGCTGGAGGTCCACTCCAGACCCTGTTTGCCTGGGTATCAGCAGCGGAGGCTGCAGAACAGCGGATATTGGTGAACAGCAAATGTTGCTGCCTGATCGTTCCTCTGGAAGTTTTGTCTCAGAGGGCCGTGTGAGGTGTCAGTCTGCCCCTACTGGGGGGTGCCTCCCAGTTAGGCTACTTGGGGGTCAGGGACCCACTTGAGGAGGCAGTCTGTCCATTCTCAGATTTCCATCTGTGAGCTGGGAGAACCACTACTCTCTTCAAAGCTGTCAGACGGACATTTAAGTCTGCAGAGGATTCTGCTGCCTTTTGTTTGGCTATGCCCTGCCCTGAGAGGTGGAGTCTACAGAGGCAGGCAGGCCTCCTTGAGCTGCGGTAGGCTCCACCCAGTTCGAGCTTCCTGGCCACTTTTTTTACTTACTCAAGCCTCAGCAATGGCGGGCGCCCCTCCCCCAGCCTCGCTGCCACCTTGCAGTTTGATCTCAGACTGCTGTGCTAGCAATGAGCGAGGCTCCGTGGGCATAGGACCCTCCGAGCCAGGCGCGGGATATAATCTCCTGGTGTGCCGTTTGCTAAGACCATTGGAAAAGCGCAGTATTAGGATGGGAGTGACCCGATTTTCCAGGTGCCGTCTGTCACCCCTTTCTTTGACTAGGAAAGGGAATTCCCTGACCCCTTGCACTTCCCAGGTGAGGCGATGCCTCGCCCTGCTTCGGCTCATGCTCAGTGCGCTGCACCCACTGTCTTGCACCCACTGTCCGACACTCCCCTGTGAGATGAACCCGGTACCTCAGTTGGAAATGCAGAAATCACCGGTCTTCTGTGTCGCTCATGCTGGGAGCTGTAGACTGGAGCTGTTCCTATTCGGCCATCTTGGTGCCACCCCCCGGATTTTGTTTTCTTTACTGGAATACTTCCTCTTTTCTCCTCTTTCTTTCCTTTTTTTTTTTTGTTTTTTTTTTGTTTTTTTTGGTTTTTTTTTTGAGACAAGTCTTGCTCTGTTGCCCAGGCTAGACTAATTTTTCTAAATTGCATTGGTTGCTTTTGAATATTGTTTTACTGTTGATCTTTCAGCCTGGTTTCTATTTGTTGTGGCTTCCTTGAACCAATTTTGTGTATACTGGTAGCTCACCTTTACTTAAGCAATAGAATACTAAAAACTAGTATATAAATGGAATATATATTGTATATTTAATTTTTAAGAATATATGTTTTCTAATTATGAAAATTTTTAAACATAAAATTAATCATGATCCCCTAATATATTTGTCAGTAATTTTAAAGCCTAATCTAGTTTTTAATCTTTACTGATGATTCAGAGGAAAACAAGCATAGCAGGCTACTAGAAAGACAGGGGATGTAAAAACCAGGAGAGAAGGCAAACACTTGGAGTGGGACACTGGCCAATGTTGCTGCAATGTAATAGAAAAGGGAGAAGTCATAACACATAAGATAGAGAGGTGGCATGAGTCCAATCCCATATGGCTTTGTAAAGCACCCTTAATTGAGTATGAAGCTATTGGAGGTCCTTCAGGAGAGAAATGACCTTATCTGTTTTATGTTTTAAAATACTCACTCTGACCTAGTATTAGGGTTCTCCCCCAAAACAGAAACAATGGGAGCTGTGTAGGTAGGTAAAGAGAGAGATTTATTGTGGAAATTGGCTCACAGGATTATAGAGGCTGAGAAATCCCATGATATACTATCTGTAAGCTGGTGCCATAATTTAGTCTAAGTCCAAAGACCTGAGAATCAGGGAGCTGATGGTGTAACTCCTCCTTCAATGCCAAAGACCTGAAAACCAGTGGGGAAGGCAGAGGGTACTGGAGGCTCAAGAACTAGGAGCTCCAGTGTCCAAGGGCAGGAGAAGATGGATGTCCTAGCTCAAGAAACGAGATAATTCACTCTTCCTTCACCTTTTTGTGCTATTTGGACCCTCAGTGGATTGGATAATGCCCACACACATTGGTGAGGGCAATCTTTACTCAGTCTACTGATTCAAATGTTAATCTCTTCAATAAATACCACCACAGATACACTCAGAAATAATGTTTACCAGCTATTTGGGCGTCCCTTAGCCCAGTTAAGTTGACACATAAAGTTAACCATCACAAGTACTCGTTTTCAACTCGGCATCCGTATGTATTTCCTTAAGCCATACTTGATCTCCAAATGAAGACAGTAACAAGGTCATTATTCTACCTAACATAAACAGCTATCCTGCATACAACAAAAAACACACTAGCCCCTTCCCCAGGGGAGTGAAGTTCTTCAGTGATGTTTACTCTTCTCCTGATAGCCTGTAACTTAAATATTATGATGTAAAATTAACAATACTTAAATATTGATATAAAGTCAATACAACTTTTGTTACATGATAAGAAAATAAGACAGGAAAGAAAGCAAAGATATTTGCTTAATATGTGTGTATATACACACAAACATTCATAATGAAATAAGGAGAAAATACTTAGAACAATTACAGTTCTTGTTTCTGTAACTGGTCACATGGTTATTGCTGGTATTTATAACTTATCTATTCAATTTTTTTTTCTTGTTTGCCTTCTGCAAGAACCTCATGATTCTTTACCCAGCAGGGTGACCCAAAGGTTTGGCCCATTTGTAGTTCTGCCTGGATTGCATTTTTGTAGTTATCCATTGGCCCTAATCACAACGTGGAGTAATACTGAGAAACACCCTAAGGTATCTCCTGTACTGTAGACATACTCTTCAATTCTTCCATTGTGGAGTAGTAGTTCAGTTTCTCCTTGATAGTCCAGATGAATCACCTCAGCCAACAACACCACAACTCCCTCTTTACCTGTTGACTCAGAGGCACAAGGAGCCCAGAGTAGCTGGGTGGCAGTCTTTAAAAAAAAAAAAAAAAAAATTGGAGACTTTTTTGGTTTTGTCTGTTATTATTTTTTAATTGAAACATAATTGTACATATTTATTGGGTACAGTGTGATATTTCAATACATGTACACAATATGTAATGATCAAATTGGTAATTAGTATATCAATCCCTTCAAACATTTATCATTTATTTATGTTGGGAGCATTCAGAAATATGCTCTTCTTGCTATTTGAAAATACATAATAAGTTCTCATTAATTATAGTCACTCTATAGTGCTATAGAACACTATAACTTATTTCTTTTATTTAGCTGTACTTTTATATTTGCCCCCCTACCTCCCCTTCCTTCCCTTTAGTAACCACTATTCTGTCTACTATGAGGTCAACTTTTTTAGCTTCCACATATGACCAAAAACATGTGGTATTTCTTTCTGTGCCTGGCTTATTTCATTAACCTGATGTTCTACAAGCTAATCCATGTTGCCACAAATTACAAAATTTCATTCTTTTTATAGCTAAATAGTATCCCATTGTTTATATATACCATATTTTCTTTATCTATTTATCTAATGATGGACACTTTGGTTGATCCCATATCTTGACTATTATGAATAGTGCTGCAATGAACATGGGAGTGCAGATAACTCTTCGACATACTGATTTCCTTTCCTATGGATATATACCCAGTATTGGAATTGCTGGATCATATGGTAGTATTCTTTTCAGATTTTTGAGGAACCTTCATCCTGTTTTCCATAATAGCTGTACTAATTTACAATACCACCAACAGTGAATAAGAGTTCTCCTTTCTCCACATTTTTGTCAGCATTTATTTTTGTCTTTTTACTAGTAGCCACTGTAACTAGGGTAAGATGATATTTCATTGTGGTTTTGATTTGCATTTCCCTGATGATTAGTGATGTTGAGCATTTTTCATATACCTGTTAGCCATTTCTATGTCTTCTTTTGAGAGATACTTATTCAGCTCATTTTGTTTATGTTTAAATCAGATTATTTGTTGTTTTGTGTTTTGGGGGGGAGTTTTTTGTTTTTTGCTGTTGTTTGAGCTCCCTGCATGTTCTGGATATTAATCCCTTATTGGATTAATAGCTTACATATATTTCTCCCATTCTGTACTCTTTTCCCTCTGTTGATTGTTTCCTTTGCTGTGCAGAAGCTTTTTAGTTTGATATAATCTCGTGATGTCTAATTGTGTAATTTTGCTTTTGTTGCCTATGCTTTTGAAGTCTTCTCCATAAAATCTTTGTGCAGATCAATGTCTTGAAGCATTTCTCCTACATTTTTTTTCTAGTAGTTTTATAGTTTCAGGCCTTCATTTAAGTCTTGATCTGTTTTTAGTTGATTTTTGTACATGATGAGAGGTAGGGATCTAGTTTTATTTTTCTGCATATGGATATCCAGTTTTCCCAGCACTATTTATTGAGGAGACTGTCCCTTCCCCAGTGAATGCTCTTGATGCCTTTCTCAAAAATCAGTTGGCTGTAAATACATGGATTTATTTGTGGGTTCTCTATTCTGGGTTCCATTGGTATATATGTGTGTTCTTATGCCAGTACTGTGGTGTTTTGTTTACCTTATCTTTGTAATATATTTTGAAATCCAGTAATGTGATGCCTCCAGCTTTGTTCTTTTTTGCTCAGGTTTGCTTTGGCTATTCAGAGACTTTAATGGTTCCGTACAAATTTTAGGGTTTTTTTTTCTATTTTTGTGAAGAATGTCATTGGTATTTTGATAGGGATTGCATTGAATCTATAGATGACTTTTGGTAGTATGGTCATTTTAACAATATTAAGCCTTCCAATCCATGAACATGAGATATATTTCTATTTTTTTGTGTCCTTTTCCATTTCTTTCATCAATGTTCTGTAATTTCCCTTGTAGAGATCTTTCACCTCCTTGGATAAATTTATTTGTAGGTTTTTTTTTATAGCTATTGTAAATGAGATTACTTTCTTGATTTCTTTTTTACTAGTTCATTGTTGGTTCAGTGCTACTGATTTTTATATGTTGATTTTATGTCCTGCAGCTTTCCTGAATTTGTTTATCAGTTCTAAGAATTTTTTGGTACAGCGTTTTTTTTTTTTTTTTTGAGATGGAGTCTCGCTCTGTCGCCCAGGCTGGAGTGCAGTAGTATGAACATGGCTCACTGCAGCCTTAACCTCTCAAAAGATCCTCCCACCTCAGCCTCCAAGTAGTTGGGACCACAGGCATGTGCCTCCATCCTGGCTAACTTTTTGTATTTTTTGTAGAGATGGGGTCTTGCCATGTTGCCCAGGTTGGTCTTGAAGTCCTGGGCTCAAGTGATACTTCTGTCTCACCCTCCCAAAGTGCTGGGATTACAGGCGTGAGCCACCGCGCCCAGCCATCTTTCCTCTTAATATTGCTTTTGCTGTATCCCATAGGTTTGGGTATGTTACGTTTCTATTTTCATTTGTTTCAAGAAACTTTAAAATTTTCTCCTTAATTTCTTCATTGACCCATTGGTTATTCAGAAACATGTTTAATTTGTTTCTTTTTCTACAATTTTGAAAGTTCCTCTTGTTATTGGTTTCTATTTTTATTCCATTGTGGTCTGAAATGATACTTGATATGATTTCAGTTCTCTTAAATTTGGTGAGATTTACTTATGGTCTAATTTGGAGAATGCTTCATGTGCTTATGAAAATAATGTATATTATACAGCTGTTGGATGACAGTAAAAGTACTGTCACCTAGCTGGCACTGTAACTGCATCTTTTTTTTTTTTAATTTTTAATGTAGACAGGGTTTTACCACAAGGCCATTCCATAGTTCTGTCAAGCCAGCTGCTTCAGGATGATGCATGTTAAGATCATTAATTCCATGAGCATAAGCTTATTGCCACACTTCTTTGTGTGGCTTCTTGGTCAGAAGCAGTGCTGTCTGTAATGGTGGATAAGGGATTTTGTGAGTCTGCAGTTGGTAGTTTTGACAGTAGAATTGCATGCAGGGAAGGCAAATCAATATCCAGAGTAAATGTCTATTCCAGCTGGACAAAATGCTGTCCCTTCCATGAAGGAAGCAGTCCATTGTAATCAACCAGCCACTGGGTAGCTGGCTGATCACCCTGGGAAATAGTGCCATATCAGGGGCTCAATGTTGATCTCTGCTACTGGCAGATTGGGCACTCAGCAGTGGCCATCGCCAGATTGGCCTTGGTAAGTGGAAGTCTATGCTGCTGAACTTATGCATAATTTCTATGCAAATAAGTGATGGAGGTGCCATTTACTGGGTTGGGGAAGACAAAAAGTAACAAGATGACAGAGGATGGCCTTCTGTTTTAGTCATGTTAAGTTTTTAATATCTGATTGATAACCATGTAGTGATGGCCTATAGGTAGTTGTTTATGTGAATGTGTGTGGGATTCTAAGAATCCAGTTCTGGAAATGTGAATTTGGAAGTAATCTTAATGGTGTGGTGAGCAGACACACCCTATTTGAATGAGGAGATAGTATGGGGTAGTGAGGAGGCAATAACTGTGAGGTAGCAATAACTGTGAAGTAGTGAGGAGGCAATAACTGCAGATAACTCTTAAATTTTCCTGTGAAGGAGAGCAAAGAAATAGAGGGATATAATAGGAGGGATATGTGTGGGATTAAGAGAAGGATATGAGGTTTTGTTTATTTTAGGTTTTCATTGATAGGAAATAATAGAGCAATAAGAATGCTGGTGGCAAATGACCTATTAGAAAGGAGGTACTTGATAGTAGGGTCAGCAATGTGGCAGAATAGGAAACTCCTGACTCTCCCTCCACCCATGAATGCACCAAATAAATATCTATTCATGGATCAGTTCTCTCTCAGAGAAAGTCAGAGACTAGTTGAAAGATTCCTACCCATGGGGCAACTGAGGAAACATCCTCATCGAATGGGTAGGAAAAACTGAAGCACGCTAGGGCCAGACCCCACCCTGGGCATTGTGCCATAAAATTGGGAAGGGAAGCCCCAGCATCCAACTTCTCCCCATGGAGAGGAGGGTTTTAACCCCACATATAGCATCCTAACTTAAGATTCTTCATGGTCTGGCTCTTAATTCACCAACTCTGGGAGCAGAGGGGATTAGACATACGCAAGTCTTTCTAGACCACAGGAAAAAAGCCGCAGTTAGATATGGGCATTTAAGCACTTCAGAGCTTTCATCCCCCAGGAGCAATACATAGAAGGGACTTAAGAAATGAAGCTCCCTGTTTGCCCCCAGAAGGAGTTTATGACACACTATTCCAGCAGCTTCTTGTTTGTTTGGCTTCTAACTAACTTACATTGGGGGAGTTTAGGGGCAGTCAAATATTAACCTGCCACCAGCCTGGGAAGAGTTTGTCCACACATTGAGTCCCTCAGCTTTCACAGCTTCCACCGAGGGTCTACATCCTAAAACTCTCAGCTCTGGGAGAAGAAGGGATTGGCCTATGCAGATCTCTAGACCTCTGCAGGAAAAAAGCAGCAGATTTATACGGGTGCAGAAGCACATCGCTGGACTTTATTCCCCAGGAGAAGTGCAGAGAAGGGGCTTAAAATGTAGCCCCCTGTTTTTCCCCAGAAGGGATTTATGACATACTCTTCTGGTGACTACTTGCCAGCCTGGCTTCCAACTAACTTGCATTGAGGAATTAAAGGGGTAGACAAATATTAACCTGACACCACCCTGATAGGCGTATGTCCACACAACGAGTGTCCCAACTTTTACAGCTGTCTCCCAAAGGATTATATCCTAAACATCTTAGCTCTGGGAGCCAAGGGGACTAGGCATAGATGAGTTTTTCTAGATCACAGAACAATGGGGGTGGCTTTAAATAGGTATACAAATACCTTCAGAGGTTATACCTCCTCTGAGCAGTGAGCAGTGCAGAAAGGAAGTAGGAACATGTAGGTCCCATTTGTTCTCCAGAAGGGGCTTATAGCACACACTTCCAGCAGCTACTTGGCAGCCTGGCTTCTAATGAACTTACATTCGGGAGCTGATGGGAAAACAAACAGTAGCCCTCTAGCTAATCTCAGTGATAAATCCAAGGCTACTCATTCTTCCTGGAAGGAGTTTCGTCATGTCTCAAGTGCCACAACTTCTATAACTTCCACCCAAGGGACAAGCTTTGGGAGTCAGTGGAGCTTTGCATTCATGAGTAGCCTTAGACCACAGCAAACAAAAAGGTGGACGTACAGTAGGACCACTTCTACGAGCTTCTCCTCAGGATCAGAGGGTGCAACCTGAATTTGAGTACAGGTTTTTGCCACAGATCTTCTCCTTAGCTTAGAGCAGACAGAGAGTGGGACATAAATGCTCAGGCTCAGCTGTGAAGATAGAAGGAAATGGAAAACCCATTCAGCACCTCAACATCTCCAGCTACATCTAGAGATTCTGGCTCCTACTCTACGGTATTGTGGGGGTATTGATGGAATGTGGTACATCCTAAGCTCGAGGGGACCATCAAAAAAGAGACAGCAGTCTGAATAAACACAGAGATTAGAGAGCACCTTAAAATTTTTGGCTGGATGGATTGGTGAGATCCTTCTCCTACATGAGGCCAGTCTGACAAGTCTGGGAGAGGTTATATTCTTATGTAATGCATAGAAGCTAACACAAAAATCAAAGAACAGAGAATCTATTCCCAAAAAAAAAAAAAAAAAAAGACAAATCTCCACAAGTGAAATAGAGATATGTGATTTACCTGACAGAGAATCTAAGATAATGGTTATAAAGATGTTCACTGAAGTCAAAAGAACAATGAAATAACAAACTAAGAACTTTGACAAAGAGATAGAAAGTATAAAATAGTACCAAATAGACATCAAAGATGTGAAAAATACTGTAACTGAACTAAAAAAATTCAATGGAGGTATTCAACAGCAGATTCAATGAAGCAGAAGAAAGGATCGATGAAATCAAAGACAGGTCACTGAAAAAAATCCAATCTGAGCAAAAAGAAAAAAGAATGAAAAGGATAGTTTAAAGATAGTTTATGAGACCTGTGGGACACCATCAAGTGGACAACAAATGCATTATTGATATGTCAGAAAAAGAAGAAATAAAATATATTCAAAGAAATTATGTCAGAAAACTTCCCAAGCCTTATGTCAGAAAACTTCCCAAGCCTGGGGAAGGAGATAGAAAGCCAAATCCAGGAAGCCCAAAGAACACCAAATAAGATGAACCCGAAAAGATCCACACCAAAGCAAGTTATAATCAAATTCTAAGTTAGAGAGAGTTGAAAACAGCAAGGGAAAAGTGAATTGTCATATGTAAGGGAACCACCCTAAGGCCAGCAGTGGATTTCACAGCAGAAACCTTACAGATCAGAAGAGAGTAGGATGATACATTCAAAACCCTGAAAGGAAAAAAAAAAAAAAAACAAAACACTGCCAGCAAAGCATACTATACCCAGCAATCCTGTCTTTCAAAAAACAAAGGGATGATCAAGACTTTCTCAAATAAAAACAGAATTTATCCCCACTAGACCAGCCTTACAAGAAATGCTAAAGGGAATTCGGAAGAGAACGTTAATCAGCAACGTGAAAACATGAAAGTATAAAACTCACTGAAAGAGGAGATATTACAACTGACAACATAGAAATACAAAGGATCATGAAAGACTACTATGAACAGTTATAAGCCAACAAATTGGACAACCAGAAGAAATGAATACATTGCTAGAAATATGTAGCTTACCAAGACTGAATCACAAAGCAGTTGGAAATCTGAATAGTCCAGTTATGAGTAATGAGATTCAATCAGTAATTAAAAGTCTCCAATCAAAATAAAGCCTAGGACCTAATGGCATCATAGCCAAATTGTACCAGACACTTAAAGAAGAACCAATACCAGTCCTTTTCAAACTCTTCCAGAAAGTTGAAGAGGAGGGAATTCTTCAAAATTTATTTTATGAGGCCAGCAGTACCTTGATACCAAAGCCAGACAAAGATACAACAAGAGAAGAAGACTACATCTCCCTTCATCTGAATGGTAAGAAGAAAAAGAAGACTGCAGACCAATCTCACTGATGAACATGGATGCAAAAATCTTCAACAAAATACTAAGAAACCATATTCCGTAGTATATTAAAAGGATCATTCACCATGATTAAGTGGGATTTGCCCTTGGGATGTGATGGAAATGAATAAATGTGAGTCACCATGTAACAGAATAAAGGACAAAAATCACATGATCATCTAAATAGATGGAGAAAATGCATTTGACAAAATTCAACATCCTTTCATGATGAAAACTCTCAATATATTAGATATGGAAGGAATGTTCCTCAACACAATAAAGGCCATATATGACAAGCTCATAGCTAACATTGTACTCAGTGGTAAGAAGTTGAAGGCTTTTCCTATAAGACCTAGAACAAGACAAGGATGCCCGCTCTTACCACTTCTGTTCAACATAGTACCAGAAGTCCTAGCCCGAGCAATTAGGCAAGAAAAAGAAATAAAAGACATCCAAATAGGAAAGAGTGAAATGAAATTGTCTCTGTTTGCTGACAACATGATCTTACATATTGAAAATCTCAAAGACTGTACCAAAACACCATTTGAATTAGACAAATCCAGGAAAGTTGCAGGATACAAAATCAACTTACAAAAGTCAGTAGCATTTCTATACACTAACAGTGAACTTTCTGAAAAAGAAATTAAGAAAACAATCCCATTTACAATACCACTTACTTCTAAGTAAAATACTTAGAAGAAAATTTAACCAAGGAAGTGAAAGATCTATACACTGAGAACTGTAAGACACTGATGAAGGAAATTAAGGACATCACAAATAAGTGGAAAGATACCCAGTGTTTATGGATGGAAAGAATTAATATTGTGAAAATATTTATACCACCAGAAGAAATCTACAGATCTAATGCAACTGCCATCAAAATTCTAATGTCATTCTTCACAGAAGTAGAAAAAACAATGCTAAAATTAATGTGGGGGAGACACAAAGGATCCCAAATAGCCAAACAATCTTGACCAAAAAGAGCAAAGCTGGAGACATCACACTACTGTATTGCAAAATTTATTACAAAGCTATAGCAATCAAAAAAGCATGATGCTGGCATAAAAACAGACAAGTCTACCAATGAAATAGGACAGAGAGCCCAGAAATAAACCCATGCATCTACAGTCAATTGCTTTTTGACAGGAACACACATTGAGGAAAGGACAATCTGTTCAAAAGGTGGTATTGGGAAAACTGGATATCCACATATAGAAGAATGAAAGTGGATCTTTATTTCACCCCTCATATGAGAATCAACTCAAAATGGAATAAAGACTTGAAACTATGAAACTGAAACTATAAAACTGCTAGAGGTCTGGACAGAGATTTCTTTGATATGAACCCAAAAGCATAAGCAATAAAAGCAAAAATAGACAAATGGAATTGCATTAAAGTGAAAAGCTACTGCATAGAAAAGGAAACAATGAAGGAAAGAGACAACACACAGATTGGGAGAAAATATTTGCAAATGATACACTGGAGAAGGGACTAATATCCGAAATATACTAGGAACTCAAACTACTCAGCAACAAGAAAACAGCCCTGTTAAAAATAAGCAAAGGACTTGAATAGACATTTTTCAAAAGAAAACATATAAATGGGCCACAGATATATTAAAAAAGTCCAACATCTCTAATCATCAGAGAAATGCAAATGAAAACCACAGTGAGATACCCTATAGCCAACACCTTTTAGGTTGGCTCTTATCAAAAAGATGAAAGATAAATGTTGGCAAGGATTACAAGAAAAAGGAACCTTTATACACTGTTACGGATATCACAAATTAGTACAGCCATTTTGAAAAACAGGATGGAGGTTCCTCAAAATACTGAAAATAGAATTACCATATGATGCATCAATCCCACTACTGGCTATATCCCCAAAGGAAATGAAATCAGTATGTTGAAGGGTAGCTTCATCTGCATGCCCGTATTCATTGCAGCACTATTCACAGTAGCCAAGATATGGGAATAACTTAAGTGTCCATCAATATATGAATGGATTTAAAAATGTGGTATATATACACAATGGAATACATTCTGCCTTAAAAAAGAGGAAATTCTGTCATTTTTGACAACGTGGATGAACCTAGAGGATGTAATGTTGAAGTCAGTTACAGAACGACAAATATCATATAATCTCACATGTAGAATCTAAACAAAGTCTAACTTATAGAGAAGTAGAGAGTAGAATGGTGATAACCAGAGGCTGGGAGGGGAGGGGTGAGTATAGAAAAAAGGGATACATTGGTCAACAGGTAGAAACTTATAGTTAGATAGGAGGAGTAGTTCTGGTGTTCTATTGCAGAGCATGTTGACTGTAGTTAATAATAATGTATTATGTATTTCGAAATAGCTAAAGAGAGAACTTTAAATGTTCTCACCACAAAGAAATTATAAATATTTAAAGTAATGGATATACTAATTGCTATACTCTGGTGTGATCATTCCACAATGTGTACGTATATTGAAACATCACTTTATACCCCATAAATATGTAAAATTATTGTTGGCCAATTACAAATAAAAGCAAAAAAAATAAAGGGGATACTTGCAAGGTTTTTGAGAGGATGAGAGACTCTGGGACCTGCAGCTAAAATGGAGGGTTGGCTTTTGATAAAAACAGAGACACTTCATCCACAGTAACAGGAGAGAAGTCAGAAAAAATCATGAATGAATAGGTAATTTATTCACCAGACATTTAATGAGCGCCTGTTACTATACTACTTACTGGGGATTCACCACTAAACAAGATCAAGTCTCTACCGTCGTGAAATAAGTGGAAGGGTCTTACCCTTATTTCTGTTTTCTCAATGAATCTGAATTAAAGTCATCCCCTAAGAGTGAAGTTGGGGAGAGTATATTTGGAGTTTGAGGAGAGAGAGAAAGATACGAATTTTTTTTTTTAGAAATTGGAAAAGTAAACATAGTGTAGAAATGTGGTATGATTTCTGGGTGGTGTAAAGTGGCATTTGAGAATTATAGCTATGAGTTTAAAATGAGACCAATTAGCTTGCATATGTTTTTCTTCAGCACTAGTGAGCTGCTGGGGTAGGCACAGTATAGGTTGATACGTGATTTAACCAGATTTAGGATTGAGCCTTTAGTAGGTACGTTTGACAAAAAAGAGATGGGAAGGAGGAATTAAGAGTGTTTGCCAGAGAATGATGTTAATGAGGGACCATGGAGTCTGAGCTGGGCAAGAAATTAAGTAAAGACATGATAGGTGATTGATGGTGAGAAAGTAGTAGAGTCAGTAGATGAATCTAAATTTTCAACCAAGGAAAATATATTCTCCTTATATGAGTAATGTATCCTTTTTATGGAAAATTTGAAAATATATAAGATTATAAAGTAGAAAGTGGGTGCAGTGTCAGGGAACCCAGTACTACCACCCAAAGATAACCAGTTGTTTATATTTGCTGTGTTTACTTATATGTTTTTTTCTAATGATAATTTCCGCAGTTGTCTAAGTTTCCAGGGCTGCTGTAACAAATATCATGGACTAGGTGGCTTAAACAACAGAAATTTATTTCCTCACAATTCTGAAGGCTAGAAGTCTAAGATCAAGGCATTGATTGGCAAGGTTGATTTCTTTCTTCTGAGGCCTCACTCCTTAGCTTCTGAGGCTTCTCCCTCTGTTGATTACATGATATTTTCTCTGTACCTGTGTCCAAACCTTCTCTTCTTATGATAACACCAGTCATGCTGAATTAGCGACCACCTTAGTGACCTCATTTTAACTTAATTATCTCTTTGAAGACCCTTTCTCCAAATATTGTGGGATCCTAGGGGTGTTGCTTTTCTGGCCGGAAACCTGTGGCCAGTGGTGCCTTTGCCTGAGTTTTGCTTGGGCCCACTGGGCTCGTTCCACTCACTTGGCCTGGCAGGCTGCTCATGCTATCAGCCTGGATCTCACGCCTCCAAGAGAGACTGGAGTTAGGCATGGAGTGGTGAGGAGTGTGTATGAACGAGCTTGGGGCCCATCTACTGCGCAGTCAGACACACCAGCTCCTGCCGCAAGTGGGCAGCTCCAGGTGCAGCATGGATGCCAGCTCTCTGTGAGGCTGCAGCTGGACCAGGCACACCACAAGCAGCTTCCCTGGCTGGCACCAAAGAATGCAGTAGTCCCCAAAAGCTTGGAGGAACCACAGGGCCGGAAAGAGGGAGTCACAGCCCTGACTCCGGAAGCTCCCAGGTCTGGGCTCCCCAAAGGGCTGCAGCTCTTCCCTCCTTCTCTTTGCCCAAACTGCAGCAAGCAGGGGGCATATTTCAGCCCTTTTGGTGTTACAGCAACTCTTTTAGCCACGCCGTTCAGCAGATCCCGAGTTCTTGTCCTGCAACCAGGAAGAATGAGGTACGCAGACAAGTGGAGGGTGAGCAAGATGAAGAGGTGCTGTATTGAGCAATGGAACAGCTCAGAGAAGACTCACAGTGCCAGGGCGTCCCAGTGAGTGTTCAGCCCCTAGCAGGAAGGATAGCTCCTCTCTGCAGGTAGGTTTTCCCAACAAGTGTTCACTCACTTCTCAGCAGAGAGGGTGGCTCCTCTGCAGCTGGTCATCCCATCTTCTGCAGTTCTCTGCAGAGGCAGAGAGGAGGCCCTAGAGTGGGTGGCTCCTCTCTGCAAGCAGGTTGTCACGTCATCTCTGCAGCTCTCAGCAAAGAGGAGGCCCTAGAATGGGTGGCTTCTTTCTGCAGGCAGATTGTTCAGTCATATCTTCGTCCTCTGCTCTGCTCTGGGGCTGATCCTGGGGCTTTTATGGACCTCAGAGGGGAGGAAGTGTGTGCCCATTGGTCTATGGGTGGCCATAGGCAGGCCTGGAAAAGGCACCACAAGTCCCCACTCCAGTCTGCAGGACTGGCAGTTCAGCCCCCAGCCTTCAGGCTCTCCCTGGCCTGAAGGTGGGCCTCACCAGGGATCCGCCCTTTTCTGCTTAGGAACCTATCTGCCTCCTGCTGCCATTCATAGCATCCAGACTCCACCCTGACTTTGCTCCAAGATCAGAACAGGTGCCAACAGCAGGGAGAAGCCAGGCAGGGGGAGCAGGCATTTCTGATCCTGGGAGGGAAGAGGGGTCCTGGCTGGACCCCCAAGAGTGCAGGGGTACCTGGGTCTGCAGCCACATTTGGGTGGCTGCAGCTGTGCCCGTCACGGCAGGGCTCCTGCCTGTTCCATGGAGCAGGAGGTCTGGGTTTGCAGCCTCGGTTTGGGTGGCTGCAGCTGCACCCAGGATGGCGGGACTCCTGCCTGCTCCCAGGCTCCCACCGGCTCCATGGAGCATGCATTCCCAGCTGTGCCTCCCTGCTGCAGCCGGCATGATGACAGCAGCTGCTCCAGATGGCCCACCGCTGCCATCACAAATACAGTTACATTCTGCGGTACTGCGGAGTGGGGACCTTAGCATGAAGTTTTGGAGGATACAGTTGAGCCCATAACTGGGGTGCTGTTTGTTTTTAGTGTTTTAAATAATTGTGATCATTCCATGAATATAATTTTTATCCCCATATTTTACCTAATAACATAACATAACCATTTTCCCATTTGTTCTTTAGCCTTTTAAAAATTTAACAGCTTCAAAATACTTTGTCAAGTGTTTGTATTATCAAATCTTAATCAGTCTTCTATTTTGAACATTTAGGTGTTCCTTTTTTTGTTATTGTAAACAATGCCAAGGCTTTTTACATAAAACCTTTTTCTTGTATTTTGGAGTATTTTTCCTTAGCATAGAATCTCGGAAGTGGATTACTTTATTAAAAACTGTTAATACATACTGCCAAATTGGAAAAGTATTTAATCTTATACTTTCTTTCCACATGACTATTTTTCTCTCCCTCTGCAGTGATAGACTGGAGTGATGTTAGAAAACACAAATATGGTCACCTATCAGAGTCTGCATCCCAATATCAAGGTAAGGGGGAAAAAACTCCGTTTGGTGTGGAAAAATTTTACTCGGCATCTTTTCCCATAAAACCTTCGTTGTTAGAGGTCTGAGTTTACAAATAACTCAATTGTTATATCAGAAGCAAATATTGCAGTTTACAGAGGTATTGGTCATAAGCAATATACTTTGTTTTAGCTGGAAATAGGAAACCTAGATTCTGAGTATAGGTAATCCCAAATTAGCTTCATAGTTTTAGGCACGGTTGCTTAGCCTCTCTGGGTTTTCTATAGTTTGTATAAGTTTAGGCTTGGGAATAGGCAAAATTGGGTGGTGTGCTTCCACAATGACTACTAAGAATCTCAGTGTCTTTTAGGATGAGATAACTGAACTAGACAAATACTCGATTTCCTATTTTACCCCAGAATTTCACCTTCCATCATGTTGGTATGTTTGTCTTAATGACTTATGCTCCAACATTTTTTTCTTTACTAGAAGCTGCTGACATCCTGGATCTAGGTAAGCTATTTTTCTTGTGTTTCTGTTAAATAAGGGGAATTGGTAAACCAGGGATTAGATTATAACCAGTTTTAACCAACGAGGAAAAGAATTCCACGTGTCTCTGTCTCAGAAACCAGTGAATCCTGTGCTCTTGTCTGCCTAATTATCCCATGTACTTCATCTCAGCTGTCACATCAAGTCCTGCTTATCAGTAGGCCACAGACCAAGCTAACAAGAAGGGAGGGAAGGTGGTTAATTACATGGGGTATAGGGGAGAACAGGAACTGAACCAAACTGGAAATACCATCTTAATTTACTGAATCCAGAACTAAAACAAACCCCTGCCATCCATAAATCAGTGTTTGGTGGGATTTTTCCCCCAAAAAAATTACTTGTAAGATAAATTGAACTGAAACTAAACCTAAACATTTTCTAACTTTATTGACAAATAAAAACTGAAATATTAAAATATTATCAAGTAAGAAGTCAGACCAATAATTGCATTTGGTTTTCCTCCCTGGTTAGTGTATTTCAGGACTAAGATTTGAGTAATAAAACTAGTTCTAATACTTCTCAATCAGAGTTCCTGCATAAACATCAGTCTTAACATTTTAGAATCCTTTAAAATCCTTTTATATGTTACATAGATTTTGATATCCAGATACCTGTATCAATTTTTGTTCAAGTATTTTGATATATTTTGTTACAACTTGATATTTATTTAGCTCTATTATTATCATTGTCTATTTGCCTCCTCTTGCCTTTCTTTCCTGCAACATATTACTTTCCATTGCCCAGTGACACAGAAGATAACATGAAGTAGTAGAACACTAGACTAGGAGTCAGAACTCCTAGGCTTTTTGAGAGCCAGTTCTGCCACTTAGTAACTTTGTGACTCTGATCCTTAGTTTTCTTATTTGTAAAATGGGGATAATAATCCCATTCTGCCTACTTCACAGGGTTGTAAAGAAGATTACATGAGCTAATGGATGTGAAAACATCTTAAAAACTCTCAAATACTTTTCAACTTTGGAGGATTATTATGATTTTCATTCTGTTCAGCGGCTATACTCAGACTTTACTCTAAAAGTCAAATCTTCTGACATTCTTTGAAGTGAAGCATTCTATGAATGTGAGCTGAAGAAATGAATGAAATGAAATAATGCAGGTAAAGGTGCCTGGCACTTGATAAATGATAGTTATTTTTTATTATTCTTTAAAACTTTCCTCAAGCTTTTTAAGGTACTGATGTGTGGTAGAAAAAACATGGACATAGGAGTCAGACAATTTGAACCAAGGTTCAAATTCCTATTCCCACTTACCAGTTTTGTGACTTCAGGCAAATTACTTAATCTTTCTAAGCCTATTTCCTCATCTTTAAAATGGGAGTAAAACCTACTTTGCAGGTTATAATGAACACAGGAGATAATGGACGTAGTCTGGCATGGTACAGGCAAATGGAAGACAGTGATAGCTGCTGTTGTTTTTGGTTTTGTCGCTAATATGAATGATAATAACAATTGTAGCTCAGTGACAGCTTAAGGCATATTGTAAACTGTTGATGGGGAGTTGTGAAATGTGGGTACTCAATTTAACATAGAGTATATCAGTTACTAAAAGATGTTAAAATTTGAAAGTGTATTTTTCCTAGAGCATTGGTTGCATAGGCATATCCTCTGATGTAAGTTAATCCTGCATATTTCATTTTTACCATCTAGCATAAGGAGCAGCTCCAAATAGCAAACTGAAATAAAATTCAGTAGATCTGTGGAATCTCAAAGTTGGAAAAGACCATAAAATAATCTACCCTTGCCCAGCATTTAAAACTCAACATTTTGAATTTTTTGTAAAATGTCTTATCTTGAACTCCTCAAGTTTTTGAGGACTTAGAACCTCCTCACGTAATTCATTTCATATTTAGACATATTTATTGGTCAAAAATTTGCTCTTTTTGTAATTTCTGTTAGTCATCCCTCTGACTTTCTGGCCATATGAAACAGGGTTAGCCTATTTTTCACTTACTGGCCCTGATTTTTAGAGAGAAGCTCTAGGGACTGCCTTCTCATTGCCACTCTGCCGCTTTCATAGTTGAATCTCACACCTAGATTATTAAAACAGCTTCCTAACTAGTCTTTTTTGCCTCCAGCCCTATCACCCTCCTGCCCATTCTTTACACTACAGCCAGAATGACTTCACCCCAAACGCTTGAAGACTTCCTCTTCTCAGTAATACAGTATATTTGGCTCGCTAATGACTGAACACTGCCTTTATCTGTAACCTTTTTCTAAACTACTTTTTCTGTAAACTCCACCCAGCAGCCATACCAAAAGATCTGCATTTAGAACTGCTTTTTCTCATGTCTGGGCCTTTATAATGCCTTTCTTTCTGTCTGAAACAAACAAAAAGAGTTTCCTTTTTCTTTGACTCCTGCTTATCCTTTTACACTTTAGCTTAGAAGCCTAGAGCTTTCTTTGGTAAGTTTCCACAAGCACTCTGGGTGCTCCTGTAGCACCCTCTGTCTCTCCAGTGTAGCACTTATCACATTATCTTAGTGGTGACTGTTTAGTCTCTGTCCCTCACTAGATTCTCTGTCTGTCACTAGACTGAAGCTCTGTGAGGTTAAGGATGATATTTTGATTACAGTTATATGTCCAGCACTCAGCACAGTGCTTTGACACACACTATAAATATTTGTTGGATGGATGGGGAATGGCTCTGAGACTTCACTTTTTTACTCATGCTAATTGTTCATGTTCCTTCACCTGGTCCTCAGGTGATGTGGTTTTGGGTCTGTTTACCATCACTAGGTAATCATTTAAACTCAGATTTGCTCTCTCTCAAAGTGTAGTTTTCAGAACTATATCCCAGGTATTATTTTATTAGTCCAAGAAAGAATAGGAATATTACTTGTGTGCTTCTTTTCATTCACTCAGAAACTCATATTGAGCCTCTATTAAATTTCAGGCACTGTGTTAAACAGTAAAGATTTTAAAAATGAATATAAGCCCCCATCCATAAAGAGCTTACATAAATAATTATGGTGATATGATGTGAACAGGATGTTATAGGAGATAGGGAGATGGTAAAATTTGTCCAGCCCTTTTCTGCAAAGCCTTCTGACAGAAAATGTAAAATTTTTGCTGAGCTTTAGTCACTGAGTGTGAGTAACATGGGCAAAGATATGGGACCAAGAAAGCCATGAGTTTTAGGAAACACTAAGGTCCTTTGTAGCTTGAATATTGTGATTCTACATCTGTGAAGCCTCCCAAATCCAGACCTTTCTCATATCAGGATATCTGCCTGGACCTTCGAAAACACCTCTGATTTCTCTGCCTTATCTAAGGCTCTCTTTCTGTTGCCTGAAAGTCTGTGTCTTTTCAGAGGGACCCTGTGGTATAGTGAAAAGAACACTTTCTCTAGATGCTTTATTTCTATTAAGTAAAAATTCTTCTAGTGACTTTTCCTTAATCTACAAAGAACTCCTAGAATCTATGAGAAAACAAAAGAATATCTCAGCAGAAAAATGGCTAAATAAAATACAGACTGGCTGATAAGCCTAAAGAGATCTTTGACTTTATTAGTAATCAAAGAATTGCAAATAAAATTATAATAGTATTTTATTTTTTCACTGATAAGATTTGTCAAAATTATGGAAATTGTTAAAACACAGTTTTAGCAAATATGTGGTAAACACACCTGTGTACTTTCGGTAGGAATAGAAATTGAGTCTGGGCAATATAGTGAGACCTTGTCTCTACTACAAAGAAAAAAATTAGCCAAGCATAGTGGTGCACACCTGTAGTCCCGGCTACTCTGGAGACTGAGCGGGGAGGGTTGCTTGAGTCCAGATCGGGGTTACAGTGAGATATGATTGTGCCACCACACTCCATCCTGGGTATCTGAGTGAGGCTTTGTCTCAAAAAAAAAAAAAAAAAAAAAGTTGGCTTATACTTGTAATCCCAGCACTTTGGGAGTCCGAGGCAGGAAGATGACAAGCCTAGGAGTTTGCAACTAGCCTGGGCACCATAGGGAAACCCTGCCTCTAAGAAGAAAAATCAGTATGTTCTTTCTAGAGGATATTTCAGCAATATATATGTTGTATCAAAATCTAAACTATGCATGCTCTTTGTCCACTAATCCCACCCTTAGGACAAATCCCAAATCTGTGTCTCATGCCTGTAATCCCAGCACTTTGGGAGGCCGAGGCAGTTAGATCACTTGAGCTCAGGAGTTCGAGAACAGCCTGGGCAATTTGGCATAGCCCTGTCTCTACAAAAAATACAAAAATTAGCTAGGAATGGTGGCACACACCTGTAGTCCCAGCTACTAGGGAGGCTGAGATGAGAGGATCGCTTGAGCCCGGGAGGTCAAGGCTGCAATTAGCTGTGTTCACACCACTGTACTCCAGCCTGACACTGACTCAAAGCAAGACCCCGTCTCAAAAAAAATAAAATAAAGACACTTAAATTACCATCAGTGGCGTTTAACAAATATATTGTTATTTAAATTTTGGTACATGGAACACTATTTATACGGTAATAGTGGAGTGGAATTTCTGATCTAAAGATGTTGATTATGCTTAATTGTTTTTAAGAATTTGGGTTCACATTTAGGTTGAACAAAGTAGAGTTCTTGTAAAGGAATGTGGCCAGAACAGTAGCCAGACATGAGTAGCCAGCCTGTCAAATTAGGAGCAGTTGAGGGATTTGGGACATAGAGATTAGATATATCTAGGACCAGTAGAGGTTAGAAGGCAGATGTTGGCTGACTATAAAGAGCGGTCTGTCCATTTGTACTGTTGAGTAATAGCTAAATAGCTAAATAATGAGTGTCCCATGACTGGAAGTATTTCAGCAGAGGCTGGAAGGACCATTCAAATCTCAGCTTTTTTTTTTTTTTTTTTTTTTTGAGACGGAGTCTTACTCTGTCACCTAGGCTAGAGTGCAGTGGTGCGATCTTAGCTCATTGCAACCTCCACCTCCCGGGTTCAAGCAGTTCTCCTGCCTTAGCCTCCCAAGTAGCTGGGATTATAGGTGCCTGCCACCACGCCCAGCTAATTTTTGTATTTCTTTTAGTAGAGACGAGGTTTCATCATGTTGGCCAGGCTGGTCTTGAACTCCTGACCTCAGGTGATCTGCCCGCCTCAGCCTCCCAAAGTGCTGGGATTACAGGAGTGAACTACTGCGCCCGGCCCAAATGTCAACTTTTGTATCACCTTATCAAGATGTCTTTTTTGACTGCCCTGGCTAAAATAGCACACCTTCTTTACCTCTTACTTTTATTTTTTTAAATTTCAAAATAGCCAGGAATTGTATAATTAATCTGGTGTCTCTGTTACCCTCTGGACCAGCTGACGTATTTGTTTGTTTGTTTGTTTGTTTGTTTTTGCTCCATGTGGAGCAAAATATTGTTTGTTTGTTTGTTTGTTTGTTTTTGCTCCATGTGGAGCAAAACATTGTTTGTTTGTTTGTTGTAAGCTCCATGTGGGCAAACTTTGGCTGTATTGTATTTTGCTATATATCACCAGTGCCTAGAACCAGGCTTAACATATACTAGGTATTTAGTAAATATTTGCTGAATGAATGAATATTAGAGAAGGTGATTCATGCATTTAACTAGGTGACCTCTTATGCCCATATTTTATGGGCCAAGGTACTTTAATGCCATTTTTAAGTCTCTTCAGGGCAGGTACCTTTTTTTCTTTTTTAATAATAAATGTAACTATCACGTGGTATGCATCAGAGTTTATAAAAACACTTTTATAAGCATTATTTACTAAATGAGATGGCTTTTTCTCATCTGTAAAGTCTTAGCTTAGACATTTCCTCTGAAGAGTATCTGTCCATGACTTTACTAAGATAGCTCCCAGTCTCTATCACATCACCTCATTTTATTCCCTTCAAGTTCTTTTCACTTACTGCCTTGTTTATTTATTGTTTATGTGTTAGTTGTGTCTCATCATATACCAGCATGTAAATGAGGGCAGGGACCCCTGTCATATTGCCTGGCACATAGAGGATAGTTAATAAGTATCTGTTGAATGAATAATTGAAAACATTCAAATTATACTGTTTGAATATTTTGAATTATAATGTTGGAATAATTGAAAACACTCACATTATATATGTTTAAATTATAAAACATTATACCTATGTTAGTTAATAATATTAATCTTCGTAATAATCTCTGAGCCCAAGGATGAATGAGATTTTCATGTTCTGCAATCTCAAGACAACCTGTACTACCTCGTAAACTTTATCATTATCATAACAGATTATTTGTGTTATGTTTATTAATGTCTCTGTTTATCTCTAGACTGAAAGCTCCATGAATTGAGAAATCATGTCTTACCTTGTTCCCCTAACATTTAACACAGTTCTTTGTACTTGGAGAAGTTTAAATATTTATTGAATGAAGAATCTATATACAATCTTGTAAGACAGATATTGTCTTCATCTTTCACATGAGTAAACTTAGGCTTGGAAGGATTAAGTAATTTACCCAAGATAGTTAGCTGTAGAAACAAGACTTTTACCAACATCTTCAGACTCCCAATATTACATTATTTAAACTACACCAGTAGTAGTTCTTAGTCACAGATGTTAATCCAAATTACCTAGGGAGCCTTGGAAAATACATATTCTCAGGCCACACTTGGAGCCTACTGAATAAGAACTTCTGAAGGTGAGGCCCAGAACTTTGTTTAAAGAAATGAGACTATAAGTATCACTTGAGAGTCAATGATTTATACCAGAGGTCTGGCAAACTACTATTGGGAGGTCAAATCCAGCCCTCTGCCTGTTTGTGTAAATAAAGTTTGAGTGGAACAGCCATGCTAATTTAGGCACACATACTGTCTGTGGCTGCTTTCACACTGGAGTGGTGGAGCTGAGTAGCTATGACATAGACTGTATGGCCTAGAAAGCATAAAATTTTTATTATATTGTCCTTAACAGAAGACTTGCTAACTCTGGATCTATACCTTGGTGCCTGTCCTATTTCTTTTGTGGTTACTTTAGTGCTTGGAGATATGGCAGAATATTATGTCTGGCTTCATCATGGGCATTACAATAGGTGTCCAAACATTCTTACTAAGTCATAAAAATTATCTTATTTTGCAATTCACCTGATAATAAGGAACTAAGCCTTAGGTAGCCCAAGAAGTCAAATAAAAGGAAAATACCATCTAGGTATGGTTCAAGCCAGTCAGCCATCACAGTGGGTGAACTACTTTAAACAGAGGTTCCTTTTCATCCAGTTAGTGATAGAGTGTTTCCTAAGTGGTAAAAGGGCTGAGGTTTCTAGCCTGTGTACATTACAGAATAGGGATTGATTACCATGGTTGATATGTATAATGGAGAACTGTAATTAATACCCTAATTGTTGTGGTACCCCTGATGCTGCCATTATTCTTAAGACCAAAGTCTCTTTGGTGCTTTTAGTCAGAACTTAAGCTAATATAAGCAGTTACCCAGGACTGACCAAAACTCTTGATCTGTGCTTCCTAATACAGTAACTATTAGCTATGTGTGGGGATTTAAATTTAAGTTAATTAAAATTTAAAAAATTTAGTTTCTTACGTACCCACATTTCAAGTATCCAATAGTTATGTGGCTAGTGGCTACCTTATTGGCTAGCACAGATACAGAACATTTTAGTCAGCACAGAAAGTTTTATTGGACAGTGCTGCTCTAGATGCCAGAGTTGAAGATTCTCAATCCAGGGAAATCCAAAACTTACTATTTGATTTAATCTTTCATTTGTAAGGATGGAATAATAAATTGTAATGTTTTATTTTTCTAACAGCAAACAATGATGAAATGTATTCAGTCCTTGCTTTAGGGCCCTGTCAACTAGAAGCAAACTCTTCATTAAATTCTGATAACGCCTTTAAACCTTGACTTCAGAAAATAGTCATCTCATTTGCCCTATGGACTAACTGTCTAGTCATGTTGATTAATCATCAGCTAGTTCATGAAATAGTTCAGAACTGACTGTGATTTCTGGCCAAATCTATTTGGCTTAGTTAAGGGTAGTGGGAAAGGAACCAGTTATAAAACAGAAGCTATAAAATAAATAGAGTGTAAAGTCTTGGCATCATCTTTGGAGTGATTTAGATTTCTTCATTCAGTGACTCATTTTTATTCCCAGCATCTAGTGCTTTTTGCATGGCCCAAAGGGGCTCTGTGCTGCTCCACTACAGAGGAAACTTCAAGAAATGCTGGTTTGCTACAGTGTTTTAGCTTGTGAGATTCTCTGGGACCTTCCCTGCTCCATCATGGGGTCACCTCTAGGTGGGTATTAGGGGGAGACTGGTAATTGGTTTAACCTTTAAATAAAGAACTTGATAATCTTTAGTGATCCAATGAGGTCTGTATCAAATGTTCCTGCCTTAAGATGTTTTCCCTTCCCCCAGCACAGTGTCACCTTGAAGATTGTTTATCTAGGACAGTGTTCTTCAAACTTTTAGAGGCTGTAAGGCCAGTTCAAGAGGCTAAAAGATTCTACAGACTCCCCAGCTTGTTCTTATTTACTATCATCAGACATGCTTCCCAGGTCCTACTTTGCTCTAAATTAACAGTTCTTTGTCACTTTGCACCCCAGAGCAACACAGCGGTGGCTAGGATGGGGGTGCAGCGGGGGTAGGTGAGAGAGAGCCAGTTTTTAGAGTGAGGATTCAACTATAATCTCACTCATCTGGCTTCCCCTCCCCTCAAATCATCTCGCCCCTTGTCTCTAGACAGCCTTTTCTTCATTCTTCCTGAGCTGAGATGCTGGAATCCAACCATATTGGGTGTTAAAAGCTGCCACTTGACAGCGGTGAGGGACCTTTCCAAGAGTCAGATTGTTCAAAAGGAATCTCCCCACCCACTTTCTGCCTCTTCTATTCTGTTTTCCATTAGCTTCC
Organism: Homo sapiens; assembly: GCF_000001405.40. Lineage (NCBI taxonomy): Eukaryota > Metazoa > Chordata > Mammalia > Primates > Hominidae > Homo > Homo sapiens. Next base: position 41,151,984 of record NC_000001.11, on the reverse strand, counting down.
TGGTCACTTCTTTGAAGTACTAGTATATCTTGCTTTGGCATTTTGGATCACTTTAGGAATGAACATAAATAACACCCTAAGCCATCTTTAGACCATTATTTTAAAACGTGAATCTAAAACATCCGCTCAGGTCACTTAGATTCTTCCCCTTAATACTCCTTTGAGCTCAAACAGGAAAAAAATTATATTTTTTATGCTCAAAACCAGTCTACAAATAGCTTACTGTTTAGTGTAGATTATACCCTGAAAACATTTTTTTTAGGAAGTTGACTGTGATATAGATTTCTATTTCCTTTACAGGTCATTTTACCTGGGACAAATACCTAAAAGAAACATGTTCAGTCCCAGCGCCTGTCCATTGCTTCAAGCAGGTAATTGATTTTCAACATCTTTAGTAGGTGGAAGATAAGTCATTTTTTTATGGTTTTTAGACAATCAAAACAGGAGGTGGAAGCCCTTGGGCTTCTTACCTGAGGGCCCCAGAATAAACTTCTATGGGAAGAACACAGCTCAAGAAGTAAAATTTGGTCACTGTGAGTTTTGGCAGCAGACATTCTTTCCACCTTCATCCCAAGTAACACCCTTGCCTCCTTCTTTACCTCCTTGAGGATATTCTGTGTTACTGAAAACAACTGCTAATTTTTACTAGAGCTCTTAATTCGGACAGGAAAGAGAGTTATAGTCCATAGACATTGTTGAAAATGGAGCAGTATTTCTTTCTCTGTACTCAGCACTCCTGTCACAATCTTATCTTTCTACAAGAATGTTGACACTGAGTCCCACTGTGAAGCATCTCAGGAGCTCATCAGAGGTCATCCAGAGTTTCCCAGAAGGATTAAGTAACCCAGACAATGCACAGATGGTATTGACTGTGTCAGTGTTTGATATGGCTGATAAGCAAAGAAGTGTTTGGTGCTAAACAAAGTTAAACGTCAGGAAGTTACCTACAATCCTTTCCTTTAGTACTCAAGGGTTATTTCCTCAAACTGTCAACATTTCAGGTTGAGTTTGAATTTTGTCTGTTTTCTTTTTTTTTTTTTTTTTTTTTGAGATGGTGTCTCACTCTGTCGCCCAGACTGGAGTGCAGTGGCGCAATCTCGGCTTAATGCAAGCTCCGCCTCCTGGGTACATACCATTCTCCTGCCTCAGCCTCCCGAGTAGCTGGGACTACAGGCACCTGCCACCATGCCCGGCTAATTTTTTTGTATTTTTAATAGAGACGGGGTTTCACCGTGTTAGCCAGGATGGTCTCGATCTCCTGACCTCATGATCTGCCCGCCTCGGCCTCCCAAAGTGCTGGGATTACAAGCATGAGCCACCGTGCCCGGCCATAGAATTTTGTCTGTTTTCTAAGTAGAAATACAAGTTCAGGACTTCTGCTCATTTGAAATAAAAGGGACTGAATTTATACTTCCACCTGAAACAATTTATTTAAAAAGACAACATATGTTAATAATGGTTTGTTTTGTTTTGTTTTGTTTTGAGACAGAGTCTCGCTCTGTCACCCAGGCTGGAGTGCGGTGTCTTGATCTTGGCTCACTGCAACTTCTGCCTCCCGGCTTCAGGTGATTCTCCTGCCTCAGCCTCCCGAGTAGCTGGGACTACAGGTGCACACCAACATGCCTGGCTAATTTTTGTACTTTTAGTAGAGACAGGGTCTCATTATGTTGGCCAGGCTGGTCTCCAGCTCCTGATTTCAGGTGATCCACCCACCTTGGCCTCCCAAAGTGGTGGGATTACAGGTGTGAGCCACCGGGCCTAGCCAACAATGGTTTTTAAGTCACTAAAAATCAAGCAGCCAAACAGTGATCTCTGAGAGAGAGAAAACAAATGAGTTGAGCTACCTCTATGATTTTCTAGCTTACTGTCTTAACAGTTTCCAGACCATGGCCCAGGGAAAGGGAACTCATGTTGAGCCCAGCAGACTCCCTAATTGGAGGAAATGGAAGAAAAAAAAAATGTGAGTCCAGAGAAACCAAGGTGGCTAGAATTTTTAGGACAGAGTGTCAGGAGGAGAAAGCTGCACACAAAGAAAACCACAGTGATCTTCAGAGGGTCCAGGAAAAGACTACCATTTTATAAATGCATATGAGAAAACTACCTAAGGCCAAAGGAAAAAACTATCTGAAAGGATTCAAAGGAATAGAACCTGGCACTCACACAGGGCTGAGAATAGTTCCTGATCTCACCAGCTAGACTAGAACATCTCATAATTGATTGGGCACTGGGTATGATACTCAGGAAGGTGTTGCTCATATTGGAAAATAATTAACCTTAGCCTGAGTATTGCTTCAGTCCGGCCTGACAAATCATAAAGGTAAAACTCAAGAAGATCAAACTACTTCACAAATAACTTAACTGCATCGAGGAACAAAGCCCAAGAAGATTTATAGGAATGCAAGAATATCCAGTACCCATCAGGTAAAATTCACCAGATCTAACTTTCAATCAAAGACTACCAGGCATGCAAAGAGGCAGGAAAATGCAACCAATAATCTAGAGAATAATTGATTGAAACTGACTCAGACTCTATACAGATCATAGAATAGCAGACAAACACATTAAAATAATTATTTTAATATATTTGTTATATTCAGATATTAAGCAGAGACATGGAAGATATTAAAAAGACTCACTGGGCTACTATGTGGGAAATGAAAAATACACTAGATTGGATTAATGCCAGAAGAAATTAGTAAACTTGAAAACATAACAATAGAAACTATTCAAAATGAAACACAAAGAGAAAAAGGAATTTAGAACCTGTGAACTATGGGTTAACTTCAGGTGACCAAATAGACGTGTAATTGGAGTCCCAGAGGAGAGAAGTGATGGGGGATAGAAAAAATATTTGAAGAAATAATGGCTAAAATTTTTCCAAAATTAAAAATAACAGCTGGGCATGGTGTCTCAGGCCTGTAATCCCAGCAATTTAGGAGGCTGAGGTGGGCGGATCGTGAAGTCAGGAGATTAAGACCATCCTGGCTAACACGGTGAAACCCCATCTCTGCTAAAAATACAAAAAAATTAGCCGGGCATGGTGAAGGGCACCTGTAGTCCCAGCTACTGGGGAGGCTGAGGCAGGAGAATTTTATGAACCTGGGAGGCGGAGCTTGCAGTGAGCTGAGATCATGCCACTGCACTGCAGCCTGGGCGACAGAGCGAGACTGTGTCTCAAAATAAATAAGTAAATAAATAAATAAAACTATAGGTCCACAGAATCAAGAAATTCAAGGAATCCCAAAGATAATAGAAGAAAACTACTCAGAGGCATATCATAATCAAATTGCACAAAACCATTGATAGAGAAAACTCAACAGCAGCCAGAGAAAAAAGACACTTTATATATAGGATAACTAATGTAAGAATTATATTTCTTGTCAGAAACAATATAAGCAAGCACAAAATTGAACAACACCTTGAAAGTACTAAAAGAAAAATAAAAAACCTGTCAACCTGGACTACTGCAGCCAGCAAAAATGTCTTTCAAACACAAAGGTGAAATAAAGATATTTTCAGATTTACAAAAGCTGAAGGAATTCATTACTCACAGACTCACACCTCAAGAAATGTTAAAGGAGGTTCATCAAGCAGAAAGAAAATGATATCAAATGAAATAACAGATCTATACAAAGAAATGAAGGTCACTGGAAATTGTCATTATAAGGATAGATATATAAGATGTTTTCTTATTTAAATCTGTGTAAAAGATAATTGTGTAGACAATAACCGTATATTGTGAGGATGATAACATATAAGTAAAATGGATGATAAGAGTAGCACAAAGGCAGGAAGGGAGGAATCTTAAGTATACTATTACAAGGTTCTCATGCATGAAGTAGTACTATCTTACTTGATAAGGTAGACTGTGGTAAGTTAAAGATGTTTGTACTATAAACTCTAATGCAACCACTAGAATAATGGGAAAAAATAGCAAAATGTTTTATTTAAACCCAGCTATATCAATAATCAAATGTAAATGGTTTAAATGTTAAAAAGCGGAAATTGGCACATTGGATAAAAAGCAAAACCCAATTATATACTGCCTTCAAAAACTTACACTTTTTTCTGTTTCTTTACTATCGAGCTTGCTATGATTGGAAAAATTATGCTTTAAATAGGTTAAAAGTAAATGTATGAAGATGATGTACCATGCTGACATTAGCTATAATAAAGCTGAAATGGCTATATTAATATCAAAGTACACTTCAAATAATATTAACAGGGTTAAGGAAGTTAATTTTATAATGATAAAGAAATCAGACAAATCCTGACATGAAGCAAAAACCAATAGAACTATTAGGAGAAATAGATAAATCCAAAATTATCTATAGTCAGACTTTTAATACTCCTCTCTGTGTAATAAAAGAACAAGTAGAGAAAAAAAATCAGCAAATATATAGTGGATTTGAACAACACTATGAACTAACTTGACCTAACTGACATACATAGAATACTGTCCAACATATGTAGATACACATTCTTTCCAAGTACCTGCATTTCACAAAATTAAATGTCCATTACTAAATAAAAACTCTCACCAAACTAGAAATAGAAGGGAACTTTCTAAATCCTAAACTCTAAAGGGCATTTATTAATAGTCTACAAAGAATATCTTACTTAATGGTGAAAGACTAAATGCTTTCCCCTTAAGATCAGGAACAAGACAAGGATATCTGCTCTTGCCACTTTTATTCAGTATTGTATTACCAATGCAAATGGGCCAGAAAAAGAAATAAAAGGGATCTGGGTCGAAAGATTTAGAACAAACACCAAGGAAAATGTATACAGGGCAAATAAGTACATGAATAGAGATGCTCAATACCATTATTTCATTAGGGAAATACAAAATAAAAGTGATTAGTGAGCTATCACTATACATTTATTTAAATGGCTCTGATTTTCAAAAGACTGACCATATTAAATAGTGGCAAAGATGTAGAACAAATGGAACTTTCATATGCTGCTGGTGAAAATGCAGAATGGTTCAACTACTTTGGGTGGGGTGGGGGAGGAACTAACAAATACGAAAAATTTATATAAAGAAAACCTTAGAAGATGCCTGACCAAAATTTTGATTCATTAAAAAAATAGAGTGGACTTTGTCAAAATTAAGAACTTCTGCTCTTCAAAAGATACTGGTAAGAGAACAAAAATACAGGTCACAGACTATGAGAGAATAGTTTTGCATTGCTTAACGATAGGGATATGCTCTGAGAAATGAATTGTTAAGCAATTTCATCGTCGTGTGAACATAGAATATACTTGCACAAACCTGGATGCTATAGCCTACTACACACCTAGACCATAGCCTATTCTTCCTAGGCTACAAAACTGTCCAGCATATTACTATACTGAATACTGTAGGTAGTTGTAACACAATGGTATTCGTCTATGTAAACATATCTAAACATGGAAAAGGTACAGTAAAAAAAAAAATATGGTATAAAAGGTATATTAAAACTTGTACACCCGTATCAGGCACTTACCTTGAATGGAGCTTGGAGGACTGGAAATTGCTCTGGGTGAGTCAGTGAGTAAGTGGTGAACTGCGTACCACTGTCAACGTTATAAACGCTGTACACCCAGGCTACACTAAATTTATTTAAAAATTTTTCATTCTTCAGTAAAGAGTTAACCTTAGCTTACTGTAAATTTTTCGCTTTATAAACTTAATTTTTTAACTTTTTTGACTCTTATAATAATACTTAGCTTGAAACACATTGTACAGCTGTAGAAAAATAATTTTTAATTTTTTTTTTTTTTACCTTTTAAACTCTTTTTGTTAAAAAACTTAAGACATTACCCTAGGCCTACACAGACTCGGGATCATCAGTATCACTGTCTTCCATTTCTACTTCTGAGCCTACTGGAAGGTCTTCAGGGACAGTTACATGCATGGATGGAGCTGTAATCTCCTATGGTAACAATGCCTTCTTCTGGAATACCTCCTAAAGGAGCTGCCTGAGGCTATTTTTTAGTTAACTTTTATTTTCGTATAAAGAATACACTCTAAAATAATGATTTAAAATATATAGTAAACACATAAACCAGTAACATAGTCAATTGTTATCAAGTATTATGTACTGTACATAATTGTATGTGCTATACTTTTATACAGCTGGCAGCACAGTAGGTTTTTTTACACCAGCATCACCACAAATGTGAGTAATGTGTTGCTCTAGGACCTTAAGACAGCTGCATTATAACTAGGATACAGGAATTTTTTAGCTCCATTGTAGTCTTATGGGACCACAATCTATACATAGTCTGTTTTTGACCAGACATCATTATGCAGAACATGACTATATTTGCAAATCACATAACTGACAGCATTATTTTCCAAATTGATCTGTAGATTCAACACAATCTCTGTCAAAATCCCAGCTGCCTTTTTTGCAGAAATTGACAAATTCATTCTAAAATTCTTACAAGAGACCCAGAATAGCCATAGCAATCTTGAAAAGAGAGAACAAAGCTGAAGGATTCACATTTCCTGATTTCAAAACTTACTACAAAGCTACAGTACTTAAGACATAATGGTTCTGGCAGGAAAATAGACATATAGATCCATGAATTAAAATTGAGAGTACAGAAATTGACCCATCAATTTATGATCGATCGATTTTTGACAAGGGTACCAAGACAGTTCAGTGGGTTTTTCAACAACTGGTGCAGGTACAGCTGGTTATCCACATAAAAAAAAGTGAAGTTGGACTCTACCTCTATGCCATATACAAAAATTAACTTCAAGTGGATCATGGACCTAAATGTAAGAGTTAAAACTGCAAAACTCTTTAAAGAAAACATAGAAGGAAATCTTCATGACCTTGGATTAGATATTATAACACCAAAAACATAAACAACAAAAGAAAAAATAGATAATTTAAACTTCATCAAAATTAAAAGATTTTTGTTTCCACACCATCAGGAAAGTGAAAAGAACAACCCACACAATGGGAGAAAATATTTGAGAATTATATATCTGGTAAAGGACTTGTATCCAGAATATAGAAAGAACTCTTAAAACTCGGAAATTAAAAGACAACATGATTTTAAAATGGACAAAGAATTTGAATAGATATTTCTCCAAATATATACAAATGACCAGTTAGGCACATTAAAGATACTCAGTAGTCATTAGAGAAATGCTAATCAAAACTGCAATGAGATATACATCACATTGACTAGATGACTCTAACATCAAAAAGACAAACAATGGCAAGTGTTGGTGAGAATGTGTAGAAATTGGAACCCTTGTACATTGGTGGTAAAATTATGAAATCCTATAGCTACTTGAGAAGACAGTTCAGAGGTTACCCAAAGTGTTAAACAGAGTTACCACATGACCCAGCAGTTTCACTCATAAGTATATACGTAAGAGAATAGAAAACATGTCCACAGAAAAATATACCATAAATGTTTATCACATCATTATTCATAATAGCCAAAAAGAGGAAACAACCCAAATGTCCATCAGCTGATGAATGAGTAAGCAAAATGTATATCCATACAATGGAATATTGTTCATCAATGAAAAGGAATGAAGTACTGATACACTCATTGACATGGGTGAACCTTGAATCCATTTTGCTAAATGAAAGAAACTATTCACATATTGGCCACACATTATATAATTCCATCTATATGAAATGTCCAGAATAGGTAAATCCATGGAAACAGAAAGTAGATTAATGGTTTCTAGGGACTGGGCTGAGAGGGTAATGGGGAATGACTCCACTGGGGCAGGGGGTTCATTTTGAGGGGATTATGGAAATGTTATAAAATTAGATAGGGATGGTGTTTACACAACTCTGAGAATATTCTAAAAATCATTGAATTGTATACCTTAAAAGGGTTAATTTTCTGTTTTGTGATTTAAACATATACCTACCATGTGATCCAGCCATTTCACTCCTAGGTATTTGTGCAAGAAAAAAGAAAGTGTATTTCCCTACACAAAAATTTGTACTTAAATGTTTCTAGCAGCTTTATTTGTAATCGCCAAGAGCTGGAACAAACCAAATCTCCGTCAGCATGGTTATACCACTCAACAATAAAAGGAAATGAATTACTAATATGGATGAATTATCAGAGTAGTTATGCTGAGTGAAAGAAGCTAGACAAAAAAGAAAGTACATCTTCTATGATTCCATCTAAGACTAGAAAACGCAAAGCAATCTACAGTGATAGAAAGTAGATCATTGGTTGCCTGGGTGCAGAGGTCCTGGAGGGGCCAGAAGAAGAGATTACAAAAGAGCATGTGAGAGCTTGAGGATAATGGCCATGTTCATTATTTTTATCGTGGTGATACTTTCACAGGTTTATATGGTGTATATAGTAATATGAGTATATACATATGTCAAGACTTACTAAAGTGTATAGTTTATTGTATGTCTATTGTATGACTTGATTAGTAAGTTGTCAAAATAAGAAAAAATTAACCCTCAATAGTCTGTGTGGTAGATATACACACCAATATACTGAAATATTCCACAAAGAGACACTAAGAATATGGTAGTTTAATAGGACGTAGTAGTCCTAAAAAGACTAAAAAGGGATTAAAAGTCCCTACCTGGAAGGGTAGGGAGTTAGAGAATTATAGAATGAGAAAACATTTAATTAACTGGCCTATATAAGACATTCTTGTCCTTTTTTTAACTGGTATGGGTCTATTTGATGCTTCGTTGGAAAGTAATTTTTTCCCCTTCATCTTATCTTTCATTGTTTCTTTTGCATGAAACCATTCTTAATTATTAGGGAATAATTCAGTTGGTTGTCCCTGGCCCAGCTATAACCAATCTGAATCCAAAACATGAATTTTGGGGTTTTACTCTTAATCTGTCTATACCTCATGCCTTGTTTTTCCCAGTCCTACACACCTCCAAGCAACGAGTTCAAGATCAGTATGAAATTGGAAGCACAGGACCCCAGGAACACCACATCCACCTGTATTGCCACAGTAGTTGGACTGACAGGTGCCCGCCTTCGCCTGCGCCTTGATGGGAGCGACAACAAAAATGACTTCTGGCGGCTGGTTGACTCAGCTGAAATCCAGCCTATTGGGAACTGTGAAAAGAATGGGGGTATGCTACAGCCACCTCTTGGTGAGTAAGTAAACCCAAACTCTTTCTAGCCAATTATTAATAGTTAGCGTCCAAAAACTGAACATCCTATTATGGGAAAGCCTAGGGTACCCAGCTTATCCCTTATTTTTCATATAGTCTCCTAAAAAGGCCCACCCAAAATGAAACAAGCTGCACAATTTGGACATCTCCATCTCTACATTAGCTTATGATATCCAGGCTTCTTCCAAATTCTTTCTAACAAGAAATCACACCCTTTGTTCTTCTTGGCCAGTGCCCATTTACCTGAGAGAGAGAATGGAAGGAGGTCTTGCCGTTTAACCTATCTCAAAAAGCATAAAGCTTTCACCAAATCCTATCATAATGACAAGAAATGAGAGAAAATCTGCCAGTAGAAAGCATGGCTGTTATAAGGATCTCTTATCTCCTTTCTCACTAATTCTCACCTGGTCCTTGGAGTTTTCTCGCTTCGAATCCATTATTACATAAAAATCATTTTTTAAAATTTAAGCTAATAACCTCACTAGGTTTTTCTTTCCAGATCAGATTCCCCTCCAGCTTTTGCCTCAATAAATCTGAGGGATTCAGCCCTTCTTATCAGTTACTGTCAATCACTATTACAGTGAGTCTCAATGGGGGACCGAGAGAGTTAGATTATGGACTTTGACTATACTTCCTCTCAGGAAGCTGTGCTAAATTGAGAATTAGAGAGCATGTATCATGGGCTCCCTAGGTACTTATTTAACGTTTTCCCCCATTAAAAAAAAATTTGTAATGTAAAATTTCAAACATATAAAAAGGTAGAGAAAAATAGCATAGTGAATGCTCATGTAACCTTCATTGTTGAAGTCAATATAATTTTATCTATACTTGTATACACTTTCTGTCCCCACCTCCAATTGTTAAACATAGCATGATTTTATCATGAAAGTATTTAGTATGTCTCTGTCATGGGCAAGGATGTCTTAAACATAACCATACAATTATCACATACAAATAAGCCAATGATAATGTCTTAATATCAACAAATATTTTAATGTGTTTAAATTTTCTGGATTGTCTGTCTCTGTCTGTCTCTCTCTTTTTTAATCAGTTTTTTGAATCAATCTAACTAGAATCCTCACATTGCAGTTAGTTGATATGTCCTTTAAGCTTCTTTAAATCTACAAGTTCTTATCTGCTCTAATTTTTCTTGCAGTTTATTTGTTTAAAAACCTAAGTCATTTGTCTTTTAAATTTTCTAAAATTATATTTTGTTGATTGTATTCTTGTGGTATCATTCAACATGTTTCTGTGTCCTCTAGTTCCTAAAATTGGTAGCTAAATGTAGAGACTTGATCAGATTCTGGTTCAATTTTTTCATAAGAATATTTCATAGCTGGTGATATTTATTTCTATCAAGAAGCATGTATAGTCTGGTTGTCTCTTGTTTTATAATGTAATATAATGTAGCAGCCATTGCTGCTCATAGTCTAGATCAGGGTTGACATTTTTCTTGACAGATCTGATAGTGAATATTTTAGGCTTTACAGATCATACATTCTCTGTTATAATTACTTAGCTTTGTCTTTCTGCTAAGGCAGCTGTTGACAATACATAAACAAACAGGGTTGTGTTCTAATAAAACTTGATTTACAAAAACAGGTTGTCAGCCTGCCAACTGTAGTTTGCTGCCCCTGATTTAAATCTATAATTCATATGGTTACAAAATGGAAAAATCTAATCCTGCCATTCTGTCTACATAAATTAATGGAATACATCTGTTAACATAAACTTTCATCAACTATTTAGTTATTTTGAGATATAGTTCACACAGGAAAAACAGTTTAAATGCATGCTTTATTTCTTTATTTACCAATTTTCAATGAATTGGTTTATTAGCATCCTCCAAAAATATTTAAGGAGGATTTTGTTGTTGTTGCTTAGTATCATAAGCTCAAAACTTCATACATATTTGTTGTGTTTCACTCCATCACACCAATTGACCTTATTGATGCTTGAATTATCCCATCTTTTGCCAGAAGGAAACTTGTCAAGTTGTCTCCTGACTCTTTTATATACTGTTTGATACTATTTGATAGCTCTCTTGGATTTTTGCAATTTCAACATGTTCCAGGTTCATCTTATATATTTTTTGCCCCAAATATGGAATCAGCTAGTTCTTCTAGGTTCCTGGGCTCCTTTTATTGGGAAATGGTATTTAGAGACCATAATCAGAACACTAGAGTGCTCAGTGCTACTAGGTTGGTCACCCTTTCTAGTCTTTTTGGTATAGAGAGGCAGGAACTACCTTTTTAAAAAGATTATTGGCTGGGTGCAGTGGCTCACACCTGTAATCCCAGCACTTTGGGAGGCCGAGGCGGGCAGATCGCAAGGTCAGGAGATCGAGATCATTCTGGCCAACATGGTGAAACCTCGTCTCTACTGAAAATACAAAAATTAGCTGGGTGTTGTGGCATGTGCCTGTAGTCCCAGCTACGTGGGAGGCTGAGGCAGGAGAATCAGTTGAACCCGGGAGGCGAAGGTTGCAGTGAGCCGGGATTGCACCACTGCACTCCAGCCTGGGCAACAGACTGAGACTGCGTCTAAAAAAAAAAAAAAAAGTTATTGGGGTAAAATATCATTGGTTCAAATTGATACTTCTCACTAAGGGACAGAGGTATTTTTACCTGCTTCATCTCTGCTACCTTAAATTTGAATCTCCTTTGTACCACAACAAAACCCTAGTTCTCCATGTTAACACAGTAACTCATTTGCTTTATTCCGTATCACTCATCTAACAGTCTCAGAATAACAATACCAACACTACCACCAGTTTGATTATTAACAGTGTTTATTTGCATTTTTTCCTTACCCTTAAGAAAAATACCCTTAATAAGTGTTATAAGGTCATTTAGATTAGTTTCTGTCTAAGTGACTGTACCACCAACTTAATAACTAAGGTTCATTTGCTTCATTTTATGTTTTATTTTGTGGAATTGCTTTTTAAAATTTAATTTTGCTTTATAAATACATTATTATATATAATTCTGAAATATATATAATTCTGAAAAGTCAAGTCTATAAAACAGAGTATATTCAGAGAAATCTCTTTCACCTTGGTCTTTCCTTCTGCCATAGGTAACCACTTCTTTTTAATCCTATAGTTTATCATTCAATTTTATAAAAAATTTAGGCATGTGTGTGTGTCTATGTGTGTATGTGTGTATCTATCCCCTGCCTTTTTTCATTTAGTGATATGTCCTAAATATGACATTGCAGTAACATGGAGATGCTCTTCATTCTTACACTGTAGTGTGTTATTCTTGCACTACTTTATGAATCACTATTTAGAAGCATTTGAGAGGCTATTAAAAAATACAAGTTCTCAGGGAACATAGTGACCATGTAAATCAAATATTTCCAAAAATTCTCCAGAAACCTACAGATCAAAAAGGAAACAATCCACCCATAACTTATGCCTAAATATAACTAGGAGCCGAGAATGCCACAATTATCAGTTACTTTTTAATGGGGATATAAAGATCTGAAACCAGCAGAGCCAGTACCAGACCATACATAACGAAGAATTTATGTAGGTGGAAATTGTATAAAAAAGGGAGAGAACAATGGGGGCCTAACAGAGCCAAAATTGCCCCCAGAATGAGATAGTCCCACCCAGAATGGGAAATACTGAGAACAGAGCTAAGATCTTGTGGATTAGAGCACAAACTATTGGAATTGGAAAGGAGAGTCAAAGTTGAAAGTGGACTGGAGATGGCAGTCCTGGGGAGAAAACTTCCTCTGTGGAAGAGGGAGACTTAACGTTGAAGGGAAAAAAAGACAGCAGGGGGTAAAATTTAGGATTATACAGAATAAAAGGCATACCATTCTTCTCATCCTACCTTAAACAGGCCCATCTATTAAAGAAATTGTATTTCACTATGCCAACTCATGACCCAAGTTCCCTGCCAATAGAACCTTTTGTTTTTTTGCTGGTCTGGGAAAATTTAAGATATATAAAAATGGTGAGAAAATAGCACTTGAAAATTTATAAAAAGCTTCAATATGAAGAAAAACATAAGATGAGGATAAAACCATTTCAACTACTGAAAATGCTTCCAAAACCAACGACTAATCAGAGGAAACCTGTTGCACAGCAACTCAACTTGAGTTAAACAAGTCTTGGCAGATATGAAAAAAATACCTTGAATCATAGGTTGTAAAAGTCAAGCTAGACATGCACAATAGACAAGAAGATGTGAAAATAGTATTGTCCAAACTCAAGAAAAAAAAGACAAAATTATCTCAGTGGAAGACTGAATTCCAAGGTGAACAACAGGACAATAGACTCAACTGAAAATGTAATAAGGGACATTAAGGAGGGAAATAAAAAGCCAAGAGAATAAAAATAAATATTAGAAAAGGTTAAAAAGTATCTCAAAGGAACTGTTAGATATAGAAGATAATGAACAAAAATCCAATATGTATATGTACACGATATGTATATGTATGTATAACTGAAAACCCAAAAGAAGATAAACAAAACAATGGAACAGAATTAACACTTAAATAAGAAAACTTTCCAAAAATTAAAGCAGACCTTTACCTTTATATTTATAGGACCTACTTTTGATTCAGATTGGTCAACTCTAAGACATATTTTAGTAAAACTATTGTATTCTAAGAAAATTTCTTCTAAACTTCTGGCAAAAAAAAAGCCAAGTCTTTTACAAGGTAAAGAAAGTCAAGTTTGCAGCTGTTTTTCAGGTATTGAGGTTATACTGAAATCGTTTTCAGCATGCAGAACTCAGGGAATATTATAACCCCAAGCCCATTCTGAGGAATAAATTAGAGAAAGCTCTTCATCAAAGCAAGAGATGATCAATTTAAGACAAAAACAAAGCAAGGGACAAGGGTAGAATAGTGTATGTGTGTATCAGGCTCAGTCCAGTGAAGAGAGAAACAACACAGTAATTTGAACATAGAAAGTTTAATATAATTGTTAACTATAACAGAGGATTGGAGTAATGAGGGATCAGTTAGTAAAGGAAAGATAACTCTAAAGAAATTATATGAGTAGCAAACATAAAGAAAAGCCAGACTCTGAGGCTGAGATAAAGTGCCCAAGGAAGAGCCTCTCCTCCCCCATCCTGAGGGCTGAGGTATAGGGCTGTGTTCTCTCAATGACAGAGAAATCACTGTGGTGCTATGTTGGTGGAACTTGCTAGGAACTCCCCTCTATGGTGCTCAGGAAAGCTGTTCGTTGAGAGATATCTCTCTACAGTAACTCTACTATGAAACCACCCAAGGTGAGGGTAAGGATGCTGCTGCTTAGAAAGAGATGCAGACAAATGTACTAATGAAGGCTCAACACAGCTCTTTCAAGGCAAGACAGGTCAAGAGGACAAAAAGTAAAAGTATGAAAGGCTTTAAGAAATCAGGTAGATCGTAGGTGTATGTGTGTGTGTGTGTGCATATGTATGCATGTCAAACTTTAGATCCTTATAAATGATCTGCCTTGAAATTTAAAAATCTAAATAGCTCTTAGTTGAACAGGGGAGATATAAACAAAGTTTGCAAAATTCCTAAAACACGATGATAATAAACATCATACATCAGAATTTTGAGATATAATTAAAGCAGTACTTAGAAGAAAATGTATAGCCTTAAATATTTAACATCAGTAAAAATGAAAGGATGAAAATTGGGATTTAAATTCCCAACTCAAAGAGCTAGAAAAAGAATTACAAAGCAAGAAGAAAAAAAAGATAAAGGAAATTAATGAGGCAGAAAACAGAAAAGCAATAATTCAAAGTTAATTCAAAGTACTGGTCCTGGCCGGGCATGGTAATTCATGCCTGTAATCTCAGAACTTTGCGTGGCCAAGGCAAGAGGATCACTTTGAGGCTAGGAGTTCAAGACCAGCCTGGGTAACATAGCAAGACCCTGTCTCAACAAAAATGTTTTTAAAAATTAGCCCAGCATGGTGGCATATGCCTGTTGTCCTGGCTTTTAGGAGGCTGAAGCAGAAGGATTGCTTGCACCCAGGAGTTTGAGGTTACAGTGAGTTATGGTCATACCACTGCACTGCAACCTAGGCCACAGGGTGAGATACTGTCTCAAAAAAAAAAAAAAAAAAAAAAGTACTGTCCTTTGGGAGAAAAAATGTCCATGAAATAGACAAACCACTAGTTAGCATAGTAAAGAAAAAAGGAGAGTAGGCACAAACATAGAAAATAAGAAATGGCCGGGCACAATGGCTCACACCTGTAATCCCAGCACTTTCGGAGGCCGAGGTGGGCAGATCACAAGGTCAAGAGATTGAGACCATCCTGGCCAACATGGTAAAACCCCGTCTCTACTAAAAATACAAAAATTAGCTGGGCACGGTGGTGCATGCCTGTAGTCCCAGCTACTCAGGAGGCTGAGGAGAATCACTTGAACCTGGGAGGTGGCGGTTGCAGTGAGCCAAGATTGCGCCAGTGCACTCCAGCCTGGCAACAGAGTGAGACTCCGTCTCAAAAAAAAAAAAAAGAAAGAAAGAAAAGAAGAAATGACAAAGGGGAAATAACTATGCAGATAAATTTGAAAAGTTAGGTTGAAGTAGGAAATACTATTTGTCAAAATTAACTTCAATAGCATTACAATATTTAAACAGATATAGAAAACATGGCCAGGCATGGTGGCTCACACCTGTGATCCCAGCACTTTTGGAGTCCAAGGCAGACAGATTGCTTGAGCTCAGAAGTTTGAGACCAGCCTGGGCAGCATGGCAAAACTCTATCTCTGCAAAAAAAATAACAAAATTAACCAGGCGTGGTGGCTCACGCCCATAGTCCCAGCTACTTGGGAGGCTGAGGTGGAAGGATCACTTGAGCCTGGGATGTGGAGATTGCAGTGAGTTGAGATTGTACCACTACACTCCAGCCTGAGTGAAAGAGTGAGATCCTGTCTCAAAAAAAAAAAAAAAGAAAATATACAAAAGTTTTCAAGGAACTGCACCTACAGTAAGCACCATGTGTAGATTATGTCACAGGGAAATTACCAAACCTTAAGGAGCAGATAGTCTTAGTGCTAGTTGAGTTGTAGTTCAACAATACCCAGCAGAACTTTCTGCAATGGTGGAAATATTTTGTATCTGTTCTATTCAGCATGATCCTCACCAGCCACATACAGCAAGTGAGTAAGCACTTGAACTGGCTACTGTGACTAAGGAATTGAATTTTAAATTGTATTTAATTGTAACTTAAAAGGCCTTGTATTAGTCCGTTCTCCTGCTGCTATAAGGACATAACAGAGACTGGGTAATTATAAAGGGAAGAGGTTTAATTGACTCACAGTTCAGCATGGCTAGGGAGGCCTCAGGAAACTTACATTCATGGTGGAAGGGGAAGCAAACACATCCTTCTTCACAGGGCAGCAGGAAAGAGAAGAATGAGAGCTGAGCAAAGGGGGAAGCCCCTTATAAAACCATCAGATCTTGTGAGAACTTACTCATTATCATGAGAATAGCATAGGGGAAACTGCCCCCATGATTCACTTACCTCCCACTGGGTCCCTATCATCATATGTGGGGATTATGGGAACTACAATTCAAGATGAGGATTTGGGTGGGGACACAGCTAAAGCATGTAAGGCCTGATGTGGCTAGTGGCTATTGTACTGAATAGTGTCATTCTAGATCACAGAAAAAGTAGGAAAGCATCTGAATTGTTTTTATGAGACACATAGAACTGTGTTGCCTAAACCTGATTTATACACATGTGCCCACACACACATGCAGATGTATAATCTCATGTATGAATACTGTTATTAAAATCCTAAATAAAAGGAATTAGGATTTAACATATTTAAAACAACAATTCATCAAGACATAATAGTAGGTTGGATTTTGGGGAGAATGAAAATATTTAACTTTAGAAAAATCATTAATAGAATTCAACATATTAAAAAAGCTAAGGAATAAAATCATATGAGCTTTGACAAAATTCAACACACTACTAGCAAAAAAAAATAATAAACCAGAAAATGGGTACTATATACTTAACTTGGAAAAAAGTATGTTTATACCTCAGTACTAAAGCCAACATTTTACTTAATGGTTTAAAATAACCTGATAGAAGATACATGGAAGACAAACTCCCATTTTCAATAGCAGGTAAGGGGTGAGGGAAAACTAACAAATGTGTGAAACTTACATAAAGAAAACTTTGAAAAACCTGACCAAAAAGCATGATTAAAAAATAAGTCATAGAGTAGACTTTGTCAAAATTAAGAACTTCTGCTCTTCAATAGACACTGGTAAGAGAATGAAAATACATATTGACTTTGTATCCTGAGACTTTGCTGAAGTTGCTTATCAGCTTGGGGCTGAGAAGATGGGGTTTTCTGAATATACAATCGTGTCATCTGTGAACAGAGACAATTTGACTTCCTCTTTTCTTAATTGAATACCCTTTATTTCTTTCTCTTGCCTGATTGCCCTAGCCAGAACTTCTAATACTACGTTGAATAGGAGTGGTGAGAGAGGGCATCCTTGTCTTGTGCCAGTTTTGAAAGGGAATGCTTCCAGTTTTTGCCCATTCAGTATGATATTGGCTGTGGGTTTGTCATAAATAGCTCTTATTATTTTGAGATACGTCCCATCAATACCTAATTTATTGAGAGTTTTTAGCATGAAGTGCTGTTGAATTTTGTCAAAGGCCTTTTCTGCATCTATTAAGATAATCATGTGGTGTTTGTCATTGGTTCTGTTTATGTGATGGATTACGTTTATTGATTTGCGTATGTTGAACTAGCCTTGCTTCCCAGGGATGAAGCCGACTTGATTGTTGTGGATACGCTTTTTGATGTGCTGCTGGATTCGGTTTGTCAGTGTTTTATTGAGGATTTTTGCATCAATGTTCATCAGTGATAGTGGTCTAAAATTCTGTTTTTTTGTTGTGTCTCTGCTACGCTTTGGTATAAGGGTGATGCTGGCCTCATAAAATGAGTTAGGGAGGATTCCCTCTTTTTCTTTTGCTTCGAATCCTTTCAGAAGGAATGGTACCAGCTCCTCTTTGTACCTCTGGTAGAATTTGACTATGAATCCATCTGGTCCTGGACTTTTTTTGGTTGGTAGGCTATTAATTATTGCCTCAATTTCAGAACCTTTGGTCTATTTAGAGATTCAGCTTCTTCCTGATTTAGTCTTGGGAGAGTGTATGTGTCCAGGAATTTATCCATTTCTTCTAGATTTTCTAGTTTATTTGCATAGAGGCGTTTATAGTATTCTCTGATGGTAGTTTGTATTTCTGTGGGATCAGTGGTGATATCCACTTTATCATTTTTTATTGCATCCATTTGATTCTTCTCTCTTTTCTTCTTTATTAGTCTTGCTAGCAGTCTATATTTTGTTGATCTTTTCAAAAAAACCAGTTCCTGGATTTATTGATTTTTTTGAAGGGTTTATTGTGTTTCTATCTCCTTCAGTTCTGCACTTACCTTAGTTATTTCTTGTCTTCTGCTAACTTTTGAATTTGTTTGCTCTTGCTTCTCTAGTTCTTTTCATTGTGATGTTAGGGTGTCGATTTTAGATCTTTTCTGCTTTCTCTTGAGTGAACTCCCATTCACCATTGATACAAAAAGAATAAAATACCTAGGAATCCAACTTACAAAGGATGTGAAGGACCTCTTCAAGGAGAACTACAAACCACTGCTCAACGAAATAAAAGGACACAAACAAATGGAAGAACATTCCACGCTCACGGATAGGATGAATCAATATCGTGAAAATGGCCATACTGCCCAAAGTAATTTATAGGTTCAGTGCTATCCCCATCAAGCTACCACTGACTTTCTTCACAGAATGGGAAAAAACTACTTTAAATTTCATATGGAACCAAAAAAGAGCCCACATGACCAAGACAATCCTAAGCAAAAAGGACAAAGCTGGAGGCATCATGCTACCTGACTTCAAACTATACTACAAGGCTACAGTAACCAGAATAGCATGGCACTGGTACCAAAACAGATATATAGACCAATGGAACAGTACAGAGGCCTCAGAAATAATACCACACATCTACAACCATCTGATCTTTGACAAACATGACAAAAACAAGAAATGGGGAAAGGATTCCCTATTTAATAAATGGTGCTGGGAAAACTGGCTGGCCATATGTAGAAACCTGAAACTGGACTCCTTACACCTTATACAAAAATTAACTCAAGATGGATTAAAGACTTAAATGTAAAACCTAAACCTGTAAAAGCCCTAGAAGAAAACCTGGGCAGTACCATTCAGGACATAGGCATGGGCAAAGACTTCATGAGTAAAACACCAAAAGCAATGGCAACAAAAGCCAAAATTGACAAATGGGATCTAATTAAAATAAAGAACTTCTGCACAGCAAAAGAAACCATCAGCAGAGTGAACAGGCAACCTACAGAATAGGAGGAAATTTTTGCAATCTACCCATCTGACAAAGGGCTAATACCCAGAATTTACAAAGAAAAACAAATTTACAAGAAAAACACAAACAATCCCATCAAAAAGTGGGCAACAGATATGAACAGACACTTCTCAAAAGAAGACATTTATGCAGCCAACAGACACATGAAAAAATGCTCATCATCACTGGTCATTAGAGAAATGCAAATCAAAATCACAGTGAGATACCATCTCACGCCAGTTAGAATGGCGATCATTAAAAAGTCTGGAAACAATAGATGCTGGAGAGGATGTGGAGAAATAGGAACACTTTTACACTGTTGGTGGGTATGTAAATTAGTTCACCCATTGTGGAAGACAGTGTCGCGATTCTTCAAGGATCTAGAACTAGAAATACCATTTGACCCAGTGATCCCATTACTGGGTATATACCCAAAGGATTATGAATCATGCTACTATAAAGACACATGCACACATATATTTATTGCAGCACTATTCACAATAGCAAACAATTGGACCAACCCAAATATCCATCAATAATAGACTGGATAAAGAAAATGTGGCACATATACACCATGGAATACTATGCAGCCATAAAAAGGATGAGTTCATGTCCTTTGTAGGGACATGGATGAAGCTGGAAACCATCATTCTCAGCAAACTATCACAAGGACAGAAAACCAAACACTGCACATTCTCATAAGTGCGAGTTGAACAATGAGAACACGTGGACACAGGGAAAAGAACATCACACACCAGGGCCTGCTGGGGGGTGGGAGGCTGGGGGAGAGATAGCATTAGGAGAAATACCTAATGTAAATGACGAGTTGATGGGTGCAGCAAACCAACATGGCACCTGTATACCTATGTGACAAACCTGCACGTTGTGCACATGTACCCCAGAATTTAAAGTATAATACAAAATAATAATAGTTGAAAAATTAGAAAAAAGAAAATACAGGCCACAGACTAGGAGATAATGTTTGCAAATCACTTAACTATCAGTAATATTCTCCAAATTGATCTATAGATGCAGTGCAGTCCCTATCAAAATCCCAACTGCCTATTTTGCAGAAATTGACAAATTGGTTCTAAAATTCTTATAAGGGACCCAGAATAATCATAGCAATATTCAAAAGGGAAAACAAAGGTGGAGGACTCACATTTTCTGATTTCAAAACTTACTACAAAGCTATAGTACTGAAGACATTGTGGTTCTGGCATGAAGACAGACATATAGATCCATGAATTAGAATTAAGAGTACAGAAATGAACCTACCAATTTATGGTCAATTGATTTTTCACAAGGATGCCAAGACAGTTCAATGTGATTTTCAACAGCTGGTGAGGAACAAATGGATATTCACATAGAAAAAAATGAAGTTGGACCCTACCTCTATGCCATATACAAAAATTAATTTCAAGTGGATCATGGACCTAAATGTAAGAGCTAAAATGAGAAAACTCTTCGAAGAAAACAGGAGGAAATCTTCATGACCTTGGATTAGATAATACAGCACCAAAAGCACAAAAAAACAAAAGAAAAAATAGATAACTTGAACTTCATCAAAACTAAAAAGCTTCATCATCAAGAAGTGAAAAGACAGCTCACACAATGGGAAAAAATAGCCAAATCCATGTAAGCAGAAAGTAGATTTGTGGTTTCCAGAGTCCAGCTTGAAGTGGGGATGGGGAGTGGCTGCTAATAGGTATTGGGCCTCTTTTTGGAGGAGTGATGAAAATATTTTAAAATTAGATAAAGTGATGTTTGCACACTTTGTATGTTCACAGAGTACTAAAACCCATTGAACTATATACTTAAAAGAGTAAATTTTATGGTGTGTGAATTGTGAAGCTAATTTTTTATACTTACATATCTAATTCAGTAATGCTAGAAAAATGACATATACACATGCAAAAAAATGAAGTTGGAACTTAACCTTACACTATATACAAAAATTAACTCAAAATGTATCAAAGGCCTGAATGTGGGGTCTAAATCCATAAAACTCTTAGAAGAAAAGCTTTATGACATTAGATTTGAATATGACACCAAAAGCACAGGCAACAAAAGAAAAACATACATAAATTAGACTACATCAAAATTCAAAACTTTTGTGCATCAAAGGACACTATTGACATAGTGAAAAGGCAGCCCACAGAATTAGAAAAAAAATTCACAAAACATATATCTGATAAGGGGTTAATATTCAAAAAATATTTTTAAAAACTCCTGCAACTGTGTTATTCAAGGTTTATGATATTTAAAAAATTAAAAATAAAAACTCCTAAACCTCAACAACAAAAAACCCATTTCAAAAATTAGCAAAGGACTTGAATATATTTTTTTCCAAAGAAGATGTACAAATGGCCAATTAGCACATGAAAATATGTTCATGATCACTAATCATTAGGGAACTACAAATTAAAACTGCATTGAGATGACACTTCACATTCATTAGGATGGGTATTAGGAAAAAAACAGAAAATAACAAGTGTTGATGAGGATGTGGAGAAATGGGAATGTCTGTTGCTGGTAGGAATGTAAAATGGGAGTTTCTCAGAAAGTTAAAAATATCATGCACCTGTAGTCCCAACTACCTGGAAGGCTGAGGCAGGAGGATCGCTTGAACCCAGGAGTTCGAGGCCAGCCTGGGCAACATAGTGAGACCCCCAACTATTTTCTTAAAAAGTAAAAGTAGAATTCTGTGATTCAGCAGTTCCATTTCTGGGTATATACTCAGAAGGACTGAAAGCAGGGACTTGGGCAGATATTTGAATACCCGTGTTTAGCAGCATTAGTCACAATAGCCAAAAGGTAGAAGCCACTCAAGTGTCTGTTGATGGAAGAATGGATAAAGAAAATGTCACACATACGCACACACAGAAAGAGAGCGGGGCTGGGGAAGAGAGAGAGATGCAATGGGAATATTATTCAGCCTTAAAGAGGAAGGAAATTATAACACATGCTACAACATAGGTGAACCTCGACGACATGCTAAGTGAAATAAGCCAGTTATAAAAGCACAAATATTGTATGATTTCACTTAGATGAGACATCTAGAGAAGTCAAATGTATAGAGACAGAAAGTACAATAGTAGTTGCCAGGAGCTGAGGGAGGAGGAGGTGAAGAGGTTGATAATAGGTACAGAGTTTCAGTTGGGGAAAATGAAAATGTCCTGGAGATGGATGGTGGTGATAGTTGCCTAATAATGTGAATGGACTTAATGTCACAGAACTGTACACTTTAAAATGATTAAAACTGTAAATTTGATATATATTTTACCACAAAAAAAATTACCAGGCATGCAAACAAGCAAGAGAAAAACTCACCCATTATAATTAGAATCCAGAAATAACACAGATTATAGAATTAATAGACAAGGACATTAAAGCAGTTGTTTATATTGCATATGTTCAAGAAGATAGAGGAAATCATGAGCGTCATGAGTAGAGAAATGTAGGATTTAGATTTAAAAGAACCAAATTGAACTTTAGAGGTAGAACATACAAGATAATATCTCAAGTGAAGAATAAACTGAATGGATCCACAACATATTACTGTTGGAATTGCTTCAGGAGGAAGATGAGCAGACTTAAAAACAGCAGTATAAACTATCCAAATGAAACACAGAGAGAAAAAGAACTGAAAAAGAAAGCATCAGTGAGCCATGGAACAACTTCACGTAGCCTATAACATATATAACTGGAGTCCTGAAGGAGAGATAAGGAGCACATAAGAAATTATTAGAAAAATAATGCTTGAAAAATTTTTGAATACTATGAAAACTATAACTTCACAAATCAGAGAAGCTCAATGAACCCCAAGCAGGAGAAATATGAAATAAACCACACAAGGCACATCATCATCAAATTGCTGAAAACCCACGATAAAGAGAAAAGTCTTAAGAGCAGCCAGAGAAAAACAAGCACATGATATATAGAAGAACAAAGAATGACAGCAACTTCTCGTCAGAAACAGTGCAAGCCAGAATACAGTGGAGCAGCATTTTTAAGTTCTAAAAGGAAAACAAGTTGTTAAGCTAGAATTCTATACCAAGCAAGAATGTCTTTCAAAAATAAAAATGAAGACATTTGCAGAAATATAAAAGCTTAGAGAATTAATCACAAGCATATCAGTACTACAAGAAAGGTTAAGTGAAGTCCTTAAAGCAGAAAGAAAATGATAACATGGAAAAAATGGATCTCTGCAAAGCAATGAGGAAAATTTGTAGGTAAATATAATAAAATTTGTAGTGTACATATAATAATTCAAAAATAGCTAGGAACTCCTAAAAAAGAAGAGCAATGTGCAGAGAGTAATCCCATTAGCTATTAAAACATACTTTAAAGCCTCTGAAATTAAAATTATATGGAACTGGCACATGAATAGGCAGACTGAGCAGTGTAAAATAAATAGCAAATCCAGAGATAGATCTGACTGTATATGAAAATTTGCTATATGATAAAGGTAGTGTGGTAGTCTGCTGAGGCTGTCAGTGAAATACCACAGACTGTCTGGTTTAAACAACAGGATTTTTTTTTCTCACAGTTCTAAAGACTGGAAAGTCCAAGATCAAGGTTCTGGCAGGGGTTGATTTCTGCTGAGGGTCCTCTTCTTGCTTGCAGACAGCCATCTTATGGCTGCCTTCTCACTGTGTTCTCACAGGAGAAGGAAGAAGGAAGGGAGGGAAGTGGAGGGAGGAAGAGAGCTCTTCCTCTTCTTATAAGACCATAGTTCTATCAAATAAGGGCTCTACCCCGTGACTTCACTTAACCTTCATCATCTCCTAACAACCCTGTCTCTGGGTACAGTTATATTGAGGATTAGGACTTCAACATATTAATTTGGGGGATGGAGATTCAGTCCATAGTGGTTGGCATATTAAATTGGATAAAATTGACTTTTTCATAAATGACATTGGGATAAGTTAATAGCCATTAGGAAAAGATACAATTGAATCCATATATCACAGCGTATGTCAGAATAAACTGCACGTGGATTAGAGATCAAAATGTAAAAAAATGACTATATAAGTACTAGGAAAACACAAATTCCTTTATAAACTTGGGGTGGGGAAAGCCTTTTTAAATATGATTCAAAATCTAGATAGACCGACAAATTTGACTTTTTAAAACATTTTTAGGGGAAAAAAACACTCCAAGCAAAGCTAAAAGACAAATGATAAATGGGAGAAAATATTTGCAACATAAGGCACAGATAACTCTCCCTAATTCATAAAGAACACTCATAAATAGAAAAATAGAAAAATTTTTTAAGACTAAAACCTATAGAAAAATGATCTTAAGGCATGAACAGTTGACAGAAGATATACAAATGGTCCTCAGACATATGAAAATTCACACCACTCATAATAAAATAAGTGCAGATTAAAACCACAGTAAGATATTCTTTCTTACCAGATTGACAAAAATTCCAAAGCTTGAGGAGACAGCAAGGCTGTGGGGAAATAAGCGTTCTCATTTTTTTTTGCTGGGGACATGCAGAATGGTACATTTCACACCAGAGAGGGAGGGCATACAATTCATCAGTATCTGAGAAAAACCACATATGCATTTATTAGTTGACCCAGGGATCCCACTTCAGGAATTTGATTTTAAAGATGTACTGCCACAAAAATAAAGCAATATACACATGGTTATTTTTTTGCAACATTAAGAGATTGATTGAATGTTATATAGTACATTCACACAATGAAGTACCATTCAACCATAAAATAGAATGAGGAAGATCTGTGTAAACTAATATGGAGTGATTTCTAAGATATATCATTAATGTGAAAAAAGAAAGTTGCAGAAAGTATATATAATACGCTAACTTTTGGGAAAGAGAAGGGGAAATATGTATGTATACACATATGCACACATATATAACATATGAAAGTATGCATTTTAAATTTATTTTTGTAAAAAGAAACACAGGAATGTCAAGCCAGAAAATAATGAAAAGATCACCCATTAGGCATGTCTTGGAATAAGGTAGAAAGTACTGGGATAAGAGTGAGGCTTTTGAAAATACCTTTTAATATTCTTTTGACTTTTGAACTAAGTATTTTACTTAATAAATAAAATTAAACTAAAAAAGATGAACAAAGCAAACCCTAAAATTGATTAGAAACAAACAAAACTGAATCAAATGGATGTAATAACCACATTGAAAAAACTATTAATTCAAATAAAATTTTAACATAGAACCTTCACAGTATACCTTTAATATGGGGCATATTCTAAGGAAAAAATGGACTGCAAAGAAATTTTGACTTCTTAATAATGTTTGTGGTTTTGGCATGGTTATCTGAGACTAATTTGCAGATATTGAAAATAGAGCAAATGAATAAATAAGATTCTAATATGGAAAAAGATGAGGAAGAACCCTGTAGTATTGGATTTGAATTGGAGAATATCTGTATCTACTCTGGCCTTTAAAATATATTTATATGTATGCATCCTATTCAAGTAATACATATATGTAACATATGATTTGTATGTGTGTGTGTATATACATATGTATTTTCCAAGCACTGTTCATTGAAAGGGCCTAGAAGCAATTACATCTCAGTAGCAATGACGACACCTTGATTTTGGTTTCTAAAAATCACCTGATACACCTGTAATCCCAACACTTTGGGAAGCTGAGGCAGGAGGATCCCTTAAGCCTAGGAGTTCGAGACCAGCCTGGGCAACATGGCAAGACCCCCATCTCTACTGGAAAACATTAAAAATGAGCTGGACATGGTGTCACGCATCTGTGGTCCCAGCTACTTGGGAGACTGAGGTGGGAGTATCCCCTTGAGTCTGGGAGGTCGAGGCTGCAGTGAGCCATGATCATGCTATTGCACTCCAGCCTGGGTGACAGAGTAAAACCTCTTCTCAAAAAAAAAAAATTAAAGTTGGAGGGAAGAAATCTCCTTTACAGAATGCCAGCCAATAAATATAGAAGGAATGAGGCTGGGCAAAGTGGCTCACACCTGTAATCCCAGCACTTTGGGAGGCCGAGATGAGTGGATCACATGAGCCCAGGAGTTTGAGACCAGCCTGGGCAACATGGTGAAACTCTGTCCCTACAAAAAAATACAAAAATTATCTGGGCATGATGACACACACCTGTAGTGCCGGCTACTCAGGAGGCTGAAAAGGAAGAATCAGCTGAGCCCGGGAAGTCTAGGCTGCAGTGAGCGGAGATCTCGCCACTGAATTTCAGCCTGGGGGACAAAGCAAAACCCTGTCTAAAAAAAATATATAGAAGGAATGAGAGAAAATTACTTTTTTGCAACTATTTTAATAATTGAGTCAGGCAAGAGTAACCAATAAATGCTTAAACTATTAGGTAAAAAAACATACTGAGGAATAGGATGTTCACAGTCTCAAAGTTTCTCTCCACTGATTGCCTGTAAATTACAAAGGGAAATTACAGTGAAGAACACTGTCAATCACCTCTTAACATGTGATCAAATTTTGTATCTTCAGTAATTAGACAAACTGACATTATGTGCCTCCTGCAGTATTGCAATGAGAAATACTCCACATCACCTGTATAATATTTTTTATCAAATCTCTTTAGCAGGCCAGGCCTAGCAGTTTATGCCTGTAATCAGAGCCAGCACTTTGGGAGGCTGAGGCGGAATGATTACTTGAGGCCAGAAATTCAAGACCAGCCTGGGCAATATAGCAAGTCCCCCATCACTACAAAAAATAGAAAAATTGGCCAGGTGTGGTGGTGCACACCCTTAGTCCTAGTTGCTCAGGGGGATCACCTGAGCCCAGGAGTTGAAGGCTGCTGTGAGCCATGATTGCACCACTGCACACCAGCCTGGGCAACAGAGAAAGACCCTGTCTCAAAATAAATAAATAAATAAATAAATAAATAAATAAGCTCTTCAGCATGAATGTAATTATGAGGAAACGATCAGAAGAAGTCCAAACTGTGGGACATTCTGTAAAACAATCCAGACTCTTCAAAAATGTCAGTGTCATACAAAGCAAACAAAAGGCAACAGGACTATTATACATGAATTCTACATTAAAGGAGACTGAAGAAACATGACAACCAATTGCAGTATGTGATTCTTGATTGGATCCTGTATTTAAAAATCAACAGTTTTAAAGAACAT
Organism: Homo sapiens; assembly: GCF_000001405.40. Classification (NCBI taxonomy): domain Eukaryota; kingdom Metazoa; phylum Chordata; class Mammalia; order Primates; family Hominidae; genus Homo; species Homo sapiens. Next base: position 41,124,351 of record NC_000001.11, on the reverse strand, counting down.
TTTAGGGACAAATGAGAATATTTTTAATTAAATTTCCTGAGTGTGATAATACTGCAATTTTGTAGGGGAATGTCTTTTTTCAAATATACTGATATATTTAGGGGTGAAGTGTCGTAACATCTCCAACTTTCATATAGTTCAGGGGTGGAAGCATTAATATATGTAGATGAAAAGCAGATGTGGGAAAATGGTAATAGTTGTTGAATCTAGTTGAAGGGTACATAATTGTTCATTATATAGTTTTTGCTATTTTCTCTAGGTTTATAACTTTTCAAAATAAAATTAAAAAAATAAAATTATTTATATATAATTGTACATATGTTTGTGTGTCCATGTTCCCCAGGCCTTCTCTGGACTTCTTTCTAGAGTTGCTGAATCAGAAGCTCTAGGTAATGGGGCTTGGGATTCTGCATGGCAAAATGGCTCTCCTGAGATACTGACACAACTGGTCTATATTTGGAAAACATTGCTCTGGAAGAGCATCCTTTTCCATTAAAATCTTGCATGGTGTATATGTATACGTATGTGTGTTCTGTTCTCATAAGGGATATTACTCTTTTGCAGTGGAGTCCTCCAAGGATAAAACATGTAGTAGAGTAGAATGATTCTCCTCAGTTATCTCAAAGCTGCCACTCTTCTCCTCACAGCTCCCTGTTATTACTGACTGATTCTTCTACTTAATACTGTGATTGTTTCTTCTAAAGAGGGCTGTCTAGAGCATAGTTCTCAAACTTGGCTACCTGTTAAAATCACCTAGGGAGCTCTTAAAATTTTCAGGGTCTAGGCCTTAACTTCAGATCAGTTAAATAGGGATTTCTGGGAGTGGATCTGATGTATTCTTTAATGTTCCCTAGGGGATTCCAGTCCAAGTTTGAGAGTCACTGAGCTGGAGTAGAAGCTAGCCTTTAATGAGGCCCCTAGTCAAGTGAGTCACGATCTCAGTGTAAACTGCTTACCCAGCAAATTTGGTCACATGCTTTAGTATATACAGTAACTTCAAAGGAATCCTTTGTATGTTTCTGTCACTGATCAATTCCTGGTGTGAATGCTCTTCTGTTACCTGCCACCAGAGGGCATGGACTATGATTAGATTATAGTCCTGCTGCTCCACATGTATGTATGTATGTATTGAGGCAGAGTCTCGCTGTGTCACTCAGGCTGGAATGCAGCGTCACAATCATAGCTCACTGCAGCCTCGACATCCCCAGGCTACAGCAGTCATCCTGCATGAGCCTTCCACGTAGCTGGGACTACAAGCACACACCACCACACCCAGCTAATTTTTTGTATTTTTTGTAGAAACAGGGTCTCACTGTGTTGCCCAGGCTGGTCTTTAAATTTTGGGCTGAAGTGATCCTCCTGCGTCAGTCTCCCAAAATGCTGCGATTACAGGTGAAAGCCACTGTGCCCGGCCTGCAGCTCCACTCTTAAATCCAGTTTCATCAGCTGGCCAGTTTAAAGAGATGGACCCTAGCTTATCCAGTGGTCCCATAGTCTTGGGAGCACCTAGAAGCACTTTAGAAGTGGTTCTTTATGAAGTTTTAAAAAATGAATCCTTGGTAAACACAGAGCACTTGCAGCCTGTGTTTGGAATTAAAAGAGATCTGACTTTGTAATATTAACTTAGCCACTCACTACCTTAGTTGTGTGACTACTGGTAAGTTGCTTTACCTTGACTTGTAACGTTGAGTTTCAGTGCCCTTACCTGCAAGATGATTAATAAATTCTTCCCCATGTTGTTTTTGTGGATTAAGTGGAATAACATAATAAAGCGTTCATCAATTCTTGGCACCCATTTAATAAATGGAGGGTTTTTTCCTTAATTCAATAAAACTATCAAGGATTTTGTATTCTAGTTGGAGAAGACATACACATTAAACTTTTTAAAAAGAAAATTCAGATGGTGATAGGGGCTAGGAATAAATAAGAAGGAAGCAGGATAGATTTAGGAGTCTATTTTGGGTAAAGTAGTCAAGGAACACCTTTCTGAGGAAGTGATGTCTCAGCAAATAACTAACTGTAAAGAGTTGATTAAAAGGTGTTTGAGGCAGAGGGAAACAGCTTGGTATATTTGAGAACAGAAAGACCAATGAATAGGGGTACAAGGGAGTGATAAGAGATGAGTAATGAGGAGTAAGCAAGGTCCAGATCATGTAAGCCTTGTAAACATGAATAATAAAGAGTTTAGATCTGTTTTGTGTTGTGAAATTTGAGCATAAGGTAATGTGACCTGATTTATATTTTTAAAAACATAACCATATTATTCTGGCTGCAAAAGTAGAGGGCTGAGGTCCAGTTAGAAGGCTGTTGGAGTTGTCTAGGCAAAGTTTGACTCTGGCTTAAATTAGGGTAATATAGCAGTAGAGATGGTGAAATGTGGGTCGATCTAGCATATATTAAGTGGGAAAGCCATCAAGACTTGCTGATTAATTGGGTTTGGTGGGTGATAGAAAGGGAAGAATCAAGGATGACTTCTAGTCTTTTAGGTCTGAGCACCTGGGTTTAATAAGGGGTGCCACCTATTAAACTGAGATGGGATAACTGGAGGAAAGAACAAGTTTGGAGGGAATAGTAGAATCAAGAGTACTGTCTTAAACTTATTCATTTTACGTTTTCTTAGACATCCAAGTAGAGTTATAGACTGAGGTAGTTGGATATATGAACATGAAACCCTGAGCAGAGGTTTTGGCTAGATATATAAATTGACAGTCATCATTTAACAGGAAGAAAGTGGGGACCAAGAAGAAGACAGAAGCAATGACTGAGCACTGAGGTGCTCTACATTTAGAGATTAGGATTTCCTCTTACCCACCTGTCCTTTTCCTTATAGACAGCCTAGGTCGTTGCCTAATTTGAATAGAGCCTCAAATTACTGTTTTCATCTTCCTTCTTTTCTCTCTTTCACAAGTTTATGACTCCAACCCTTCTTACCTAGAGACAGTGTGGTAGGACTGAGTGATAAAATATTTGACGATATTAATGTGATGATTAGTTATGAAAGCTCTGGAGACGGAGTAGTTGGGTTCAAATCCTGGCTCTGCTATTTACTAACTTACTAACTTTGGATATTTTACTTAATTTCTCTAAGCCTCAGTTTTTTCATCTATAGTTACAAAAATAATAGCCAATGTTTATCTAACTCCTGCCTGTATGCCAGGCAGTGTTTTAAGTCCTTTGCATGTATTAGCCTATTTAATCTTTAGAACAACCCATTGATTCTTATCCCATGCTGTTGTTGAGGAAACTGAAGCTAGAGAGAGGTTTTGTAATTTTCCAAAAGTTATGTACCTGGTAAGTGGCAAAGCTGGATTTAAATTCAGGCAGTCTGGCACCAGAAACTGCTACTCCTCTAGTATCTGATTCAGAATAGTAGTAGTGATCCACTGCAAATGCTTAGCACAAGGAGCTGGCTCATGATATGTGTACAATAAATGTTAACTTTTGGAGGCAACATAGTGTAATAAAAGAGATAGTGTAATAAACATAGTGTAATAAAAGAGAACCAAATAAGAAGTCCTGGGGTTCCAGCCTGACAGTGTAAGATTGGCTTGTGTGACCATGAACAAGTTTCTTAGCCTCTCTGGACTTCAGTTTCATCATCTGCAATGTAAGATCTTTGTACTTCATGGCCTCTGAGGTCCCTTTCAATGTTAAAATTATCTACTATCTATGATTGCCCAAGAATATTGAGGTAAATTATGGATATACTTGAATTTGAAGGGATAGAGTCCCACATCACCTAGCGGATTGAGGAATAAGATACCTTAGCAATTTCTTGGGTTCAAAATATTTCTGCTTTGCCCCTGTACTCTTGAAGAATCCTGCTGGTAGTGAAACATAGTAAAGAACCACAAAGTTTGGTATCCAACCACCATATATTGAAATCTGTCTCCGGCATTTACTAGCATGACCCTAGACAAGCTGCTTCTCTGAGTTTTCATTTTTTATCATCTGTAGAGTAGGGATAATAATAGTGCCTGCCCATGTTATTTCAAATATTGAGTAAGAAATGGCATATAAAATGTTTAATACATGGTAAGCATTCAATATATATTAACTATTATGATAATATTGTAATGATTTCCAAAGCTGAGAGGATTTTTTAGCTCCTTAAGCTTCAGATGAGATAGAAACCCCCCAGTAACCCCTACCTCAAAAATGGAATTGGGAATTACATGGCTAGGCACTCTAGTCATTGATAACTATAGGCATTAAACCTGAATTTTCTAATTGTGCAGGCCTCCCTATACCAAGGTGTATAGACCACTTCTCTAAAACAGTAGTGCCTTGCTTTACCTTATCCATAGGTGTACCAAACCACTCATGGCAAAGCTGCTCTGGGTTTGGCTTGCTTCAGCCCTTCCCTGACCTAAGGAGAGTTGTTTTCCCACATAAACACCACGCTTGAATTTCTGGAGGGATTTAATTTTTTTAAACCATTGTCAAAAGAAGAGTAGCAGTTAAAAACCCAGCTCAAACCAGATTAGAGAGGGAAAAAAGGAGGAGGCAGGAATTATTAACTCATATAACCAAGAAGTCCAAGGATTTATCTGGTGTTGAGTGTCTGAGTACTGGGTTTTAAACACTATTATGTGTCTCCATCCCATGCTGTACTTTGGCTTTATTCTCAGGTCTGTTCTCCATGTAGCAGTGCCCAAACTGCAAACATCCTTATGGGCATGTTCTCAGACAAAGAAAGATGTTCTTCTCCAACGTCAATCTCATGTCAAAAAACAACTGGCCTAACATGGGACATAGACACATATACACTCTTGGTCTAGGGGAATTTGATGCTCTTAAACAGCATTGTGTTTTACCCCAAGGCCAGGTAGGTAAGGACCACATATGTGGTTGACGTGCCCACCAAATCATGTGGAGTTACGGTGGGGTTTTTTTTTTTTTGTTTTTTTTTTGCCCTAAAGGGAAAAAAAAGCTGGGCAAGCAAAAAGGAAGTGATGGCAGTTTTAGATTGAGTGATAGGAAAGTCCACATTGCTGTTGATATGGATGGGCTGTCCCAAGAAATCTCTTTACCTTGGGAAGGCTGGCTTAGCCTAGCCAGCTTTGGGACTAAAAGTTTAAATAGTATGGAGTGGTAACTCTTTTTTTATTTGCATTTCCTTGTCACCTCCTCCTCCTAACTTTAATTACAGTTGTTAATTGATACTTTTTTCCAAAAGCTGAATCTTCCCTTTTCATTTTACCCATACATTGCCAGTTTTAAAGTGTGGGCTCAGGAGTCAGATTGCCTGAATTTTAATCCTGTCTTTTCGTTTGCTCACTTTGAAATCTTAAGCAATTTATTTAACTTCAAATAAATTGTACCTGTTTCCTCATCTATAAAATGAAGATAATATCTACCTCCTAGGGCTGTCTTGAGGATTAGATAGTCAATAGAAAGTGATTGGCATAGTGAACAGTAAAGTGCTCAATAACATCAGATACTGCTGCTGCTGTTATTTCCAGCTTTGCAGCTTGGGTGCAGCTTATCTGTTCTTTTGTTTGGAGTGGGAAGGCTGAGGTAGTTTGGGAAATGCTCAAAAAACATTAGGTTTTGTTATCTCAGGATGCAGAGTTGAAGCAAATTGAAAGAAGCACTTGGGGCTCTAATTGGAAGACCTAACTGTAATAATGATCTTATTTTTACAATTCATTGATAGGTGATAATGGACAGTTAACCTCTCTAGGCTTCTTTTTACTCTTTTGCAAAATGAAGATTTTTGGATAGGACAATCCTTTCCAATGTCATTCCTTGGTCCTTAGTTGTTTAAGTAAACAATGAACTTCAGAAAGTATTTTGTACTTGGTGTGTGTATGTGTGCAAGACAGAAAGTGATAAGAGAAGTAGTGAGTTAGTTTACATTGAGAGGAACCAAAATGATTTACTTATATATTGGGTTTATCGGTTGACATGTTTGGTTTCTTCTTAAGAGATTATTAGATCCCCTTTCATACTCTACTGTCCAGATCATCTCTAAGTATTCGTTAATCCTATCACATCTTTTTTGGATTTTTCAAATGCCTAGAAAGTTTTCTAGGCATTACGTTATGTGTTCTGTAGTACTTGTCTTAGGAAACTTGGTTTGGAGACTCTGTCCCACTATTTACTTTACAGCATTACCTTGGACAAGTTACATTCTCTCTTATGTGCCTCATTTTCTTCATCTGTCTAATGAGGTGTTTCTCCTTTTTAACCCTTAAGTCCTTTCTTAACAGTCTGTGATTCTGTAACTATCACAGCATAGGAGTAGCTGGATTCTAAAGGCTGAACTTGATATCATAATGTAGAGTCCAGCCCCACAGGGTTGGTGGGTTTTCTCCCTGTGTGCGGAGACAAGAGAGTGTAGAAATAAAGACACAAGACGAAGAGATAAAAGACAGCTGGGCCCAGGGGGACCACTGCCACCAAGACACAGAGACCAGTAGTGGCCCTGAATGCCAGGCTGCGCTGATATTTATTGGATACAAGACAAAGGGGCAGGGTAAGGAGTGTGAGCCGTCTCCCATGATAGGTAAGGTCACGTGGGTCACGTGTCCACTGGACAGGGGGCCCTTCCCTGCCTGGCAGCCGAGGCAGAGAGAGAGAGAGGAGAGAGAGAGAGACAGCTTACGCCATTATTTCTACTAATCAGAGACTTTTAGTACTTTCACTAATTTGCTACTGCTAACTAAAAGGCAGAGCCAGGTGTACAGGATGGAACATGAAGGCGAACTAGGAACATGACCACTGAAGCACAGCATCACAGGGAGACAGTTAGACCTTTGGATAACTGCAGGCGGGCCTGACTGACGTCAGGCCCTCCGCAAGAGGTGGAGGAGTAGAGTCTTCTCTAAACTTCCCCGGGGAAAGGGTGACTCCCTTTCCCGGTCTCTAAGTAATGGGTGTTTTTCCTTGACACTGACGCTACCACTAGACCACGGTCCGCTTGGCAACGGGCGTCTTCCCAGACGCTGGTGTTACCGCTAGACCAAGGAGCCCTCTGGTGGCCCTGTCCGGGCATAACAGAAGGCTCGCACTCTTGTCTTCTGGTCACTTCTCACTATGTCCCCTCAGCTCCTATCTCTGTATGGCCTGGTTTTTCCTAGGTTATGATTGTAGAGCGAGGATTATTATAATATTGGAATAAAGAATAATTGCTACAAACTAATGATGAATGATATTCATATATAATCATATCTATGATCTATATCTAGTATAACTATTCTTATTTTATATATTTTATTATACTGGAAGAGCTCGTGCCCTCGGTCTCTTGCCTCGGCACCTGGGTGGCTTGCCACCCACATCACCATTCATTTTTGAAACATACTTTTAATCTGTTGCCCATTATGCTTGCTGCAGGATTTCGGCTGAATGCGTCTTCTTGGCCCATGTTCCTTTTGAAGACGCTAAATGGAGCAGAGATGGCTCCCATCAGGATTTTCCACAAGGTAGGCTATCCCTCAGATATCACCAGCTCCAGGCTGCTTAAGGTCAAATATTGAGACTTTGATGTCCACATTTACTTATGGCCTGAAGATGCCTTCTCAGAAATTAGTTCAGAAGGATTTTTTAGTAGCTTATGAAGCAGCAATTATCCCCAGAGGAATATATTAGACTATAAGGTCCCATAGATTAGATTATATGGTCCCAGCTTCCAGTAATCTCTGTTTACCTGTCGGGCTTGTTAAGAAGTTAAAATGTATTATTAGTAGAATATGTTAAATGTAATACAAATCTAAAGGCGCTATTCTTATTATAGATCTTGGAGTTCTGTAGAGTTCATGTTCTAAACAGAGAAAAGAAGGAGACTTTTTTTATTGCCTACGATATGTTTGGGACTTTATATATACTATCTCATGTAATACCCACAGCTAACTTTATGAACTAAGAATTATTATTTCCATTTAATAGTTAAGGAAACAAATACTTTTGAATTAGGAGCTTGCTCAAGATCACGTGGCTAGTAAGCGGCAGAACAGGGATCCAAAACCTGTATTTGTTATTGCTTCTCAAGAAGTGAGGCAGTGAGTCTATCAGTTGAATTTTCTAATGGGGTAAAAGTTACTGTAAAGGGTATTAAATTAGGTTTGCCTATGCTGCTAGTTAAGTCTCAACACTAAGAGCATCCTGCTTCTGAATTACCTAGCACTTATGTAACTCAGGAGTAGTTCTTGTATTCTTTGGGACTAGAAATAAAGATGAGTTTTAGACTTTGTTATGCCAGCTGTGCAGTAAAGGGATCTACCAAAAGACTCCAAGTAGAATGTTTAACTTCCGGATCAGTGGAGGGGGAAAATAGAAGAAAACTTAGTTGATTGAAAAGGAGAAAAAAGAACTTTGGAAATTCAAATTAAATAGAAACATAGACAATAAGGTAGTTGTAATAAATTCAGATACATCAATTATCACAAGAAATGAGCTTAAGCTCATTATAATCATACATAGATCAGATTTTTAAAAATCTAGCTATATGCTATGTATAAGAGACACTAAACATAATGACAAAAATGTTGAAAGTAAAAGAAATCTACAGAGGGTGGGAATGATGGAAAACAAATTTTTTAATTTTTAAAAAAGAAAATAAAAGAATATGAAAGATGTGCCAGATGAACTTTTATCAAAATAAAGCTGGCATAAACTATACGGAAATCACGCAAGACTTTGATACTAAAAGTCTAAATGATGCTAAAAGCACTGAGTCCAGGAATTTGAGACCAGCCTGGGCCACCTGTAGCAAGACCCCGTCTCTAGAAAAAATTTAAAAATTAGCTAAGAGTGGTGGCACGTGCCTGTAGTCGCAGCTACTTGGGAGACCGAGGTGGAAGAATCGCTTAAGCCCAGGAGATTGAGGCTGCAGGGAGCTGTGTTTGCACCATTGCACACCAGCCTGGGTGACAGAGCAAGACCCTGATTCTAGAAATAAATAAATAAAATGCATTAAAGAGGTCACTATCTAATTATCATAAAGTACAGTTCACCAGGAAGATAAAACAGTCATAAATGTACATGCTCCTAGAAAATGTAATCTCAAAGTATAATAGAGCAAAATTTGACAAAATTACATGGTAAAATTGGAAAATCCACAAATCACTAGGGAATATTTGAAGACTTATCTCTTAACAATTGATAAATCAAGCACACAAGAATTGGTATGTCAATCAGCATAAGCTAATAATCAGTATCGAATAAGTTGGTCAATTTTTAAAAATCACTTTATTTGCATTTAACAACAGTTAAATTTAAATGATTTGAAAATAAATTTTTTAAATGCCACTTATGATAGCAATGGAATTGTAATTTGCCTAGAAAAAAAGTTAGTAAAAAAGCATGAGATATTTATAGAGGAAATTTTTAAATGTATGTTGAAGAAATCTGCATTAAAGAAATCTTGGCCAGGCACGGTGGCTCATGCCTGTAATCCCAGCACTTTTTGGGAGGCCAAGGCATACGGATCACTTGAGGTCAGGAGTTCGAGACCAGCTTGGGCAACATGGTAAAACCCCATCTCTACAAAAAATAACAAAAATTAGCAGAGTGTGGTGGTGTGTGCCTGTAATCCCAGCTACTTGGGAGGCTGAGGTAGGAGGATCACTTGACCCTGGGAGGCAGAGGTTGCAGTGAGCCAGGATTACACCACTGCACTCCAGCCTGGGTGACAGAACCAGACCCTTTCTCCAAAAAAGAAAGAGAGAGAGAGAGAGAGAGAGAAAGGAAATCTTAACAAGTGGAAAAGACTATCATGTTTATGGATGGGAAGGCTTGATAGTATATAATAAAGGTTATTTCCACCCAAATTTATCTATAAATTCGTTGTAATTCCAGTCAAAATCCTAATAGGGTTTATATATGGAACTCGAAAAAACTGATTGAAATTTATATGAAAGACAGAGAATGAATAGCAAAAACAATATTGAAGAATGACAAAGTAGGGGGACTTTTCCTATCAGATATCCATTTAATAAGACTATGTTATTGGTACAGGATCAGATAGTAAGATTAAGGGAACAGAATAGAATGTACAACACATTTTTTGAAACTTGATCTATGTAACTGCATTACAAATTAGCACCCAGGAACTCTCTACACTTCCGGTGAAAGTATACAATGTTACAACCACTTTGGAGTACAAGTTAAAAATATTTGATAAAGCAGAAGATGTATATATCTACCCTATAACCCAGGAATTCAGGAATTCTACACCTAGATGTATAACCTAAAGAAACCTTCCTACACATATACAAAGAAGTGCAAGGATGGTGGTTAAAACTCTTTTAAAATAGTAAACAATTGGAAAGATCTTTAAGTGTCCAAAGGAGAATGAATAAATTTCGATATATATATACAATGAAATACTATTACAAGTTAAAATGAATCAGAGCTAAATTTATCAACATGGGCAGATTTCAAAAACATACTGCTAAACAAAAAGCAAATTGTACAATGATATATACAGTATAATACCATTTATATAAAATTTAAAAGCAGGCAAATGGGTATGTATGTATATAGTAAAATATAAAACATGCATGGGTAGCTGTTACCTCCGTGGTAGGTAGAGGGGGAATGGAATATGGGAAGGGCAGAAAGGGAGATTCAACTTTATCTGCAACCTTTTATTTCCTTTTTAAAAAATCTGAAGCAAAGTTGTCAAAATGTTAGGATTAATAAAGTAATACTTTAAATATTGAAATATTGAATTTAAAATTAATTTAAAAGAAAGGCTATATATCCATTATAAGTCTCATGTAGCAGTCACTTTTTAATCATCCAAATTAGATAGTAGTCTATTGGCATAATGGCCTCTCTTTGTGTCTAGGTGTGTATGTTTCTGTTTCTCATCTAGGAGCCACCATCGCCTTCCCACAACTTCTTCAAAATGGGAATGAAGCTAGAAGCTGTGGACAGGAAGAACCCTCATTTCATTTGCCCAGCCACTATTGGGGAGGTTCGGGGCTCAGAGGTGCTTGTCACTTTTGATGGGTGGCGAGGGGCCTTTGACTACTGGTGCCGCTTCGACTCCCGAGACATCTTCCCTGTGGGCTGGTGTTCCTTGACTGGAGACAACCTGCAGCCTCCTGGCACCAAAGGTAAAGGCCCATCTACGTGCTCTTGAAATCAGGACCCAGATGATAAGGGAGACTACCCAGGGCTGTCATGATCATATCTTCACCAGTATACTTCACTAGTATGCAGGGGAGGAGCAAGGGCCAGCAGCTTAGGTAAAAACCCAGGTCTACCAGGGAGCAATTAGAAACAGTTAAGTATTAAGTGTCAAATGAAACCGCATATGGCATTTGGGATAAAGTAATAATTCTTTGCTCTACATATCCTGGTTTATTCTCAGGCAACCAGCTTTTCATCTCTCTTACTTTTGTCCCTAACCCATTACAAAGTTTGAGTACTAGTATTCCCAAGGCACACACCTTCCTCTGACCTTAGGGGCTTTGGATAAAAGCTGGAGTAACACTGTATTGTAAAAATAGTTGAGAAGCACTGTAGCAGGATGGAAAAAGAACAAGCTTTGAAGTAAGATAGACATGGGTTTGAGGTCCATCTTTGCCTTTTATCAGCTGTGTAGCTTTGGGCAGTTAATTTACCTCCTTAAACTACAAATTCCACATCATGAAGTAGAAAACCTACTTTATGAAGTTATTGTGAGGAATAAATGAGATTACATGGGTAAAATGCTTACATGAAAAGTTGATGACTAGCAAGTACTAAACAAATTTTTATTGTATTACTGCTGCTATTATAGTTATATTCTATATTATAACTATATCATATTATACTATATGATTATTACAATATGCTATATTATCATTATTATAAAACTAACCACTACCTATGAGAGAGTATATATAAAGTACTAGAATAGTGTCACAGACTAAATGAACAATAAAATGATACAGATGATGACAGTGGAGAAGGTCCAGAATAGATTTTGAGGTAGCTGCTTTTAGTAAAGATAATAATAATAATCTCATCCTCTTAAGTCTAAAAAGTACTGGTGAATCTGAGGGAATGAAAAGTCACCCTTCTTATTGTCTGAGGATCTTTTTCTAAACCTCTGTTGAATTCATTCATTCAATTAGCCAAATATTTATTGAGCACCTAATTGTAAGCCAAGCTGAGAGTACACAAGTGACAAAAATGAACAACATTGCTGTGCTCATGACACCTCCATTCTAGTTGGGTGAAACAGATGGTAAACATTTAAATCAAGAAATAAGATAATTTCATATAGATAATTTTTATAGACAGAAATAAAATAATTTCTCCTAAGGAAATAAAGTATGATGGGATAGTGACAGTGAAGGTATAATTGTAAAGGGTTTTTTTTGTTTAATAGCCCTATTGAAATATAATTGACATAAGATAAATGGCATGTATTTAAAGTGTACAATTTGAAAAGTTTTGACATCTATATACATCCATGAAACCATTACCACAATGAAAATAATGAACATATTTATCATTCACAAAAGTTCTTTGTAGAGGGGAAACTTGTTTAGGAAGAATTTCTTTTCAAGAAATTTGTCTGAAAAGTTGATACTTGAATTGAGACCTGAATGATGAGAAGGAGTCATCCAAGGAAAGAGACTTCCAGGCAGGCAGAAGGAACAACTAATATAATGATGCTGAGACATGAGTGAGTTTGCTGTGTTCCAAGGGCAGAAAGCAGACTGCTGTGACTAGAATGCATTGCCTGAGCAAGAAAGTGGTACAAGGGGCTGGGTGCAGTGGCTCACATCTGTAATCCCAGCACTTTGGGAGGCCAAGGCAGGCAGATCACCTGAGCTCAGGAGTTTGAGACCACCCTGGCCAACATGGTGAAGCCCCATCTCTACTAAAAATACAAAAATTAGCAAGGCGTGGTGGTAACACGCCTGTAATCTCAGCTACTCAGGAGGCTGAGGGAGGAGAATTGCTTGAACCTGAGAGGCAGAGGTTGCAGTGAGCCAAGATCGCACCAATACACTGCAGCCTGGGCGACAGAGCGAGACTCTGTCTCAAACAAAAACAAGCAGTGCAAGATGATGTTGGAGAAGTGGACAGGTGCCAAATCATGTAGGACCTTGTAAACCAGAGTGGGAATATTGGATTTTATTCTAAACATATTAGGGAACCATTAGAAGGTACTAAGCCAGGGAAGTGACAAGATTTGATTTACTTTAAAAAAATCACTTGGACTTGTATCCAGAATATAAAAGAACACCTATAACTCAATAATAAAAAAGACAACCCAATTTAAAAATAAGGAAAGGATTTGGATAGATATTTCTCCAGATAACATACACAGATAGCCAATAAGCACTTAAGATGCTCAATATCATTCATCATTAGGGAAATGCAAATCAAAGCCACAGTGAAATACAACTTCACACCCATGGATACAGCTATAAGCAAAAGACAGATAATAACAAATGTTGCTGAGAATGTGGAAAAACTGGAATTCTCGATCATTGCTGGTGAGATTGGAAAATGCTGCAACCACTTTAGAAAACAGTTTGGATGTTACTCAAAATGTTAAAGAGTTACCATGTGACCCAGTAAGTCCACTCATAGATATATACCCAAAAGAATAGAAACATATGTTCACACAAAAACACATAATGAACATTCATGGCAGCATTATTTATAGTAGCCAAAAAGATAAAACAACCCAAATGTTCATCATCTGATAAATGGATAAATAAAATGTGGTATAGCTAGAGGACAAAATACTAATTGGCAATAAAAAAGGAATAAAGTACTAATACATGCTACAGTATAGATGCATCTTAATAACATTATGCTAAATGAAAAGCCAGTCACAAAAGATAATCATTGATGATTACATTTATATGAAATGTCCAGAATTGGCAAATACACATAGACAGAAGTAGATTCGTGGTTGCCAGTGACTAGGGGAGGGAAAATGGGAAATGACTGCTATTGGGGTTTCTTTTGAGGATAATGAAAATGTTTTAAAATTAGGGATGATGTTTGCACAACTCTGAATATCTTAGAAAACACAAATGTAGGGTGAATTTGTGGTATGTAACTTATGTCAATAAAGCTATTATCTAAAAAAAATTACTTGAGCTGGTCTGTGGAGAATGAGTTGTACAGTGGTAATTGTGGACAAGGAAGAAATGAGGTTGCTTGGATTAGGATAGTTGCACTGAGGTGGAGAGATCCTCGGGCAGAATGAAAGGGAAACACACTTCTTGGCTCAGGAAAGTGCCACTCCTCTCTGTGATGCAAGAAACAAGTACCCTGGGGTCAGTATGGTAAATGCATTGTGAGGAAGCACTGTGAGGTAATAGCTCTGTGGAAGCAGCAAGAAGCGAGGTACCTTGGAACTGATAGCAGAGTCATTTTTGTTACTTGAGGCTAAAACAGGATAAGCCTTGGTGCTCTGGGCTTTATTCAGTTAATAGGTTGATTTTCTCATTTTCATGCCTAGGGAATTCACTGTTCTTTTGACTGATAAATCTAGAGCAGTTAGGCAGTTCTCCAGAGCCAACAGAGCTGACGGTCTTTGTGTCCAGGTTGCTGGATATGCATTCCTTTTTGGCTGCAAACCTTGCTGATAAGAAATATGACTCACTCTGTGGCTGATGCTTCCAGAGAAGTTTGCTGACTGTTTTCCTCTCTTCTGTGTCTCTGGAGTCCTTAGATTTTCAACAGAAGATGGTCAGAGGACCAGGCTCAGAAGGTAGAGAGAGACCTTCCAGGTGACATTTCCAGACCAGGTGCTTCAGTCATCATTCCAGCAGTTAGGTTGTTCCCTCTAACAACTGTCTCCTCCCACACTTTACACCCTCAGTAAGTCCTACAAAAGCGCTTTCTATAACAGCAGAAGTTTGGCCAGCAGTCTCCATGTCCTGGCTAAGGAGCAAGTGATGCAATGTGGAAAAAATGTGGTTACTCAATTCATTTCACAAAACAAGTTGTTCTCTGTGTGTAAGCCTGTTCTCTTTCTAATCATACTATTTCCTCCTTCTTTCCTACCTTCTGGTCATTAGTATGCAAATGTTAAAAATTCAGAGTAAGATAATGTTTCCTGCTCATGGCAAATAGGAAAAACCAATATTTATTTAATGTTCCTTTACACACAGATTTTCATTTTATCTTCTGGTAACTCTGAACAAGGTATAATTATTTTCAGATACATTTTATTTATGAGAAAACTGAAGCTCAGATAATTAAATGACTTGGCTCTGTTGATATCTGAGTCTAGAGAGTGAAACCATGGAGATCTTTTAGTAGAGCCACCTGTCAGGACCAATATATCACTGAGGCATATTGTTTTCACACTTGTCTCCCTGATACTCTTCCCATTCTCCTTTGGCCCTTCTTCAAAGCTTCATTTGAGACCCTGGATTTTGGCTTCCAAATCCTGATAAAAAATAGGAAAGAAAAAGTATGGTGTAGTATCAGAGCACTGAACTGGGTTCTAGTCCCAGCCAGGCCACAAACTTGGTTACGTCATTGAGCAAGTCATTCTTACATGTGAGAGGCTGAACTACATGATCCCTAGTGGGCACTTTTACCTCTGTAATACTATCTAGTTTAATGATCTTGGGAATAGGTAGCAGGTGACTCCTGTGCCTCTGTCTCCTACATGATTTTAGGTTCATCAGCTCACCTATCACCTATCTCTGCCTTTTTGAAGTAATTCCTGTGTGCCAGCTGTCTGCTGCCTCTCTTTTTCTCCTTTTCTAAGCCAAGTAGTATCCCTTTTAGTTGCTAAACTCCTGTGGCCAAGCCAACTCTGATGGGTAGTAACTACCAAGCGTCCAACTAATCCAGAGTACTTGGTTATAAAAGGCAGAAGCTTTTTACTTTTAGCTTATTTTTTGTGACTTAAAATAAAACTGAAACAGATACATGCTTTAGTTTTTAAATGTAAAAAGCAAAATGAAGAATTCAGTACATATGGCATGACTATGATGCTAATCATACCTTTAGCCATCATGATAATCCACTTGACTTCCCCTTGCTCTGATTTCAGGCTGGGAAAGCCAGTTTCAGATTATACCTTAGCTCCCTATGTGGATTGATAGCAGCGAGACAACATGAGACCCAAGCTACTTTATATTTTTATTATAAATTAATATATTGCTATTCTGGATTAGTACATTCGTCTCTTGTGACTTCATATGTTGTTAAACTGGATCTGTCTGCTGTCTACATGCTAATCCAAATATGGGAATCTAGTAGAGGTGCTGCACTTTAGCATACCTGTTAGAGTACATGGTCAACCAGGCCTCCTTTACCCTCTCAGTCTACCCTTTCTACCTGCGACAGGTTTCTTTGTACAAAGCAAAAATTTCAAAATCGGACTCAACATCGTGGCTCACGTACAGGATTCTTACACTGGTCTGGAGGGTAATAATTTGATGCTTAGAAACAAAACTTTCAGAATATCTTTTCCTTTTTTTATTTGGAAAGTGCTTTCCATACTTAAAGAATGTTCTCTTTTTGTTTTAAAACCACATACGAAATTATGCCACAATCACTTTGGGATTCTAGGGCAGAAAGAGTTAATTAAATTGTAATCCTAGGCTAGGCGCAGTGGCTCACGCCTGTAATCCCAGCACTTTGGGAGGCCGAGGCAGGCAGATCACAAGGTCAAGAGATCGAGACCATCCTGGCCAACATGGTGAAACCCCGTCTCTACTGAAAATACAAAAATTAGCTGGGTGTGGTGGTGCCCACCTGTAGTCCCAGCTACTCGGGAGGCTGAGGCAGGAGAATCGCTTGAACCCAGGAGGCAGAGGTTGCAGTGAGCCAAGATCATGCCACTGCACTCCAGCCTGGTGACAGAGCAAGACTCTGTCTCAAGAAAGAAAAAAAAATGTAATCCTAGACTACAGAGAGAAAAACTAGGATAGAGGCAAGAATAATACAACTTAAGGCTAACTTGTAGGTCTCAACATGAGGTCACCTGATAGACTGATCTTCCTCATCCATCCATTTATTCAAATTCTAACTATCAAGTCATGATTAAGTACTAGTCATTGGCTCAGTTGATGGAGATTCTGCCGTTAGTGTTTACAGTTTTGTGAACATATAGACCAATAAAGTACGACTTTGGAGGAATAAAGTACAGAGGGACCCCAACCTAGATTGAGGGGACTGGAGGTTGGAGATCTCTATAACCTCCCTTGAGCCTAGCATGTCTAACATGGGCTGCTCTATAGCTATTGGGTAAATGGATGAATAAAGGACAAGACTTCCAAACGAAGGCTTCCAAATGAAGTGATGTCTAAGCTGAAACCTTAAGAATGGGAAGGTAGAGAAAAAATTCTCTCTAGCAGTGGAAACAGATTAGTGTAGGGCCAGAAGTTAAAAAAAAAAAAAAGTATGGTCAAGGAATTAAAAAATAGTTAAGGCCGGGCGTGGTGGCTCACGCCTATAATCCCAGCACTTTGGGAGGCAGAGGCGGGTGGATCACAAGGTGAAGAGTTAGCGACCAGCCTGACCAATATGGTGAAACCCCGTCTCTACTAAAAATACAAAAATTAGCCAGGTGTGGTGGCTGACGTCTGCAGTCCCTGCTACTCGGGAGGCTGAGGCAGGAGAATCGCTTGAACCTGGGAGGCAGAGGTTGCAGTGAGCTGAGATTGCGCCACTGCACTCCAGCCTGGGTGACAGAGTGAGACTCCATCTCAAAAAAAGAAAAAGGAAAAAAGAAAATGGCTAGATTGTAGGGTGTAAGTAGAGGAGCAGAAAGAGATAAGGCACAGCAGAGGAAGGCGCAGAATGCTTCCCTCATAGACCATCTTAAGGATCTGGATTTTTACCTTATGAGCATCGAGAACTGTATTAGGCTGTTCTTGCATTGCCATAAAGAAATACCTAAGACTGGGTAATTTATAAAGAAAAAAGGTTTAATTGGCTTAGAGTTCTGC
The DNA here is from genome assembly GCF_000001405.40 of Homo sapiens. Taxonomy (NCBI): domain Eukaryota; kingdom Metazoa; phylum Chordata; class Mammalia; order Primates; family Hominidae; genus Homo; species Homo sapiens. Next base: position 41,106,466 of record NC_000001.11, on the reverse strand, counting down.
AGGCTGTATAAACACGGTGCTGCATAGCTTGGCTTCTGGGGAGGCCTCAGGGAGCTTTTACTCATGGTAGAAGGCAAAGCTGGAGCAGGCAGATGGCAGTGTGGGGAGGGGGGTGTCACACTTTTACAACAACCAGAACTCACTCACTATCTCAAGGACAGAACCACACCCTGAGGAATCCACCCCCATGACCCAAACACCTCCCACCAGGCCCCACCTCCAACGCTGGGGCTTACAGTTTGACGTGAGATTTGGGCAGGGACAAAATATCCAAACTAAATCAAGAACTATTGGCTGGGCGTGGTGGCTCACACTTGTAATCCCAGCACTTTGGGAGGCCGAGGCGGGCAGATCACCTGAGGTCAGGAGTTCGAGACCAGCCTGGCCAAGTTGGTGAAACCCTGTCTCTACTAAAAATACAAAAATTAGCTGGGCATGGTGGCGTGCACCTGTAATCACAGCTACTAGGGAGGCTGAGGCAGGAGAATCGCTTGAACCCAGGAGGTAGAGGTTGCAGTGAGCCAAGATCGTGCCACTGCACTCCAGCCTGAGTGACAGAGCAAGACTCTGTCTCAAAAAAAAAAAAAAACTATCAAATGGGCTTTTAAGTAGTAGAGTTACAGCTCAGATTTGTGTTTTAGAAGGACCATTTTGGCAACAATGAAAGGACGGATTCAGATGCTGGAGTCAGGGATGCCAGTTAACAAGCTGTTATAATATTCCAGGTGAGAGAGAAAATTGAAGCAGTGACATGGTGGTGAGGATAAGATGGGGTGGGGGGCATATTCTTTGAATAAAGAAGACAAAATGCAAGTTCTTAATGTGTATCACCTATTGTGACTATTTTATTTATTTAACAAACAAGCCCTGTACCATGTAAAATAATGCCAAGTTTTCAGTGTAAGTATTTATGAGGAGCTAAAATTCTTCTTTCTGTCATGTCTAGGAAGTTGGGATTGTTTTCTACCTGGAGTCCATGTTAAATGGAATGAATTTATTAACTGCCTCTTTATGTCCCCACCACTTGGAACATGCCATTTATTCAGTAATATCTGTTAACTGAAATAGGTTATACTATATTTTCTGATTCCATTTCTGTTGATCCTCATCTAAAGCCGTTATTCAGATATTCACTTAATTACAAAAAATAAGAATACTACTCGCATCTATGACAAATTTGACAGATTATTAAAAGCTATTTAAGGCCAGGCACAGTGGCTCATGCCTGTAATCCCAGCATTTTGGGAGGCTGAGACAGGTGGATCACCTGAGGACCAGAGTTCAAGACCAGCTTGGCCAACATGGTGAAACCCTGTCTCTACAAAAATACAAAAAAAAAAAAAATTAGCTGAGCATGATGGTGGGCATCTGTAATCCCAGCTACTTCGGATATTGAAGCAGGAGAATCACTTGAACCCAGGAGGCAGAGGTTACAGTGAGCCGAGATTGTGCCACTGCACTCCAGCCTGGGCAACAAGAGTGAAACTCCATCTCAAAAAAAAAAAAAGGCTGTTTAATGTTACGGTTTTTTAATTTTGGAAACCTAATGGCCAAAAGTAAGAGTGGCACAGGGCACTAAGATTTGTTTCCAGAGCCCATATTCACTCACCTCTCAGTTACTAAACACATGTACACCTCTACACCTGGACCACCCCCTGCCCTTCCACCCAGCTTTTTTTCCTAATAAGCCACAACAACCAGGAGGGTGTGGTCTCTACAGGTTTGGCAGCTAATATACCCCTCTTGTCTCCTGAGAAGGTGTGTTCACTAGCCACTAGTTCAGTAGTTCACTGTCAGAAAAGATATGAGCATGTTGGTTAATAAGTGAAGCAAATTCTTTTTTGTTTATTGATATGTAATAATTGTACATTTTGATGGGGTACCTGTGATATTTTGATACATACATACAATGCTTAATGATCAAATCAGGGTCATTGGGATATCTGTCACCACAAACATTTATCATTTATTTGTGTTGAAAGATTGCAAATCAAAGCTAACTTTTTGGTGCCTTTAATGAGAATAGCCACTCAGGTACTATTTTCCCTTTAACCCTCTCAGATATATTGTGTCCAGACCTTGCCCCTATTTATATACCATTTCCTCCTTCCATAAACACACGTATGCATATAGTCTCTGTCCTTATTTCAGCTTTGGCCTTGTGATCTCATCACATCTGGTAAATCCGTCCTTTATTCACCTATCTATCCACAGTTACAGGCTCATGTTAGCAGTGCTAGGTTCACTGGAGGTTATAGACAAGTGTCTGCCTCCCCAGTTGATTGAATGATTGAAATGAGAAAATTGGTGGCAAATGCATAGCACCATGTAGCACGTAGTAGATGCCCACTGTGCGTTAGTTGCATCTGAATCAAGATCCCCAGGCCTCCCAAGAAAAGGGAACTGCACGCAGAGCCAGGAAAGTGCTCTATTTTGGTCAGGAAAAATAAATATGAGATGAGGCTTCTGCAGTGAACCAGTACTCTCATAACTGATTTTTTCTTGGTTATATGCTTGTGGTACACAAATAGAAATAGGAAAATGGGGAAGTGAGATGGGTGGAGTAGATTATGAAGCAGAGAATCTGGGTTCTCCCACTGATTGTAATTAGGTCTGCCCAAGGGACCAGAAAAAAAAACTCCCATTCCATATCTCTCTTCCAGAATCCTTAAGCTGCCCCTTGACTCTGCCCATTCGCTCTCTCTCTTGCCCTCACAAACTCCAGATGCCTGAGAATGGTAGCAGTTTTCGACATGTATAATGAAACAATTGGCATCTCTCAAGCTGTTTGAAATAGTGAGATGTGATTTATGCAGTTCATAAATTTGACCACATTTACTGTTTTCTTGGGAATACATAGAACCCATATAGGGTTTTTTTGGCAAGCTTTTATTGTAACACCCACTGTGCCAGCATCAATACATATCAATTTACAAAATCCCCAATTTTAAATAAGTGTTGGTGATTTTCAGGAAAATCTTACTGAAAACCAGTGATAAATTGTGTTACTAAATTTCTTCCCTTGGGCCGGGCGCAGTGGCTCATGCCTATAATCCCAGCACTTTGGGAGGCCAAGGCGAATGGATCACTGGAGGTCAGGAGTTTGAGACCAGCCTGGCCAACATGGTGAAACTCCATCTCTACTGAAAATAAAAAAATAAAAAAAAATTAGCCAGGAGTGGCGGCTCATGCCTGTAATCGTAGCAACTTAAGAGACTGAGACAGAAGAATCGCTTGAACCTGGGAGGTGGAGGTTTCAGTGAGCCGAGATCATGCCACTGCACTCCAACCTGGGTGACAGAGTGAGACTCTGTCTTAAAGAAAAAAAAAAAAATTTTCTTCCCTTGATTCCCTAGATTATTTTTGAGGAACTATTACAGTTATAAATGAGAATTTCTGAATCTCAATAATGACTTAATAGAAAAAAAACAAAACATAAACATTCATATATGTTAAGAAGATGAGAAAAACCTGGCAAACTCAAACCAAGCAAAGAAAAAAGAGGAGGTTCTGAGGGTGATATGGCAAGAAGGCAGGATTGTGGTTGTAAGCTGTTAAAATTTATTGTCTTGTGCTAAGGAAAGCTGGAATGTTTTTGACTGTGTGGCTGACTAGCAGGTGCTTTCTCACCATGTGCTTTCATGCCACCTTTCTGAGTGGCCTAAGCTTGACTAGCCATTAGCAGACCATCTTCTAAGAAAATATAGCCCTCCACTTGCCGAAACTGCTCCTGAATCATCTTACCTACTGCCCTAGAAAACTAAGGTCAGTTGCACCTTTTAGTTTCAGTAATATGAGGCTTTTGAAGTTTGTGGTCCTATCATGCATGATTTTAGTTATCTGTTTTCCCCCACTCTCTGCAGATTTATCAGCCTGAAGTCCCCAGGAAAATGTGACATGTCTTTGTAGTTGCAGAGGTCCTCTATCCATGTTGTAGGAATGAGTCAGGAGAGAAAAAAGGAGCTGGATATGGAGTACCAAAAGTGTTAACTGAGCTGGATCAGAGCAGGAGGCAACCCATGCTGTTTAAGTGAACTGGAATTTAGAAGACTGGAGTTTCAGCCTTGGCATCAGCCCAGCTGGCAGCACATAGCTGAACCCAGCCAAGTTGAGCAAAGCTAATAAAAAACATATCCTCTAAATTACTATACCAAGGCCAATGATACACTACTGTGAATGAAAAATAAGATTCCATTCCAGGAAACTGATAAACCAAATGGATTTTCCCCAGCTCTTTTTTTCTTTTCCATTGTTCATGCTCTCCTATGCCATGTAGACACACACACACACACATGCGTGTGCATGCACAATAGCCTATTTTACATTTTATTAATTTATTCCCAATTCCCTATGCTCTGTTGTTGCTATAGAGACGAGAAATCTGATGATAAATTCTTTTGGGCAGTTAAGACTCCTAAGGATTATTTAGAGAAACCTAGAAGGCAGCAGAGGCCTAGTGTCCTTCATTATTATAACTAGGCATGTTTAGTTCTTTATCTTCTCTCTTTTATTCAGGTATACACTAGTGTTTTATTCATTGGTTTCAGAGTAACATAGTGGAAAGAATATAGACTTTGGAGACCAAAAGATCTAGGTTCAACTCCTAGCTTTAGCTATGTGGCCTTTGGCAAGTCTTTTAACTTCTGTGAGTCCAGTGTCTCCATTTTTAAAATATCCAAGTATGATAGTTGACTCAGGAAAAAGCATTTGTGCAATTGTTTGAGTTGTAAGCTCAACTAGCTACTTTTTTCATGGAATATTATCTTTGCTTGAAAAAAACAGCGGACTTGGATATTTAGCAGACATTTTCTCCAAAATGAAATGATCTGATCACTTCAAGGAAGGCAACCTATAAGCATTTTCTGTGAATTATAAATTTAAGGTTTCAAATGAAAATTAAAAATTTTGAAAAAATGTGTATATCCACCAGAATGAGCTTTACATCTTATCAATAAATACAGACTTCAGAGTTACTCTTTACCATTTCTCTCCCATCTAAAAGTTACATTGGTTAAGAATCAGTTATTTGCCCTACTATTAAATGTGAGATGTGAGGAAAGTAAAAAGTCATAGAGTCTTAGAGTGCTGGGGCTAGAGGAAATCAAATTCAACCTCCCACCTAACTTAAGACTCATCTTGAAACCATCCCTATAAATGCTTATTTGCTGTTACTTAAATGCTCCCACAGGCAGAGATTATAACCTCCCAAAGGAGCACTTTTAATTTGTGATAGCACAAATGTCTAAAAATACTGTTTTTTACTGTAAGCTGAAATATGCTTTCCCCAGTATCTATCCATTGGCTCTAATTTGGTTTTTCTTTCATCCAAAACCTTTTCACATACTCTTGTTTCCCTAGGTCTTTTTTTCCCCGCTATTTTTGAGATTGTATAGTTTCTAAGCCCCTCATCATCTTGAGCTCTCTTCTTTTTTTTTTTCTCCCCGCCTCCCCAACCCCAGGTTCAGCTTTGACTTTAGAGTTTTCTTTTCTTGATCCATTTAAGTTTACAATGCTATGCCTAGAATAAACTCTAGACTGCAGGGACAGCCTCATTAGTGTGAAATGGAGAGGCATTCTGATTTCCCTTTAAAAAGGACTATACTGGCTGGGTGCAGTGGGTCACGCTTGTAATCCCAGCACTTTGGGAGGCCAAGGCAGGCGGATCACGGGGTCAGGAGTTCGAGACCAGCCTGACCAATATGGTGAAACCCTGTCTGTACTAAAAATACAAAAATGAGCTGGGCGTGGTGGCAGGTGCCTGTAGTCCCAGCTACTTGGGAGGCTGAAGCAGAAGAATAACTTGAACCCAGGAGGCAGAGGTTGCAGTGAGCCGAGATCGTGCCACTGCACTCCAGCATGGGCAATAGAGTGAGACTCCGTCTCAAAAAAAAAAAAAAAAGAAAAAGAAAAGAAAAGGCTATCCTATGACCTCACATGTTAAAGATAAGGGATTGTGTTTTTATATTTTTGTATTCTGTAATGGTCATGGTAGATGCTTTACGTTACTCCTTGTCTAGTCTCAGCGCAAGTTGAACCAAACTTAAAGACATAATGGCCATGCTAGATGAGGGGATTTTCTGGTAGTTAATTTTTTTTGCTGCCTAGGGGGTAGAAATGGTAATTTATAAGACTGGGAAAGTACCTTTTTTTGTTGTTGTTAGAGACGAGATCTCACTATGTTGCCCAGGCTAAGTGGAAAGTGCTTTTACAATTCTCTTTTATCACCATACCCGGGTTTTGATAAACTTAGTATTCTCCTTAGTAAAAGTTTTCATCAGATACTTGCTCTTTTTTATCTTGTGATAACTTTTCTTCACTCAAATCAATAGGGAAATACAGTATTTGCTGTATAAAAACATAGAAGCCTACCTTAGAGCTGAATTCACTCATTTATATATAATCAATAATCAGAGTATACCTATAGACACAGTCTTATTTTGAGCTTTCCATGGAAAAGAGTGTAGGTCACCAGGCTAGACCATAAAAATATGTTTAAACTTTTGTTTTTCTCCTGTTTAGTACTAGATTAAACTAATCACCTTTTCTAATGTTGTTTAGAGCATGTTTACTGAGCATCATCTTAAGAAGAAAGAAAGTTAACATTTAGCAAGCCCATACAAGGTCCTAAAGACACTTTGATACATTATCTGAGTAAACTTCACAAACCTCCAGTGGGATTTATAGTATTTGCCCATATTTTACATAAGGAAACGGGCTCAGAAAGGTTGAGGGGAAGAATAAGAAACTAAGATTTATGGAGTCCCTAGGTCATGTCAGACACAGTACTCATATCCACATTCTCAAACTTTATCTCAGCTAAACTTCATAATAACCCATAACTTAAAGAGGTTATTTGCAAGGACTTGAACCTAATTCCATGGGTTTCTGACTTCAAAGTCAGTGTTCTTTCTTTCATACCACACTTCACTTCTCTATGCCTCAAAGGAGATTTAGAGATAACCGTTAGGTAAATAAGGCTGAGATAATTGTGAATATGGGGTAAATTAATGAATGTTAAAGTACTTTGAGAATTATGAAGTGTAAGTCTCATATGATAGGTTTCCATCTGTGATTTTGGAAATGCATAGTGAGACCTACAGGAAATTCCAGGGCCCTTTTTTAAACCAGCAGCTGGGAGTTTGGATGCGTTTGAAATGTGTGTTGGGAGTAGAATGAGAAGGATTAGGAGTGGAAGAGAGATCCTTCAAAGCACTAATGTAATATAAGATAGAAAGAACTGTTGCTGATTTGATTTTATTCTGCATCCTGTTTAGATTTGCTATATTTTTATGGTGAAAATATATACATTTAGAATTAGCCAGCTGGACTCACTTTAGATAATCCCAGTTTTGTTGGCAACATCCAGAGCATCATAATCAGGAGCCAGTCAAACATCTGCCTTCTTCTCTCCCTCAGGCCTGATCAGGGTGTTGACCACATCAGTGTCATAGAGCTTCTTTACAACCTGTTTGATCTGGTACTTGTTGATTTTGACATCCACAAGTGTGTTGTTGTCTTCTATCTTCTTCATGGCTGACCCAGTGGTCAGGAGGGACTTAATAATGGCATAGCGGTCACGCTTATTTCTTTCTCCTGTGGGTGCCCTTCCAAGGATATTTGGGCTGCCTCCAGAGCTGTAGTGTCTTGGGCTGCCAGGTTGGTGACATGTACATTTGTGGGCTGGCGGGGGGTGGGGGTCGGGGGGAGGAAGGGGGAGGGAGGGAGTGCCTGTGGTCACTTTTCAGTACTGTCTTTTTGGCCCTCAAAGGCCTTGCTTTGGCTTTGGCTTTGGGAGGGACAGGAGCTTCCTTCTTTGTCTTCAGTGCCATCTTGTGAAAAAAGAGCTACATCTGTATATTTTTTCAGAACCATAAAATTCTCACAGAATTTTCAAAATGACCTTTTTAGCAATTTACTGTCACTTCACTTAACCTCCCTTAGCAAATTATTTAACTTCCATTAGTCTTTGTTTCTTCATCTATAAATTGAGGCAGTAACAGTACCTACTCACAGGGTTGTTGTAAGGAGTTAAGAATTTACATATTAGAACACCTGGCACATATTAAGCATTCAAAAAATGTGAGTTATTTTCTATTTTAATGCTGTTATTTTGTGAATAAGGAAATTGAAGCCTGGTAAAAGGTCACTTTCTCAAGTTTTACTTGAATTAGCTACCAAATGATATATGTTGTTTGTATGATAATAAATAAGGTGAGTCTTTCATAAGTAGTATTTAAAAGTTTCAGTTTATGTGTATTACAGAAGCAGGTGCTTGTGAAATAGTTGTCAAAATAGAATGAAATATTTAAGAGTTACCCAGAAATATATAATATATAAAGCTCAAAATAATACTAATAGAGACTGAGTAGGTGAAAAAGAGGGAAGACTGGATAGAACTTATTGGGATTTGTGTCATTTGCTGAAGGATGTTTAGAGTTGATAACCAGTTCGAGAGGCAATTAATTCCAGGGGGCTAACATGCAAGGCACCAGCTAAGAAAAAGAATCGTTCCAAAAACTTAAGCACAGAGACTATGTCAAGAAACTGAAATCAGACAAGGTGAAAGAATAGCACGGCTTATTCTGAATTTACACAGAAAATATTACAAAGAGACTATTGAAGAATTTTAACCAAAGGAGTGACATGATCACATTTGTGTTTTAGACAGATCTTTATGACCTGTTAGATAAGGAATAGAGGTAATGATGGGTTAGAATAAGTTAGAGGGAGAGAGACTGGTTAGTTCACCATTTCAGTGATTAAGACAAGGGATTTTGAGGATGTATATTAAAGTTGAGGCAGTGGTATTTGAGTGGAAGAAATGAATTTGATTAGCTAGCTGTGGTGGCACATGCCTGTAGTCCCAACTACTTGGGAGACTGAGGCAGGAGGATTGCTTGAGCCCAGGAGTTTGAGGCTACAGTGAACTATGATCGTGCCACTGCACTCCAGCCTGGGTGACAGAGTGACACCCTGTTTCTAAAAAAGAAAAGAAATGAATTTGAGACATTCGGGAGACAGTTTCTCTGGAAAAGACATTCTTTTTTGAGCCGCATTCCTTTAAGCTTTCAGTACTAGAGGATCCTAAAACTAGAAGCAGACTAAGATCAAATGCTAGGGAAACCGTGGACTTGATGCCAAACTAAGCAAAAAGAATAAATGCTGAGTTGGAGGTAGACCGTGTCATTAGCAGAATATGCTAGATCTAAACATGAACAACCAGAAAGCTAAGTCTGAAATCAGTCAGCAGAGTTGCAAATTAAGAAGACTAGTTGTCCAGATGAGTTTCCAGTAAAAGATAACAATTTCTCCTAACCTTAAAGGCCAATACTCTGAGCCAGTATCTGACAAACTAACTTGATTTCTAGATATACATTTTACTTCAAGAACACTAAACTAATTATCCATTTATTATTTTAGGTAAAGTATTTTTGCCCTTTTGTATACTTAGACATATTGCACATTGCCAAAACTGGAGCAGAACTGAAGGGCCCCAGAGTGATTAAAAACTAGCATGTTCTTTGAACTAGTTTGAAAGACTGGAAATTGCTGCTAATGTGTGTAATCCCTTTAGCAGCTGGTCCCATCTAATAGCCCAGTTACTGCCTGTGAAGTGGTAAGCATTAGGATTGTTTCATACTAATTATTAGCATGAGAAGAATGAGAAAAAAGGTAGGGAAAGGAGAAAGAAAAAGATACTAGCCTGTCTGCACTTTGTGTAGTCATGTTGGTCCACTATGGCCATAGAACAGGATTCCCTTTGACTGTATCCTCTACAGGAGCAGAGTTTCAGGGTCCCAGAACAATTAGGGTCAAGAGTATCATTTTGCCGTAGTTGCCTGATGAGTGTTTTATTTCTTTTCCTCTCCAATCTACCCTGCTCTTCACCTCCCACGTAGCAACATAGTAGCAGAAAGTTCACTACAGTCAGATGAGAACAAGGCTAAGGTTTATTGAGCGTTCACTATGTAGCCAGTGCCGGACTGATCTCTTCAATTGTTATTTCATGTAATCTTGACAATAATCTGTAGGTAAGTACTATTATCTATTTTACAAATGAAGAAACTACAATGCAGAGAAATGAAGTAACTTCCTTAAAATCACACACCATGTTCAAATGTCCAGCTCCACCTTTGCTATTTATTTCCTGGGAGATCTTAAGCAAGTATTTTTCCTCTATAATGTTTAGTTTCTCCATCTATTTTTTAAAAAGGTTAAACTAGATGACATAAGGTTGCTTCCAACTTTCAGTATTCTAAGACTGTGTTGGGTAAATCATTCCGTTAATAATTGTAATAAGTCATAAAAGTTCAGTGTCTGTTCCTATTATTGCTAGTATTATTGAATCTAGTGTTAACCTGAGCTTCCTACCTTCCTAACCTCTTTTGCTATTGTTAACATTTTGTATATTCTATTCTGGTTTTTATTTTTTACAGTTTTTAAAAATGCAGTTTAATCACACTGTATATTTTACTGTATGCTATCCTATTCTGTTTTTCACTAAATATTATCTATCTTGTTCTGTGTTGTTATACAATCTTTATAACCATCATTTTAAGTTATTATGTAAGAGTCAATTGAATGGATATGCAATTGTTTGCTTAATTATTCCCCTAGTTTAATGGTCCAAATTTTCTTTTTTAATAATGATATGATAAACTTACTTAAGCATTTTTCTCAATGCCAAGGAACGTATCCTTAGTTTCCCAGAAATACAAGACGGTGTCAAAGAAAGAATATTTTTAAGAATCTTGGCTGCACAGAGCCAAATCTGCTCATTTGAAATATATATATTCGCATGTTCAACCAAGAATCATCTGCTTAAAATCGACCAGAATATAGCATCAGAATGGCACATTTTCCTGCTTCCAGCATATTTTTATATAGAAAACATAGACCCCAGGAGGTAGGAGGTCAGCACTGTCATATACCAGTTACAACATTCATAACTACAGTAGAACTTATTACAAACCAGAGGAAATATGTCTAATTTTTTTCCCAGTTTTCACTGCCCAATACGTGTGCTGTCACTTGGGAATAGGTTTTACTCAGAATTGTGACTGTGGGACTGCAAATATTCCCTAGGAAAAAGACTGCACATAGTATATCCAAGGCCCAAAGCTTTGGGGACTACATGGAATATAGGTTAGCCTCTGTTTTGAGAATTTGTAGTCTGCTAGGGAAATAAAACATAAACCACTGAAAAAGCAGTCAAAGTGAAGCAGAATTCTAGAATCAAATGCTAGAGTATGGGTTACATTTATTCACTCAACTAACATTTATTGAGCACCCACCATGTGTAAAGCATAATTGTAAGATGTGGACATAACAACATAGTCCTTAAGAAGTTGTATTCTAGTTGAGAGAGACATAAACAGGTAAACTGGTAGCGATAATTTATCTGGAGAAAAAATAAAGACAGGTAAAGCAGAAGAAGGAGAATAGAGAGTGCCAGGGGTTTGGGGGTGATGGGTTGGAGGTATTGTTTTATATAGGATGATGAGGGAAAGCTTCACTGAAAGGTATCATTTGAGCAGAGATATGGCTGTCTAGGAAAAAGAATTTTTTTTTTTTTTTTGAGGCAGAGTCTCACTCTGCTCCACAGGCTGGAGTGCAATGGTGCAATCTCAGCTCACTGCAACCTCCGCCTTCTGGGTTCTAGCAATTCTCCTGCCTTAGCCACCTGATTAGCTGGGATTACAGGCACCTGCTACCAAGTCCGGCTAATTTTTGTATTTTTAGTAGAGACGGGGTTTCATCATGTTGGCCAGGCTGGTCAAAACTTCTGACCTCAGGTGATCTACCAGTCTCAGCCTCCCAAAGTGCTGGGATTACAGGCGTGAGCCATGATGCCTGGCTCTTTTTTTTCTTTTTAAAAAAATTATTTTATCTACCACTAAGAGGGAGAAAGAAATTCTTTCTTAGTAAAGAGAGTTGAAAGTTTAAGTGCACCAAAGCAATAGTTTGCTTAGTTTAACAATTCTCAAACTGTACTCCTTGGATCCTTGGGATCCCCAAGACCCTTTCACAGCATCTTCAAGGTCAAGACCATTTTCATAATGTTAACTCTACTTGCCTTTTTTACTGGGTTAATATTTGCATTGATTGGTATAAAAGCAATGGTAAGTAAAACTGCTGGCACCTTGACACAAATCAAGGCACCAACTATAGTAATAGTAATGATATACTTGATTGCCACATGTTGCAGGGGGACCAAAACAAAACCAAAAAGCAACTCGGGCATAAGCCAAGTTCACTTAACAGTGTCCTTGATGAAGCAGTAAAATTTATTAAGCTTATTAAATCCCAGCCTTTGAGTAGATATCTTAACATTCTTTGCGATGAAATGAGAAGTATGACTAGTGCAATTCTGGTGCGTACTGATGTACTGTGGTTGCCTGAAGAAAAAACGCTTGTATAATTGAGCTGTCAGCTGAACTAGCTACTTTTTTATGAAACTCCATTTTTACTTGAAAGAATGACTAACAAGACAAACTCGTTATTCAGATTTGGGTGTTTGGCAGACGTTTTCTCAAAAATGAACTAAGTGAGCCTGTCACTTTAGAGAAAACAGCTAATAGCATTTGTTAGCAATGATAAAATTCAAGCTTTCAAATGAAAATTAGAATTTTGGAAACCTTGTGCCTGCCACCATAATCTTGACAGCTTCCCCGTACTTAAAGACTTTTCTGATGAGATTGTGGTGATACCAACTAATGTGTATTTTTGATACTGAATAATAAAATATGCTGATATTTGGGAAATCTGTATAACTCAGTGAAACAGTGTTTTACAAATGACCAATGCATGATATTACAAAATCAGGCATGGATTAAAAATTCATTCAAAGTACAAGATAGACTAAAAGATTTTAATATTAACAGAATATGAAAAGTTTATTAGTATTATTTCAACTTTCACATTTTGATTAACTTTTTTTATTATTATTATACTTTAAGTTCTAGGGTACACGTGCACAACGTGCAGGTTTGTTACATATGTATACATGTGCCATGCTGGTGTGCTGCACCCACTAACTCGTCATTTACATTAGGTATATCTCCTAATGCTATTCCTCCCCCCTCCCCCCACCCCATGACAGCCCCGTGTGTGATGTTCCTCACCCTGTGTCCAAGTGATCTCATTGTTGAATTCCCATCTATGAGTGAGAACATGCGGTGTTTAGTTTTCTGTCCTTGCGATAGTTTGCTGAGAATGATGGTTTCCAGCTTCATCCATGTCCCTACAAAGGACATGAACTCATCCTTTTTTATGGCTGCATAGTATTCCATGGTGTACGTGTGCCACATTTTCTTAATCCAGTCTATCATTGATGGACATTTGGGTTGGTTCCAAGTCTTTGCTATTGTGAATAGTGCCGCAATAAACATATGTGTGCGTGTGTCTTTATAGCAGCATGATTTATAATCCTTTGGGTATATGCCCAGTAATGGGATTGCTGGGTCAAATGGTATTTCTAGTTCTAGATCCTTGAGGAATCGCCACACTGTCTTCCACAATGGTTGAACTAGTTTACAGTCCCACCAGTAGTGTAAAAGCATTCCTATTTCTCCACATCCTCTCCAGCACCTGTTGTTTCCTGACTTTTTAATGATCGCCATTCTAACTGGTGTGAGATGGTATCTCATTGTGGTTTTGATTTGCATTTCTCTGATGGCCAGTGATGATGAGCATTTTTTCATGTGTCTGTTGGCTGCATAAATGTCTTCTTTTGAGAAGTGGCTGTTCATATCCTTTGCCCACTTTTTGATGGGGTTATTTGATTTTTTCTTGTAAATTTGTTTAAGTTCTTTGTAGATTCTGGATATTAGCCTTTTGTCAGATGGGTAGATTGCAAAAATTTTCTCCCATTTTGTAGGTTGCCTGTTCACTCTGCTGATAGTTCTTTTGCTGTGCAGAAGCTCTTTCGTTTAATTAGATCCCATTTGTCAATTTTGGCTTTTGTTGCCATTGCTTTTGGTGTTTTAGACATGAAGTCCTTGCCCATGCCTATGTCCTGAATGGTATTGCCTAGGTTTTCTCCTAGGATTTTTATGGTTTTAGGTCTAACATTTAAGTCTTTAATCCATCTTGAATTAATTTTTGTATAAGGTGTAAGGAAGGGATCCAGTTTCAGCTTTCTACATATGGCCAGCCAGTTTTCCCAGCACCATTTATTAAATAGGAAATCCTTTCCCTATTTCTTGTTTTTCTCAGGTTTGTCAAAGATCAGATGGTTGTAGATGTGTGGTATTACTTCCAAGGGCTCTATTCTGTTCCATTGGTCTATACCTCTGTTTTGGTACCACTACCATGCTGTTTTGGTTACTGTAACCTTGTAGTATTGTTTGAAGTCAGGTAGCGTGATGCCTCCAGCTTTATTCTTTTGGTTTAGGATTGTCTTGGCAATGCGGGCTCTTTTTTGGTTCCATATGAACTTTAAAGTAGTTTTTTCCAATTCTGTGAAGAAAGTCATTGGTAGCTTGATGGGGATGGCATTGAATCTGTAAAGTACCTTGGGCAGTATGGCCATTTTTCACAATATTGATTCTTCCTATCCATGAGCATGGAATGTTCTTCCATTTGTTTGTGTCCTCTTTTATTTCATTGAGCAGTGGTTTGTAGTTCTCCTTGAAGAGGTCCTTCACATCCTTTGTAAGTTGGATTCCTAGGTATTTTATTCTCTTTGAAGCAATTGTGATTGGGAGTTCACTCATGATTTGGCTCTCTGTTTGTCTGTTATTGGTGTATAGGAATGCTTGTGATTTTGTATCCTGAGACTTTGCTGAAGTTGCGTATCAGCTTAAGGAGATTTTGGGCTGAGATGATGGGGTTTTCTAAATATACAATCATGTCATCTGCAAACAGGGACAATTTGACTTCCTCTTTTCCTAATTGAATACCCTTTATTTCTTTCTCTTGCCTGATTGCCCTGGCCAGAACTTCCAACACTATGTTGAATAGGAGTGGTGAGAGAGGGCTTCCCTTCTTGTGCCAGTTTTCAAAGGGAATGCTTCCAGTTTTTGCTCATTCAGTATGATATTGGCTGTGGGTTTGTCATAAATAACTCTTATTATTTTGAGATACATCCCATCAATACCTAGTTTATTGAGAGTTTTTAGCATGAAATGCTGTTAAATTTTGTCGAAGGCCTTTTCTGCATCTATTGAGATAATCATGTGGTTTTTATCTTTAGTTCTGTTTATATGATGGATTACGTTTGTTGATTTGCGTATGTTGAACCAGCCTTGCATCCCAGGGATGAAGCCAGCTTGATCATGATGTATAAGCTTTTTGACATGCTGCTGGATTCGGTTTGCCAGTATTTTATTGAGGATTTTTGCATCCATGTTCATCAGGGATATTGGTCTAAAAGTGTCTTTTTTTGTTGTGTCTCTCAACTAACATTTTTTTTTTTTTTTTTTTTTGACACGGAGTCTCGCTCTTTCGCCCAGGCCGGAGTGCAGTGGTGCTATCTTGGCTCACAGCAAGCTCCGCCTCCCAGGTTCACACCATTCTCCTGCCTCAGCCTCCCAAGTAGCTGCGACTACAGGCACCCGCCACTGCGCCCAGCTAATTTTTTGTATTTTTAGTAGAGATGGGGTTTCACCGTGTTAGCCAGGATGGTCTCGATCTCCTGACCTCATGATCCACCCGCCTCAGCCTCCCAAAGTGCTGGGATTACAGGCGTGAGCCACCGCGCCTGGCCTTCAACTAACATTTTTAAAGAAACTACCACTTGCTGAGTTTCAGAGTGAGCTTTTTAATTTTTTTAACTTTTAATTTAAAAAATTATTTTTAATTGTAGGTATGTAATTGTTATACATATTTATGGGGTACATGTGATATTTTGATACAGGCATACAGTGTGTAA
Source organism: Homo sapiens (assembly GCF_000001405.40). Classification (NCBI taxonomy): domain Eukaryota; kingdom Metazoa; phylum Chordata; class Mammalia; order Primates; family Hominidae; genus Homo; species Homo sapiens. The sequence continues at coordinate 41,090,592 of NC_000001.11, read as the reverse complement.
GGATTAAATCAGGGTTATTGGGATATCAATCACCTCAAGCATTTATCTTTTTTTTTTTTGGTTTAGAATCAAAGGAGAATATCCACAATTACCTGAAAAGGTTATTTCAGTACTCCTCCCTTTTCCAGCTACATATCCCATGAGTCTGGAGTTTCTTTGTAACTTCAACCAAAAATTACGTATGGCAACAGATTGAATGCAGAAGCAGATATGAGCATCTAACTGCCTTCTGTTAGATCAGAGATGAAGAGATTTGCAAAAATATAAAATAATGTTCTTTTCACTAAACTTATTGTTTTGGAAAATATAATTTCATAAAAAGGTGTTAACATGTTTGTGTTAACTTAAAATTCATATTGTATCTAAGTTTTAATTTCTAATATGATAAATGTTGATAGATACAACACATAACAACTCTTTGTGGACCTCCATAAATTTTAAGAGTGTAAAGCGGTCTTGACACCAAAGAGTTTGAGAATCACTAGCAAAAAGGACAATATTGGCCAGGCATGGTGGCTCACACCTGTAATCCCAGCACTTTGGGAGAGTGAGGCAGGTGGATCAGTTAAGGCCAGGAGCTTGAGATTAGCCTGGCCAACATGGCAAAACCTCATCTCTACTAAAAATACAAAAATTAGCCAGGCATGGTGGCACATGCCTGTAGTCCCAGCTACTCGAGAGGCTGAGGCACGAGACTCGCTTGAACCTGGGAGGTAGAGGTTGCAGTGATCTGAGATTGTACCACTGCACTCCAGCCTGGGCAACAGAGCAAGACTCTGTCTCAAAAAAAAAAAAAAAAAAAAAAGAGACAACATGGTTAGAGTGGAATAATCAAGGGAGAGTGGTAGGAAGTAGGTCAGAAAAATAATGAGGAATCAGATCATATAGGGCTCCAAAGTTCAGCATAAGGACCTTGGCTTTAGTTCTGAGTGAAAGGGGAAGCTATTGAAGGTTTTGAGCAAAGGAATGGTGAGATCTGAAGCATGTTTTAACAGGCTCACTCTGGTAGCTGTGTTCAAATTAGAGTAGAGGAGCAGAGACAAACCATTCAAAAGGCTTATTGTAAAAACCCAGGTTAGAGATGATGGTGGCTTAGGCCAAAGAAGTATGAAGGGGACTTATGAAAAACGATCAGATTGTTAATACATTTTCAAGTTATAGCTCATGGACTGCTAATAGGACAGGAATATAAGAAGAAGAGAGGGGTCAAGGACAACTCCAAGGTTTTTAGCTTGTGCCATTTGAAAGGAGATAGAGAAGTCTTGGGAAGAACAAGTCTATGGACTGAGATAGGTGAGTCAGAACTTCAGTTGCAGATATACTATGCTTAGAATGTCTAATAGATTTTCAAGTGGGAAATTGTATTAAAAACAAGAAGTTTAAGGGAAATTTCTAAGCTGGTAATATAAACTTGGAAGTTTTAATTATAGGTAGAATTTAAAGCCATGAGGCTAGAGGAGATCCTAGGGTTGTGTTCTGAAAATGTGGTCCCCAGACCAGCAGCATCAGCACTGCCCAGAAAAGCAAATTCCCAGACCTACTAAAGCAGAAACTCAGAGGCTGGGGCTCAGCAATCTGAATTTTAACAAGCCATGCAGACTAAAGTTTAAGAACCACTTACCTAAGGACTAGAGTGTAGACAGAGAAGAGAAATCTGTTCAATGACACTCCTGGGACATGCCCATCATTTACAGGTTGGTAAATATTTTACATCTCCCCTTTTTCTACAGTATGAATCTTAGTTTCCGCCAACATCCTATAATACACATAAAATAAGTTTCAGAATTCTATATGCATACCACTATGGAAAAACTCTTAGAAGAGTTCAAGATTTGTTTACGTTTTTTTCCTCCTTAGATGGTTAAAGTACTTAAAGTACTCTGTTCAAAAATTACTTGAATTACTTTTTTTCCTTCAGTGTAATTATGTTATTCATTTAAAACACAGTTGTGAATTAGCCAGGCATGGGGACACACATCTGTAGTCCCAGCTAGCTACTCAGGAAACTAAGCTGGGAGGATCGCTTGAGCCTAGGAGTCCGAGGCTGCAACGAGTTATGATTGAGCCACTGCACACCAGGCTAGGTGACAGAGTCAGACCCTATCCCTAAAAAAATAAAATATAGTTGAGTTTATTTGTTCCTGTTTGCATTCAGTTTAAGGTTCAGTTTTTGTCCTTATCTTTATGGATTTAATTTTATTTTTTGAATATATAGAAAATTAACTTGCTTCCAAGAGTCAAAAGTCATACAAAACATTTACTAAGAGAAGTATCGTCCACCCTTTCTCTTCTACCTTATTCCTTCCACCACCACTACCCTCTTTAAGCAATCACTTTCACTATTTTCTGGTTTATCCTCCAATGTTTCATTTTACAAAAGTAAGCAAATTTATGTGTGTTTTCCTACCCTTCTTACACAAAAGTTAGCATGCTCTATATTCTCTTTTGTACTTTGCTTTCTTCTTTTACTTAACAGTATACCCTGGGAGTCACTCCTTTGCAAGTTCACAAAGATCTCCCTTATTCTAAGCTGTAGACTACTCCATTGTGTATGTGTGTGTGTATACAATCAATATAGTTTCTGGTATTTTACAATTACAAATAATGCTACCATTGCATAAATAAATACACACACACACACACACACACACACACCAGAAACTATATATAGTGTATAGATTATTATATATAGTATATTGTACAATAATATGTAATACTGTATATGTATTGCTTAATAAACTTGTACACATGTATTTTCATATTTGGAGGTGTATCTTCAGGGTAAATGACCAGAAGCGGTATTCTTGGGTCCAAGGGTAAAGGCAAATATAGTTTTGTTAGATACTGCCAAATTCCCTTCCACAGAGATGCTACCAGTTTTCATTCTCACCAGCAATGTGCTTGTTTTCCCGTAGCCTCACCAACAGAGTATATTATCAAGCTTTTGACTTTTTTGCCAATCTGATGGGTGAGAACTGGTTTCTCAATATAATTTTAATTTGCATTTCTCTTTTTATGAGTGAAGTTTAACATCTTTTCATATGTCTAGGGTGCCATTTTATCTTTTTTTTTTCTTTTACAGGTTGTCATTTCTTTTGCTCATTTACCCGTGTGATTATAGGTCTTTTTTCCTCTCAATTTTAAAAGTCCTTTGTATGTTAGATACACCCTTTTATTGTAACATATATCGTAAATATTTTCTCCCAATTTGTACTTTGCTTATGGTAGTTTTTCATTTGTTTCTCATGCAAAAGTTTTAATTTTATAGTTAAATTTATTAACCTTTCATTATAGGAATTCACCTATATTTTCCTCTAGTACTTATATATTGTTTTTCTTTTTTATTGTTACATCTCTGATCCATTTGGAATTTATTCTTGTATTTGGTGTGAGAAATAGATCTAATTTGTGTTTTTCCAGTGGCCATCCATTGTTCCACTATCATTTATTAATGTCTTCATCTTTGCCCTAGTAATTTGAGATACTGCTTTTATCATATCCCAGATTTATGTGTATAGTTGGGTCTGTTTTTCTATTCCATTGGTGTGCCTGTCCATTGGTGTACCAGTACCACAGTTTTCATAATAGAAGCTTTGTATTTTAATGTCTGCTAAGGCTAATTCCCTCAGCTCTCACATTCTGTTGTTTTCTTAGTTATTGTTATGGTTTCTGCTTTGTGTGTTTGGGGTTTTTTTTTTTTTTTTGGTTTTGTTTTGTTTTTTGAAACAAGGGTCTCATTATATTGCTCAGGCTGGTCTCCAACTCCTGAGCTCAAACGATCAGCTTCCCAAGCAGGTGGTACTACAGGTATGCACTGCTGCACCCAGCTAGTTTGTTGTTGTTGCTGTTGTTTAGAGACAGCATCTTGCTATGTTGCATAGGCTGGTCTTGAATTCCTAGCCTCAAGTGACCCTCCCACCTCAGCCTCCTGAGTAGCTGGGACTACCAGTGTGAGCTACAGTGCCTGGTTGTGGTTTTTTTTAATACATACAAAGTTTAATGTCAACTTATCCAGCTCCAGGGGCAGGGCAGGGCAGGGGCAGTGGGGAAAGGTTTCTTTGTATTTTTATTGAGGTTGCATTAAGTTTGTAAGTTAACTTAGAACTAACAACTTGATGATATTGAAAAATAAAAGAACAAGGATAGATGTCTTTTTGTCAAGTCTACTTGTGTGTCTTTCAGCAGTGTTTTGTAATTATCTTCATATGGATTTTTCATATTTCCTGTTAACTTTGTTCCTGAGTATTTCTGCCTCTGTTACATTATCTAACTGATTTGCTATATATGAAGGCTGTTGAGTTTTGTATGTCAGTTACGTATTCTGTTACCTTGCTCAATTCTTTCACTGTTTGAGCTAGCTTCATCACTGATTTTATAGGGATGCACTGTCCAATAGAAATGTAATTTGAGCTATGTACATAATTAAAATTTTTGTAGTACATTTTAAAAAGAAAGGCTGGGCGTGGTGGCTCATGCTTGTAATCCCAACACTTTGGGAGGCCAAGGCGGGCAGATCACAAGGTCAGGAGATCGAGACCATCCTGGCCAATGTGGTGAAACCCTATCTCTACTAAAAATACAGAAATTAGCTGGGCGTGGCGGTGGGTACCTGTAATCCCAACTACTCAGGAGGCTGAGGCAGGAGAATCGCTTGAACCCAGGAGGCAGAGGTTGCAGTGAGCCGAGTTCACGCCACTGCACTCCAGCCTGGGCAACAGAGCAAGACTCCATCTCAAAAAAAAAAAAAAAAAAAAGCAGGTGAAATTAATTTTAATACTATATTTAATCCATAATATCCAAAACATTATCATTTCAATATGTAACCAATATAAGACATTATTAGTGAAATAGTTTACATTCTTTTTCTACTGTGTCTTCAAAATCCAGTGTGCATTTTATATTTACAGCACATCTCAGTTTGAACTAGTCACATTGCAAGTGCTCAGGAGCCACATGTGTCTAGTGCTTACTTTTTTGGATGGCGCATACCCTGTCATGTCATCTACAAATACAGATTGTTTTACTTTATCTTTTCCAATTCTTAGGCTTCTAATTTGTTTCTCTTATCTTTAATACTTTGGTTAATACCTCCAGTGCAATGTTAAATATTAGTGGAGCTAGTAGGTATCAGTACTTTATTCCTGACCTTAGTGGGAATACCTCTTGTGTTTCTCCAGTAAGATGTTTCCTTTAGGATTTTGGCATATATGTATTATCATGTTAATCACATAGCAAACTATTTATATTTTCTTGAGTGCTTAATTTTGTCAAAAACCTTTCCAGCATTAATAGAGTCATCACATAATTTTTTTTCTTAGACCTATTAATAAGGTCTGTTGATTGATTTCCTAATATTGAATTATCTTTGCATTTATAGTATAGACCCAACTTGTTCGTGGTAGTCTCTTAACTCTTTTTCTTTTTTTGCTTTTTCTTGTTTTTTATTTTATTTTATTTATTATTATTATTATACTTTAAGTTTTAGGGTACATGTGCACAATGTGCAGGTTAGTTACATATGTATACATGTGCCATGCTGGTGTGCTGCACCCACTAACTCGTCATTTAGCATTAGGTATATCTCCTAAAGCTATCCCTCCCCCCTCCCCCACCCCACAACAGTCCCCAGAGTGTGATATTCCCCTTCCTGTGTCCATGTGTTCTCATTCTTCAATTCCCACCTATGAGTGAGAATATGCAGTGTTTGGTTTTTTGTTCTTGCGATAGTTTACTGAGAATGATGATTTCCAATTTCATCCATGTCCCTACAAAGGATATGAACTCATCATTTTTTATGGCTGCATAGTATTCCATGGTGTATATGTGCCACATTTTCTTAATCCAGTCTATCATTGATGGACATTTGGGTTGGTTCCAAGTCTTTGCTATTATGAATAGTGCTGCAGTAAACATACGTGTGCATGTGTCTTTATAGCAGCATGATTTATAGTCCTTTGGGTATATACCCAGTAATGGGATGGCTGGGTCAAATGGTATTTCTAGTTCTAGATCCCTGAGGAATCGCCACACTGACTTCCACAAGGGTTGAACTAGTTTACCGTACCACCAACAGTGTAAAAGTGTTCCTATTTCTCCACATCCTCCCCAGCACCTGTTATTTCCTGACTTTTTAATGATCGCCATTCTAACTGGTGTGAGATGGTATCTCATTGTGGTTTTGATTTGCATTTCTCTGATGGCCAGTGATGGTGAGCATTTTTTCATGTATTTTTTGGCTGCATAAATGTCTTCTTTTGAGAAGGGTCTGTTCATGTCCTTCGCCCACTTTTTGATGGGGTTGTTTGTCTTTTTCTTGTAAATTTGTTTAAGTTCATTGTAGATTCTGAATATTAGCCCTTTGTCAGATGAATAGGTTGCGAAAATTTTCTCCCATTTTGTAGGTTGCCTGTTCACTCTGATGGTAGTCTCTTTTGCTGTGCAGAAGCTCTTTAGTTTAATTTGATCCCACTTGTCAATTTTGGCTTTTGTTGCCATTGCTTTTGGTGTTTTAGACATGAAGTCCTTGCCCATGCCTGTGTCCTGAATGGTAATGCCTAGGATTTCTTCTAGGGTTTTTATGGTTTTAGGTCTAACGTTTAAGTCTTTAATCCATCTTGAATTAATTTTTGTATAAGGTGTAAGGAAGGGATCCAGTTTCAGCTTTCTACATACGGCCAGCCAGTTTTCCCAGCACCATTTATTAAATAGGGAATCCTTTCCCCATTGCTTGTTTTTCTCAGGTTTGTCAAAGATCAGATAGGTGTAGATATGCGGTGTTATTTCTGAGGGCTCTGTTCTGTTCCATTGATCTATATCTCTGTTTTGGTACCAGTACCATGCTGTTTTGGTTACTGTAGCCTTGTAGTATTGTTTGAAGTCAGGTAGCGTGATGCCTCCAGCTTTGTTCTTTTGGCTTAGGATTGACTTGGCGATGCGGGCTCTTTTTTGGTTCCATATGAAGTTTAAAGTAGTTTTTTCCAATTCTGTGAAGAAAGTCATTGGTAGCTTGTTGGAGATGGCATTGAATCTATAAATTACCTTGGGCAGTATGGCCATTTTCATGATATTGATTCTACCTACCCATGAGCATGGAATGTTCTTCCATTTGTTTGTGTCCTCTTTTATTTCATTGAGCAGTGGTTTGTAGTTCTCCTTGAAGAGGTCCTTCACTTCCCTTGTAAGTTGGATTCCTAGGTATTTTATTCTCTTTGAAGCAATTGTGAATGGGAGTTCACTCATGATTTGGCTCTCTGTTTGTCTGATACTGGTTTATAAGAATGTTTGTGATTTTTGTACATTGATTTTGTAACCTGAGACTTTGGTGAAGTTGCTTATCAGCTTAAGGAGATTTTGGGCTGAGACAATGGGGTTTTCTAGATATACAATCATGTCCTCTGCAAACAGGGACAATTTGACTTCCTCTTTTCCTAATTAAATACCCTTTATTTCCTTCTCCTGCCTAATTGCCCTGGCCAGAACTTCCAACACTATGTTGAATAGGAGTGGTAAGAGAGGGCATCCCTGTCTTGTGCCAGTTTTCAAAGGGAATGCTTCCAGTGTTGGCCCATTCAGTATGATATTGGCTGTGGGTTTGTCATAGATAGCTCTTACTATTTTGAGATATGTCCCATCAATACCTAATTTATTGAGAGTTTTTAGCATGAAGAGTTGTTGAATTTTGTCAAAGGCCTTTTCTGCATCTATTGAGATAATCATGTGGTTTTTGTCGATGGTTCTGTTTATATGCTGGATTACATTTATTGATTTGTGTATATTGAACCAGCCTTGCATCCCAGGGATGAAGCCCACTTGATCATGGTGGATAAGCTTTTTGATGTGCTGCTGGATTCGGTTTGCCAGTATTTTATTGAGGATTTTCGCATCAATGTTCATCAAGGATATTGGTCTAAAATTCTCTTTTTTTGTTGTGTCTCTGCCCGGCTTTGGTATCAGGATGATGCTGTTTGGCATGTTTTTGGCATGTTTTTGCAGTGGCTGGTACCAGTTGTTCCTTTCCATGTTTAGTGCTTCCTTCAGGAGCTCTTTTAGGACAGGCCTGGTGGTGACAAAATCTCTTAGCATTTGCTTGTCTGTAAAGTATTTTATTTCTCCTTCACTTATGAAGCTTAGTTTGTCTGGATATGAAATCCTGGGTTGAAAATTCTTTTCTTTAAGAATGTTGAATATTGGCCCCCACTCTCTTCTGGCTTGTGGAGTTTCTGCCGAGAGATCCGCTGTTAGTCTGATGGGCTTCCCTTTGTGGGTAACCCGACCTTTCTCTCTAGCTGCCCTTAACATTTTTTCCTTCATTTCAACTTTGGTGAATCTGACAATTATGTGTCTTGGAGTTGCTTTTTTTCATTTTCTTAATGTCCTTTGATTAAGAGAAATATTTTGTTTTAATGAGGCCATATATATCTTCACTCTTTGATAATTAGTGCTTTTTGTGTCCTGTTTTAATAAATCTTTGGCCGCCCCCATAGTTTTGAAGGTATTCTCATTTGTCTTCTAGAAATTTGATGTTTTAGCCTTCACATTAATTTTTGTATCTGGTGTGAAATAGAACTCAAGTTTAATTTTTTTCCATATGGATACCTATTTGACTCACCACAGTTTTATTGAAAAGACCATTTTTTCTCTCCACAGAATTGCAAGGGCACATTTATCATAAATCAGATGACTATATATGTGTAGTTAATTTTGGAACTCTCTATTTTGCTCTGTTGATTCATTCATCTACCCTTGCACCAATAATATATGTCTTTTTTTTTTTAAGACAGAGTCTTATTCTGTCACCTAGACTAGAGTGCAGTGACACCATCATGGTTCAGTGCAGCCATGACTTCCAGGGCTTAAGTAATCCTCCCACCTCAGCCTCCAGAGTCACTGGGACTACAGGTGTGCACCACCATGCCCAGCTAATTTTTTAAAAAATTTTTGTAGAGACTGGGTCATGCTATGTTGCAAGGCTGGTTTCAAACTCCTGGCCTCAAGCAATCCTCCTGCCTCAGTCTCCCAGAGTGCTGGGGTTACAGGCATGAAACACCATGCCCAACAAATAATATATGTGTCAATTACTGTAACTTTATAATGAATCTTGCTATTTGATGATGCATGTTCTCCAGCTTTGCTGTTATTCATCAAGATTGACTTGGCTACTATAGGTCCTTTGCATTTCCTATTAAAATTTAGAATTAAATTGTCAATTTGCATACATACACCACACATTTTTTAGAAACTGCTGAGATTTCTATTGGAATTGCATTGACTCTAGATCAGTTTGATGAGAGTTGACACCTAACAGTGGTGATGCTTTCAATCTATGAATGTAACATATCCCTTCATGGCCATGTGATATCTAGATCTTCTTTAATTTCCCCTATCAATATTTTATAGTTTTCAGTGTAGATGTCTTGCCCATCTTTCACTGAATACTTGATGTTATTTGATTTTGTGGATTTTTAAATAATTTTCAAATTGTTGCTATTTAGAGAAATACATTAGATTTTTAAATATTAGATTTGTATCTAGTGACCTTTCCAAATTCATTTTTTTATTTTAATAGATTTTGTAGACTTGTAAGGAGGAATATTTATGTAAACAATCATGTCACGTACAAGTAATGCTTCTTCCCTTACAGTCTGTATTTATAGATTTTATTTCTTTTCCTTTCCTTATTGCATTGACCTCCAATACAATGTCGAATAGAAGTGGTGATAGTAGTTATTTTGTTTTATCCCATAATTCAATAAGAAGTGTTCAATATTTCACCATTAAGAATGCTGTTGATTATAGGTTTTTTATAGATGCGTTTATCTAGACTAAGGAAATTCTCTTTTATTCCTAGTTTATTGATAATTTTTATCATGAATGGATGTTGAATTTTGTCAAATGCTTTTTCTTCATCTGTTGAGATGATATATAGGTTTTCTCTTTCATTTAGTGAATGTATGTGTTCAGCGGATTGTATTTTCCATTGTTAACCTTTGTATTTCTGAAATAAATCCCACTTAGTTATGATATATTATCCTGCATGTTATGATATGATATATATAGGATTGTATATCTGATATACATATAGAGAGAGACCTAGATTTAATTTACAAATACTTTGTTAAAGATTTTGGATGTATGTTCATGAGGGATATTAGTCTATAGTTTTTTTTTCTTGTAACTATCTTTGTCATGTTTTGGTATGAGGGTTATGCTGGCCTTATAAAATGAAATGGGAAGTGTTCCCTCTTCTATTTTTCAAAAGAGGCTTTGCAAGATTTGTTATTATTTCTTCTTTAAATATTTGCTAGAATTCATCAGTGAAGCCAGTTTAGGCCTGGGATTTTCTTTGTGGAAAGATTTTTAATTGCAATTGCAATTTTTTATTATGTATGAGGCTCTTCATATTCTGTTTTTTTCTTGTGTCAGTGGTATTTTTGCTTTGTTTTGTGTTTTAAGAGAGAGACTCATATATTATGTAAATAATGGAACAAACAAACAGATTTTTTAAAAATCATAATTAAAATGTTAAAATGTAAAAAAGATGAACAAAGTGTAAGAAAAAATAGTACCCACAGAAATATCTATATAAAAAATTAAATGGACATCTTATACCTAAAAAATACAGTATTAGGAATAACTCATTGCATGGGTTTAAGGGCAGACAAGAGCCAACAGAAAGGAGTAATAAACTTGATGAAAAAATAGAAAATATCCAAAATAAAGTACAGTGAGAAAATACAAAAAAAATTTAGAGCATTAGAGATAAGAGATAGAGCCTGTAATCCAGGCTGAAGTGCAGTGGTGTGATATAGCTCACTGCAACCTCGACCTGGGCTCAAGCGATCCTCTTGAGTAGCTAGGGCTACAGGCACACACCATGCTCAACTAATTTGTTTTTGTAGAGATGGGGTCTCACAGTGTTGCCCAGGCTGGTCTTGAGTGACATTTTATCTCAATTTTCATATTTAATTGGCATAAAGTTATTCATACTGTCCTGTTCTCTACCCAATGTCTGATGGATCTATGATGAAATTGTCTCTGCGTATTCTATATTTATTAGGTATATGTATCAGTTAGGTTGGTTGGTTAATTGGTTATTCATGTTATTAGTTTTCTTTTGGTTAGTGTTTATAGAGTACATTATTTTCATCTGTTTGCTTTTCTCTTCCTGTGTTTTTATATTTTGAGTGTCTTTGTATCTCAGGGCCCTCTTATAAACAAATATAATTGAGTTCTGGGGGTTTTTTTTGGTCTGGTTTGTTCATTTATTCCTACTGACTGTTTTACTTAATCCACCCTTCTTTAATAAAATTATTTATTTGGGTTTAAGTCAACATTTTGCATTTTGCTTTTTTGTTTTCTATTTGTCCAAGTTCTTCCTTATTTCTTTATTCCTCCTTTCTTGCCTTCTTTTGGATTAATCAAGTATGTTTTATTATTCTACTTCTCTCCCCTTAGCTTTTTAGTAATGCATTCTTATCCCTGATAATTCTTTAATTAATTGCCGTATGCAAATATGCATATTGGACTTATTAAAATCTACCTTAAATAAGTGCTCTAACTACTCCCAAATAATGCAAAATTCTTAACAAAGTTTGGCTCCATTTACTCTCCACTTTCATCCTCTGTGCTATTACTGTCACATAACTTATTAATACATATATTATAAACGGCACAAGCCATTTTTATTATTGTTTTAAATAATCAGTATCCTTTTGTATCAACTCACATGTTTACCCTTTCTCGTGTTCTTCATCCTTCCTGTAGTTTCATGTTTCCATTTGGAATGTCCTTCAGCCTGAAGAACTTCCTTTTCATTTTCCATAGTTAGGTCTGCTGGTGACAGATTCTCTCAACTTTGATTATTTGAAAATCTCATTATTTTACCTTTATTTCTGAAGGATATTTTCACTGGGTGTATAATTCTATCTTTGGTAGTCTGTTTCTTTTAGCCCTTTAAGGATACTATTCTACTTCTTCTTGCTTACACAGTTTTATTAAAGAGCCTGCTATCACTCTTATTGTTGCTCCGGTAATGCTGTTTTTCTCTCTGACTGCTTTTTAAAATATATCTTTGTATTTCCTCCCTGTCTTTTATTTCATCTGTATTTCATCTTTTGTATTTTCAGCAGTTTGACAATTATGTGTTTTGGTATCGTTTTCTTTGTATTTTTCCTGCTATGGATTGCTGAATCCATAAGCATCCTGAATCTGTGGGTTGATGTCTTTCATTAGTTAGAGATTAAGTCTCCGCTGTTACCTTTTCATATATTGCTTTTTCTTCATTCTATCTGTCTTCTCCCTGTGGGATTGCAGCCACTCATATTTTGGACCTATTGACTGTGTCTACTTAATCTCTAATGCTCTAATATATTTTTTCATATTTTCTCACTGTACTTTATTTTGGATGTTTTCTATTTTTTCATCAAGTTTATTAATCCTTTCTATTGGCTCTTGTCTGTCCTTAAACCCATGCAATGAGTTATTCCTAATATTGTATTTTTTAGTTATAAGATGTCCATTTAGTTTTTTATATAGATATTTCTGTGGGTACTATCTACCTTTTCTTATATTTTGTTCATCTTTTTTACATTTTAACATTTTAATTATGATTTTTAAAAAATCTGTTTGTTTGTTCCATTATTTGGATAATATATGGGTCTCTTTCTATTGCCTGTATTTTCTCTTGATTACTGATCACACTGTTTTGACTCTGTTATGTCTAATAATTTTTGTAGTATGCCAAACGTTTTATATTAAAAGAACTATTGAGGCTCCAACTGGTATCTTCCATGAGAAAGAATTCTTCCTTTCCTCTGCTAGACTAAATAGGATAGGGCCTGATCACCTCAATCTAATTCTGGATTGAGTTAGACCACATCTGGATTGTGCCTATGGTTTATGCTTGTTTTTTGGACACGGACCCTCTTGGGCTCTTGGTTGGGAACCTAATTTCTAGCTCCTTAGCCCTGAAACACTGCAGGAGATTGTCCTACCCTTGAGAGGTCTGGGGCTTAGTTTTATTACCTCTCACCCCTTATAGTTTTAAAATATCTTTAAGAGGAGATCAGCCATGTATTTGGGGTATACTACCTACTTCTAGTGGAACCTTATCTCCTAAAACCACAAGATTATAGGAGATTTTATTCTGCCTTTTAAAAGCTCTCAGTCTAGCTTTGAAGTTCCAATGTGCTGGCCCAAAATTCAGCAGATACCCAATGAGAAAAACTGGCCACATGCAGGGGCTCCTTAAGTTTCCAGTTTGTCGCAGCAGCTCTCATTTCTCTTTCCTCCAGTAGAGCCCCTCACCACATGCCAAGCCTGATCCTTAGTTTATGCCAAAATTAGCAGATGCCCTCAGGAAAGAAAACAGTATCAGCTACCTCAGAGGCCACCCCTTGGAATTCCAGTTCATCTAATCCTCATGACAGCTCTGTGGTGTCTTCCTCATGACAGCTCTGTGGTGTCTTTTTAAATAATTACTCTGACTTTTTCTAGTTGTTGCATCGTTAACATTGTACTACCACAACTATCACTTCCTACCTGGAGGCCTAGGAAGTATTATCTTCTACCTGCCCTATATAATAGTTTATTAACTGGTCTCCCTAATTCTACTCTCGTCCCTCTCACAAAGCAGTCAGAGTGGTCCTTCTAAGTATATCTTGTCCCTCCCCTGCTCAAAACCCTCTAGTGGCTTCCCTTTATATTTAGAATAAGTTCAGTTCATTTTCACAGGCTGCAGTCCTACACAATTTTACTGCTACTCACTCTCTAACCTAATTTCTCTCTACCCTCCCCTTTGCTCACTCAGTTACAGCTCTACTGACCTCCTTTCCAATTTCTCAAACACACTAACATGTTCCTGTCTCAGACTCTTTGCACTTGTTGTTATACCCTCTCACATCTTCATAAGGCATTGTGCCTTTACCTCTTTCGGGAGCTCTGTGTAAATGTCATCTCCTCAAAGAGGACTTCCCTTAAAATTTTGTTTCCTTACCCTGCATTAATTTTAATCACAGCACTTAGCACTACCTGACATTATACCGTATATTGTGTTATTTTTTTAATTTTCTTTCTCTCTCACTAGGAGGTAAGCTCCATGAGAGTGGAAGTCTGGTTTGTTCACAGTTCTATCCCCAGAGCTTAGTACAGTGTATAACTTATAGTAAGTTCTCACTATTTGTAGGATGTCTTAGATATCCCTTACCTCAAAAAATTCTCAGTTTAAGGAAAAAATGAATAATTGGAGTAAAATTAAGAAGTACTGTAACATAGATGTCTACAGAATGCTTTGGGAGTAAAGAGAGGACACTGACCTAGTTGGGACATGGTCAGAGAAGTCCTCAATAAGGAGGTGGCCCTGGATCCAGTGTTGAAAACTGAGTATTGATATGTGTCTGACAAAGAGTAATAGAGAGCTCAACATATAAGGGCTACTAGAACATGGGGTTGGATGATAGGAAATGACATCAGTCATAATGGGAGAGCAAGATGGGCAGAGTCAAAAAAGTCCTTAGAAATCAGGTTAAAGAATTTAGACCTTACCTTAAAGGTAATAAGGAATAAAGGTTTTTAAGAGCAAAGATTTTTAAGGAGAGATGCTATCAGATTTATATTTCCACATGTTCCTCTACTCCTCACTGCAATAGTCAAACTAAAACTTCAAGTAGATTGATGTAGAAAATCCCTGGCATGGTTATCAGGGCTCAATTTTAAAACAAGTTCTTATCCCAACTCACTATGTAACCTGCGGAGGGCATTGTGTCTTGTTCTGAGCCTCAGACCTTCATTCTTAGCAGGACAGAATTACAGGTTTCTAAGAGCCCTTTCAACTCTGAGCCTATGATTCTATTAATATTTATATACTTCACCTTTGACTTAGGTCACAATATTTGTCTAAGGTGCCTTAGGAAGAAAAATTTAATATTTTTTCTGCATCTGCCAGAAATAATTTAAAACCTCCAATTCCAGCCAATCTAAATTCAGTCTTCTTCAGAGATTTCCTTAACATTTAGGTCAAATGCCAGGAAACCAGCTTCTTGGAACAAAACTACCTGAGCAGAAGTGGCAAGTCCTTTTTTTCTTCTGGCTGGGATGAGAATGCAGGGGGGAGGGAGGGTGATAGAATGAGTCTTTTTCTTGCAGTTGTGATTCCAAAGAATCCCTATCCTGCCTCCGATGTGAATACTGAGAAGCCCAGCATCCACAGCAGCACCAAAACTGTCTTGGAACATCAACCAGGGCAGAGGGGGCGTAAACCAGGAAAGAAGCGGGGCCGGACACCCAAGACCCTAATTTCCCATCCCATCTCTGCCCCATCCAAGACAGCTGAACCTTTGAAATTCCCAAAGAAGAGAGGTCCCAAACCTGGCAGCAAGGTAGGTAAAATGTGGGTTTCCCAGAAAGGAATAAGGGTTTATAAAGGGGTCATTCGGCCAGGCGCCGTGGCTCACGCCTGTAATCCCAGCACTTAATGGGAGGCCGAGGCGGGCGGATCATGAGGTCAGGAGATCGAGACCATCCTGGCTAACACGATGAAACCCCATCTCTACTAAAAATACAAAAAATTAACCAGGCGTGGTGGTGGGCGCCTGTAGTCCCAGCTACTCGGGAGGCTGAGGCAGGAGAATGACGTGAACCCGGGAGGTGGAGCTTGCAGTGAGCGGAGATCGTGCCACTGCACTGCAGCCTGGGTGACAGAGCGAGACTCCGTCTCAAAAGAAAAGGCAGGGTTGGGGGCGGTCATTCATCCATACCCATCTCTCTTGGAAAGGGGCACATCTGGCCCTCTTCTCTATCTTGTGTATCTTATAAGAGGAATTTCCTAGACCGTCATCCCTACTTGCTACTTACCTGAGAGTTGGTAATATTAAAGATAGAATTGGGGAGGATAGGAAACAAATTTTAACTTTGAAAGTCACTCATATTTGAGGAGATTCTGGTCTAGTGTACATGGAAGAAACTGCTCTTTGTTAACCTTTCCAAAGTAGATGTCCAGCGTGTAGACAGAAAGCACAAATTAACTCTGTAAATGTTTTTTTTTTCTTTTAATCAGCTTTTTCAGGTTGAATGTAAATATATATTTTGCTATCTCTACCTCTTCTTTAAAAAAAATTGAATACCTACTAAGTGTCAGACTGTATTAAACACCAATACATACATATCCCATGATTTTCACAAAACCCTAAGAGATAAATAGTGTTAATGTTATTTTATAGTAAATTGAGACTTACAGATGTAAAATGATTTTTCTAAGATCACATGGCTAGTAAATGGCAAAAGCTACAGAGATTGGCCCTTAGATCTACTTCCAAGGTCACTGCTTCCCTAGCATATATTCACTCTTTCAGTCTTTCCCACATTTCCTGAGGGACACAACACTTCTAGTATTCTAGTATTGGAAAAGACAGCTGAGTCACCTTCACTGAGCACTGTTACTGAAAGTACTACCTCTTAGTCATGGCCTGTTTTTCATGGGTATCTTCCCTAAGGAAGGCATTGATATAAAAAAAAAAAAAAAAAAAGACTTCTGTCAGCAGCTTCTCTAGGGCCCCTTTTAGCATCACCTCCTCCCCTCATTTCTTAACTGTTGGGAGATTTCTCTGATGAATCTCCTGCCTGAACAAGAATACCTGAGTTCCAGTATGGAGATGATACCCAGTTCTCCCTGGGCATTCTATCCCAATCTCATTAATTCCTCCATCCCAATCTCATTAATTCCTCCCTAGGGTTAGTTTGTTTGTCTGTTGGTTTGTTTTGCTTGTTTATTAGCTTTCACTGACTTCAGTCCTTGTACAATATAAGCTCCTCAAGGTCAAGAACCTAATCTTTTTCTTCTTTTTTTTTCTCCTGTGGTACCTTATATCTCAGTCTCTTGGGAAATATTCAGAATATGCAAGATGGGTAGGAGGGTAGGTGGGTGGGTACATGGATGGAAGGATGGATGGATGGATGGATGGATGGATGGATGGATGGATGATTTTAGTGATGATGTTACCAATCTCAGTTGTCTCTTATTTTTGGCTTCGAATTCTCAGTATCACCTCCTGATCTTCCTGTGTAACACGTAATACTCCTCTTGATCTGTTACCACTAACCCAGCTCCTAATTCATTTTTGCCTTCATTACCCACCTCTCATTCTCATGTTGTAGAGGAGAGGCTGAAGGCCCTAAGGATGCCAAGGCCAGAGAAGCCATGCTTTTGATGATGTGAAGACATCTTGAGGACAGTCAGAAGAGGGAGAAAACTTATCTGGGGGACTCCAAAGATAGAACCAGAACCAATAAATGGAAACTCAAGCAGAGAAGCTTTGTCTCAACATAAAAGGAACAGTTAAATCTATCCCAAAATGGAAGTAATGAGCCCCTATAACTAGAGGTGTTTCATCAGGGACTGGATGACTATAGGAGGGATCTTTTAGGGAGAGGGAATTAGAAGTATTGGGTAGATGGTTGGGTTAAATGGCCTTTAAGATCATTCAAAACTCAAAAACTGATTCTGTGATTGCCTCTGCTCTGCTCCCTCAGGAAGTCTTGAACGTAGTAACCAAAGTCCTTTTTCTTTCCAGCCTTCTTGAAAGCAGTCATTCTCATCTTTTCCTGTGTTTTATGTCCTAGCATTTGATACTCTTAATTCTCCTTCGTGCTCTTTTGCCTACCCCTACAAGTGTATATGCCTTCCACTTCACCTGTGAGCCTTATATCCCTTTTTGTTTGTTTTGCTTTGATTTTTGAGGCAGGGTCTCACTCTGTGACCCAGGCTGAGTGCAGTGGCACAATCATTGTTTACTGCAGCCTTGACCTCCTGGGCTCAAGCGATCCTCCCACCTCAGCCTCCCAAGTAGCTGGGACTATAGGCATGTGCCACTATGCCCAGCTAATTTTTAAAAAAAACTTTTGTAGACATGGGGCCTTGCTATGTTGCCCAGGCTGGTCTCAAACTCCTGGGCCCAAGCAATTTTCCCACCTAGACCTCCCATAGTGCTGGGATTACAAGTGTGAGCCACCATGGCTGGCTTTATATCTCTTTTTGAAGCAGAGTAGTCTTGTGGATAGAGCATAAGCTTTAAAGTCAGACAAACAGGTTTAGATCTTATCTCCATATGTTACCACCTGTGTGACTTTGGGAAGGCTTCTCTGGATAAAGCCCTGAGCCCATTTTCTCACCTGTAAAATGGAAATGAGATAATGTATGAATACATATAATATTGTACATGTACCTATCTCAAATAGGTTTACATTATTCAGGCACCTAACTTACCAGGCTTCTTCCTTTAGGAACCCTGTGAAATCCTACCACCAACTCATTGAAGTTGAAGTGGTATTTCCCTTCTTCCCTGACTCATTCATTACGTATTTGGATTTTCACTTTTAGCAGTAAAAAAGCATGAGCAGATGTTCACTTTCAATGTGTGTTTTGAATGCTTCATGAGAGTTTGCATGATTGCTTTCACAGGCAAAGCCATCTTATATATGCCTGCTGTCATCAGGGCTATCTCTTTAGAGAACATACTCCTAGAAGGCAGACAGGTTGATATGGCTCCCAGCAGTTATCCCTACATGAAGCATTTAGTAAAAGTGGATTTTTGGATCTCTGTGATGGTTATGTTCTCCTTGCATTCAGAAAGGCTTTTAGCCAGACGTGGTGGCTCCTGCCTATAATCCCAACACTTTGGGAGGCCAAGGTAGGAGGATCGCTTGAGCAGGAGAAGTTCGAGACCAGCCTTGGCAATATAATGAGACCTCATCTCTACAAAAAATTTAAAAGTAAGCCATGTGTGCTGGCACACACCTGTAGTCCCAGTTACTCAGGAGGCTGAGGTGGGAGGATCGCTTGAGCCTGGGAGGTGGAGGTCGCAGTGAACCAGAACCATGCCACTGCATGCCAGCCTGGATAACAGAGCAAGACTCTGTCTCAAAAAAAAAGGCTTTTAGGAAACTATTTCTTAGAAAAACACCTGAGATCTTTCTCCCCCAAAAACTGCCCTGAACAGTGTAGGGGAAATAATAGATTTCTCTCAAATCAGCTTTATTATTTCCTCTATTATTCTATACTGCATGCTTCATTAAAAAAATTTATTTACACTTATTTTATGCTAAGTACCATGCTAAGAATGGTACTTAGAACCAGACTTTCAAAGATTTCCAGGTGAATAGGGATACTGGTATGTAAACATATCATGACAATACGTTGACAAATGCAACAGTTCAAAAAACAGAGGTAACATAAAAGAGACAATGATTAGAGAAAAACTAGAAAAGCTTCCTAGATAAACAAATTTGTAAAATAAATTTAAAAAGAGAGCATTTCAAGTGAAAGAGACATCTTATCATTGTAAAGGTGTGGACCAGGTAAAAGTGCAAGTTTTTAAAGAAGCAATAGAGATTTAGTAGAATAGGAGATTTAAGGGAATGGCAGGTAATGAGGTGAAGAGAGAGGCAGACAGAGTAAAGTTGTTTGTAGAGTTAGAAGGGTCATTTCTATTTTTTTTTGTTTGTTTCCATTTTTAAAGAGAGAAATAAAGTACAAAGTAATGTCAAAGCAGACTTAAACTATGGCATATTTTGCTTTTGTCTGCCCAACTAATAAGGGATCTGAAACTTCATATGATAATATTGAATCTAGTATAAAAGATAATAAATTAAGCTTTGACCCTAAAAAAGACCAGAGGCTTGTATATAGATTCAGAAAATGTCTACTAAGCATCTACTACAGGTATATGTATAGCTTTAAGCCAGATGCTGTGTAGAGAACAAAGATAAAACACTATTCCATCCATAAATATATTTTTGCTTCATGAGTGAATTAAGTGCCAAGAATAGGGAATGAAAAGACCTGTCATGGGTAGCAATTTTTTTCCCATTCATTTTGACAGAGGAAACCTCGGACTTTGCTGAACCCACCACCTGCCTCACCAACAACCAGCACTCCTGAACCGGATACCAGCACTGTACCCCAGGATGCTGCCACCATCCCCAGCTCAGCCATGCAGGCCCCAACAGGTAAGAGCAGATGACAGGACTACCTGCGCACAAGCCCCAGACCTAGTGTTTGCACTTTCTTTTGTCTTACACCAGTAATTAGCACCTTTCCACTTGTAAACCTAGGTAAAATATTTTTAAAAAATTTTATCTTTGGCATTTGAAATAATGTCAGACAATCAAACTTAGGTAAATTTTCTGTGAACTCAGGGATGGGGAACTAATGCAGGGATAGCACCAAGAGCTCCCTGGCCTAGTTTAGAATAATAGCCTTCCTTCCCAGTTAGGGGTGTTCCTTCTGAGTGATCCCTTCCACCTTCCAGAATCCTCCCAGCATTTCAGTAATGGTGCCACCCTTAAAATATGTATGAAATTTCTCTGATTTTTTTTTTTTAACAATCATTGATGGTGACAAACTTTGGTACAATGAAAGTAAGGTTGACTTATTGCAAAATCTGGTGGATGAAATGGGTGGGTAATCATCCTGGGTTATGCATATCTGTTCCCATTTCATAAACTGTCTATGACAGTAACTAAAAGAACTGTGCGCAGATACACAGCCTTCCAAGGGGGTAACTATAAAGAAAAATACTCATTTTTTAATGTGTAAGTTAAGATAAATGTGTGAAACCCTATTCTGTTACTCAGCAGACACTCCATCTTCTTCTAGGAAGTCTTAAGCAATTGGCATGATCCCCATGGAAGTTAGGGTTGTCTTTCTCTTAGAAGGAGTTGATTATGTCTCTAATCAAATCCTAGAATGTAGGAGCCTGAAGGGAAGGCTCAGACATAGTTTCCCATAACCGATAGAAGATGAGAGAACCTGCCATGGTCAGGCTGTAATAGTCTTCATTGACCATTGTGTCGCCATCTCTTGAGTGGGCCTTGATTCACTTTGTGTGACTTTGATATCACTTCCCTGTCTGAGCCTCAGTTTATAATCTATACAATGATAGGATTAGTCCAAATAACCTTTATAGTCCCTTCAAATGTTAACAATAAAAGCTATCACAGACTGAATGTGATGTGCCACATTTATCTTTTACCTACTTTTCATTTTTTTAACTGTAGAGAACTTTTTAAAAGGTATTTTGATTTGTGTCAGTTATACACATTCATAGTTTAAAGGAATGAAGGGTCTACACAACTTATTACAAAAACAAAACAAACATACCTCGTATCCCCCTGTCAATTACTATTCCCCAGGGGCAATCACTTTCAATTTAACTGACGTTTTTATTTACCTCTGTATCTAAATAGCATGTCTATATTGCTGTCTTTTTTAGTTATTTTTCTAATGACTACCCACTCTAGAAGATGAGAATTTAACTCTTCTTAATCTCCTTGCCCCTTATCCACCCACACATATTTCCCTACCCCAACTCCATGATATTATAATTTTAATTAGATCAAAATTCAGTGTTTTGTTATTATAACTAGTTAAATGCTGTTCTCAATTGAGCCATGTAGTATACCGTGATTACTTTTCCTTTGTTGCTCAACATTTCATTTTCAGGGGAAATCTTGTTGATTTCCTTGTTTTGTGTTTATTTTTCTGTGTACTTATTATTAATTCAACCTTAAACTCTCTTCCTACTGTGTACATCTCTCTTTATGTCCAAGTACATT